>NC_000017.11:16248686-16551717 GCF_000001405.40 Homo sapiens
AGCATTCACCTCAAAACTCCTCCAACCTCTACCCATTATCTAGTTCCAAAGCCACTTGCACATTTTTATGTATCTGTTACTTCACAGTACTAAAATCTGTCTTAGTCAGCTTGGGCTGCCAAAACAAAATACCATAGACTGGGTGGCTTAAACAACACAAATTTATTTTCTCAGAGTCCTGCAGACTAGAAGTCCCAGATCAAGGTCTGGCAGGGTTGGTTTCTGGTAAGGGTCCTCAGCCTGACTTGCACATGGCTGCCTTCTCACTGTGCCTCATGTGGTGGAGGGACAGAGGGAGACAGATCTCTTCCTTTTCTTATAGCACCACCAGTTCTATCAGATTAGGGCCCCACATTTATGGATTTATATAACCTCAATTGCAGTAGTCCTCCCTTATCCACAGTTTTGCTTTCTGTGGTTTCGGTTACCTGCAGTCAACTGTGGTCTAAAAATATTAAATGGAAATTCCAGAAATAAACAATTTATACATTTAAAATGTACACCATTCTGGCTGGGCACAGTGCACTCACGCCTGTAATCCCAGCAATTTGGGAGGCCGAGGCAGGTGGATCACCTGAGGTCAGGAGTTCAAGACCAGCCTGGTCAACATGGTGAAACCCTGTCTCTACTAAAAATACAAAAATTAGCTGGGCATGGTGGCGCACGCCTGTAGTCCCAGCTACTCGGGAGGCTGAGACACAAGAATCGCTTGAATCTGGTAGGAAACAAGTTGCAGTGAGCCAAGATCATGCCGTCACACTCCAGCCTGGGCAACAGAGCGACACAAAGACAAGAACAAAAACAAAACAAAACAAAACAAATAGGATTATAGATATATGAGAGGGGATTTATTAGGGGAGTTGGCCCGTGATTATGGAGGCTGAGAAGTCCCACAACAGGCCATCTGCAAGCTGGATGCCAGAAGTATGGCTCAGTCCAAGGCCGAGGGCCTGAGAAACAAGCAGGCCACTGGTATAAGCCCTAGAATCTAAAAGCCAAAGAGTCTGGAGTTCTGATGTCCAAAGACAGGAGAAGAAGAATGTATCCCAGCTTCAGGAGAGAGGAAATCACCTTTTTGCTCCATGTGGGTCCCCCACTGATTGTATTGTGCCTACCTACATTGATGGCATGTCTTCCCCTGTCAGTTCCCTGAATCACAGGCCAGTATCCTCTGGAAACCCCCTCATAAAAATGCCCAGAAATAATCCTTTACCAGTTCTCTAGATAATCCTTAATCCAGTCAAGTTGATACCTAAATTATTATTATTTTTGTGTGTGTGATGGAGTTTCACTCTTGTTGCCCAGGCTGGAGTGCAGTGACATGATTTTGGCTCACTGCAACCTCCACCTCTTGGATTCAAATGATTCTGCTGCCTCAGCCTCCCAAGTCGCTGGGATTACCGACATATGCCACCATGTCCGGCTAATTTTTGTATTTTTAGTAGAGTCAGGGTTTCCCCATGTTGGTCAGGCTGGTCTCGAACTCCTGACCTCAGGTGATCCACCTGCCTCCTTTGTCTTGCGAAGTGCTGGGATTACAGGCATGAGCCACCATGCCTGGCTGATACTTAAAATTAACCAGCACACTTACTGTGTCTAATTTATAAATTAAACTTCATCATAGTTAACATGTGTATAAGAAAAAACATAGTATATATAGGGTTCAGTACCATCTGCTATTTCAGGTATCCACTGGGGATCTTGGAACATATCATCCACAGGTAAAAGGAGGCTGCTGTACCTCCTAAAAACCTGCCTCCAAATACAGTCACATTTTGGGTTTAGGGCTTCAACCTAACATGAATTTGGAGGGATCACAGTTTAATCCATAGCAACACGCAACAGTCAGTCTTTCAGCCTCTCATCTCCTAACCCAGAAAAAGCAGAGCTTTGGAATCTTACTTTAGATTATTTAGATAAGTCAAAGAGAAGAATGAAGAGGAAGAAGAGAAAGAGAAGTTTTATAGAGGACCTGTACTCGTAACAATAACAGTAAATATAAAACTACTACTGTCAGTGCCAAAAAAATAAATATATGATCTTTCTTAATCCTCAAAATAGTCTAATTATTTTTCCCATCTTACAGAGACACAGTGGGAGGTTGAGTAATTTGCTCAAGGTCATCCAGCTAATAACTGGTAGAGCTGGCATTTGAGCTGATGCAATCTGGGTGTACAGTATATGCTTCAACCACTATTTTCCACCTACTCCATGCCTGACACATGCTTTCACAAAGGCAGTCTCATTTAATTCTTAGACTAACTGCACAAGATAGGTTTTATTTTCTTTTTTTGTTTCACAGGAAGAAACTAAAGCTCAGAGAGATTAAGAGAATCTTTGTGGTCACACGTTTAATAAATGACAATGTGAGGATTCAAAAACAGAAAGGGAGATGGAATAGATTCTGACTTTCTTCAGGGAAGCAGATCACCACTTTGTTACTGTATTTGAAAGACGAGCTGGGCACGGTGGCTTGTGCATGTAATCCTAGCACTTTGGGAGGCCGAGGTGGGAGGATCACTTGAGCCCAGGATTTCAAGACCAGCCTGGGCAACATAGTGAGACCCCATCTCTACAAAAAATAAAACTAACCTGGTATGGTGGCGTGTGCCTGTGGTCCCAGCTCCTTGGGAGGTTGAGATGGGAGAATCGCTTGGGGTCAAGAGGTCAAGGTTGCAGTGAGCCTTGATCACGCCATTGCACCCCAGCCTGGGCAATGGAACAAGACTCTGTCTCAAAAAAAAAAAAAAAAGACCAACGTGGGTTTATGAGTACATTTAATTGACATCGTATAGAATCAGCTCTATTTTCCCCTTGTTCTGAACTTCACTGCAAAACATTTAGCCAGAGGAGCTCACCCAAGTAAATCCCTCAACTAATCAGTTAAAGAGGGGGGAAAAAATCTAGTTCTCAAGAAAAGAAGGCATAATCTCAGTTGTAAGACCACTATATGGGGACTTTTGGCAACTTTACCCAGTACCTTAACATCTAGTATGATGTTAAAATGCATGCTGCACAGATGTTAACAGATACCTATTCAGTACCTAGAATGACACTGTGCTAGATGCTGAAGAAAGAGAAAAGCAGTGAAAGGTATAGGAAATGAATAATAGGTTTTGCCATGACAGTCATTGCTGTTGCATTTGTGGACAGCTATTTCATTATGCATGTATTGAAGGTCAGGCCTAGAGAGGAGATTAGAGACCCTTTCCAGAATACTTGGGAACGGTATGTGATTGAGAAATGCAGCCAACAGATTTGGTATTCATTTGTTGCTTTTGTGCTTCTTAACATATTATGAAGAATCTATAGAATTATTTTATTTATATTTAGAAAAACAAAAACACGAATTTCTCTATGCGCAGATAATTTTTTTTTCCTTTTTTTTTTTTTCTTTTTTTTTGTTGAGACAGAGTCTCGCTCTGTCGCCAGGCTGGAGTGCAGTGGTGCAATCTCGGCTCACTGCGACCTCCACCTCCCAGGTTCAAGCGATGCTCCTGCCTCAGCCTCCCGAGTAGGTGGGATTACAGGCACATGCCAACACGCCTAGCTAATTTTTGTATTTTTATTAGAGACGGTGTTTCACCATGTTGGCCAGGATGGTCTCGATCTCTTGACCTCGTGGTCCACCCGCCTTGGCCTCCCAAACTGTTGGGATTACAGGTGTGAGCCACCCCACCCGGCCTCTTTTCCTTTTTTAAATAGAACTAAGACAAGACTTAGGTAGTATGCACAGATAATTTCTAAAAGGATAGATACCAAACTCTTTAACAGTAGCTGCTACTTAGTTGGAGCCAGGGAAGAGAGATAATCACTTTCTAATTCCACATGAATCTGTGTAGGTTTTTTTTAGTAAGCCTTTATTACTTTAAAAGTTATATACATATAATTATATAATTATATGTATATAATTTTTAAAACATATATATAATTTAAAAGACTATCCTACACAACTAATAAAACTTTCCTCCCTCTCTACTCAACTTCTAGCCATCCAAGTGAATGCTAGATTACAAATAATTCTGTGTACATTTTGATAATATTTTATTTGATAAGTTCAAAGCATAGAACAGAGTTCCTTTAAAAGATAACAATGCATTTAAACCTTTTTATAAACACTGTAGTCTTCTCATGGGCTTCTTTCTGGAGGATGAATGGGGAGTAACCCAGGGACACCACTCCTAAGTGCTTAGACTAGAAATGGTGGGGAGTCAGAAAAGAACTGTTTATGGTGAAATAAAACAAAGAAGGCTGGGCGTGGTGGCTTATTCCTGTAATCCCAGCACTTTGGGAGGCCGAGGTGGGCGGATGACCTGAAGTCAGGAGTTCAAGGCCAGCCTGACCAACATAGAGAAACCGCATTTCTACTAAAAATACAAAATTAGCTTGGGGTGATGGCGCATGCCTGGCTGAGGCGGGTGGATCACAAGGTCAGGATGCGCCATCACGCCCAGTTACCCGGGAGGCTGAGGCAAGAGAATAGCTTGAACCCGGGAGGCGGAGGTTGCAGTGAGCCGAGATCACACCATTGCACTCCAGCCTGGACAACACGAGGGAAACTCCGTCTCAAAAAAACAAACAAACAACAACAACAACAAAAACGTAAAACAAACAAGATCCCTCCAATTAAAACCCATGCCTATTAAAGTGCATGGGGGCCCAATGACCTACTGTTTGGCAAAACTTGAAGGTCTAAAAGCTGTTCATGGTCAAAGAAACAATTTATAGTTGAGGTGATGGATATGATAAATAGCCTGATTTGATCAACCTACAATGTATACTTACATCAAAATATCACATTGTACCCCATAAATATATACAATTATTACTTTTTTAAAAGATTTTTTAAAACTTTTTAAAAATACACACAAAAAGCAGTTTGTGGTCTAATTTCTTTTTCCTTGCTCAGCCTCATCTTTTAGCACCTGTTTATACACATATCACCTCTATTCTTGTAACAAAAATAGGTAGAACTGGCCAGACACAGTGGCTCATGCCTGTAATCCCAGCACTTTGGGAGACCAAGATGGGAGGCTCAATAGTTTGAGCCCAGGAATTCAAGACCAGCCAGGGCAACACACCAGACCCTATCCCTACTAAAAATTAAAAATTAGCCAGGCATGCTGCACACCAGTAGTTCTAGGAACTTAGGAGGCTGAGGCAGGAGGATCATTTGAGCCCAGGAGTTCAAGGCTGCAATTAGTGATGATCATGCCACTGTACTCCCACTTAGGTGACAAAACGAGACTTTGTCTAAGTAAAAAAAAAAAAATAGGACGTCCCAGTACCCCAATCTATGTCTCTCCTCTCCATCTCCCAGTCCATATTTAAGCTGTGCCTCAAATATACCATGCTGTCTAATGCATCCACACCTTTGCATGTGCTAGTCCCTCCTCTAACACACTTCCACATTTTCCAACGCCCTTCATCTTGTCCCTCTAGCAACCTTCTGTTTATTCTTCAAAAGAATTATCTTAGATCCCATGGCATCATCCCTAATTTGCCCCAGGTTTTCTTGGACACTTTTGTTACATTCCCATTGTTCCACTGTATTCTAGCATATACACCAATTTTTTTTTCTTTTTTTCTTTTCTTTTTTGAGATAGAGTTTCGTTCTTATTGCCTAGGCTAGAGTGCAATGGCGTGATCTCAGCTCAATGCAACCTCTGCCTCCCGGGTTCAAGCGATTCTCCTACCTCAGCCTCCCGAGTAGCTGGGATTACAGGCATGCGCCACCACACCTGGCTAATTTTGTATTTTTAGTAGAGATGAGGTTTCTCCATGTTGTTAAGGCTGGTCTCGAACTCGCGACCTCAGGTAATCCGCCCACCTCGGCCTCCCAAAGTACTGGGATTACAGGCGTGAGCCACCGCACCTGGCATATACATGAATTTTTTTGTTTGTTTGGTTGGTTGTTTTTTTGTTTTGTTTTTTTTGAGATAGAGTCTTGCTCTGTCACCCAGGCTGGAATGCAGTGGCGCTATCTCGACTCACTGCAAGCTTCGCCTCCCAGGTTCACGCCATTCTCCTGCCTCAGCCTCCTGAGTAGCTGGGACTACAGGCGCCCACCACCACGTCCGGCTAATTTTTTGTATTTTTAGTAGAAACGGTTTCACTGTGTTAGCCAGGATGGTCTCAATCTCCTGACCTCATGATCCACCCGCCTCGGCCTCTCAAAGTGCTGGGATTACAGGCTTGAGCCACCATGCCTGGCCCATATACACTAGTTTTTTACTGTAGGCCGTAAGGCCCTTTGAACCCTCGATATATAATACTTGCTCAATTATGTTTGTTTAGTAAAGGAATGATTCCATTTGCACCATAAACTCTCTTCCTGTGACCAGCATATGAATGTGTGTGTGGTCTCTAAGAACTCGAATGATGCCTAAGCTATCCAACCCACTTTCCTCAGTTTTTATTTACGCAGAAATTGAAATTAACAAACTAATTTCTGAGTCTTAAGTGAAATTGTTTTCGTTTTATTTAAAGTTACCCTTGACTTACATAGTTTTAACCTTCTGGAAAGTTCTTCTTTTTTCTCTCTCTCTTCCTGTTCCTGATTGCCACACTGGATAGAAAGTTCTAAATGAATACTTAGGTTTGAAAGTATTTTTCTACATCTATTTATTTTGCCATTCTACAGATTTGGCTCCATTGTCCTAAGGTTTCAGCACAATAAAAATCTCGTTTCTCCCAGTGCTTGTCTTGACATCAATGTAGCATTAAAAAGTCCAAGACTTTTACAGACTAATTTAAGCTGAACAAGGAAATATAATCTGGTACCTACTAAGAAACATAAATGGGCCTGGGTTGCTAGCAGTTCCTGGAAGTCACTGTGTTTTCCAATAAATCCATGCAAATCGTAACAGGGAAAGAGAAGCCACAAAGCAGAGGCTGGGACTGTTGGGATCATGTTAGTAATTAAACTCTCTCTCCTCTTGAGACTCAGTGAGAGCCTTCCCCTTACAAAAAAACAAAAAAGACCATAGCTTGCTGCCAAAGCGGATCTGACCACGCGTCCTCTCACTCTAAGAGATTAAAATAAAGCCTCCTGCAGTCCTTTTCTCCAAATACACAAAGAAGTGGCTGGGCTGAGGCTCAAGGGCACAGTTCCAGTCCCTGTTGGCAAGAGAAGGGCAGGGCTCTGGTTCTCCCAAAGGGTGCAAAGGACAAGAATGTTTCCTAGAAAAGAAACCAGGGAAGGAGACCAAAGTAGACCTAGCTGATATGGAGCTGTTATGTGAAAACTGAAAGCTGCTTCGATACTACTTCAAAGCCAGATTATTCTGGGAACTGAAGGGAGACTGAGCCTTCAAGTAATATGACTAGGGAAGTCAAGTACAAAAAAAAAAGTGAGACCAGGAAGGAACAAAGCATGCATTTGGAGCTAATACCACTCATTGGAAGAGGTTGTTTGGAAAAGGTTTGCAAATACCACAAAAATGGGATTCAAAGTGTCTTTATGTATTGTGATATTCATTGCAGCACTATTTATAATAGCAAAAAACTGGTAGCAACTGAAACATCTAGCAGTAGGTGAACTGTTTTATAGCCATGGTCTAGAACATTAAACCACAATTTAAAGTTTTCTGTGCATATTTAATAACCCAAGAAGATGTTCATAATATAATATTGAGGGTTTTTTTGTTGTTTGTTTGTTTGTTTGTTTGAGACGGAGTCTCACACTGTCACCTGGGCTAGAGTGCAATGGCATGATCTCGGCTCACTGCAACCTCCACCTCCCGATTCCTCTGCCTCAGCTTCAAGCGATTCCTCTGCCTCAGCCTCCCGAGTAGCTGGGACTACAGTTGCATGCCACCACGCCCGGCTAATTGTGTATTTTTTAGTAGAGATGCGGTTTCACTATGTTGGCCAGGCTGGTCTCAAACTCCTGATCTCGTGATCTGCCTGCCTCAGCCTCCCAAAGTGCTAGGATTACAGGCGTGAGCCACCGCGCCCAGCCGTTTTTCACCCTTTATAGTTGTTTTTTGTTTGTTTTGTTTTTTGTGTGTTTGTTTGTTTGTTTGTTTTTGAGACAGGGTATCACTCTGTCACTGGAGTGCAGTGGTGCAGCCTTGACTCACTGCAGCCTCTGCCTCCTGGGCTCAAGTGATCCTCAGCCTCCCAAGTAGCTGGGACTATAGGCATGCTCTACCACACTAGGGTAATTTTTGTGTTTTTAGTAGAGATGAGTTTTGCCATGTTGCCTAGGCTGGTCTTGAACTCTTTGGGCTCAAATGATCTGCCCACTTCAGCCTCCTAAAGTGCTAGGATTGCAGGCGTGAGCCACCATGCCAGCCAGTCTCTTTTTAAGACCCTCTTCCTGATCATTTGAGCCCAGGAAGTCGAGGCCGCAATGAGCCATGCACTCCACTGCCACTGCACTCTAGCCTGGACAACAGAGATCCTGTCTCAAAAAAAATTAATGTCCTTAAAAAACAAACAACAGACCAGGCACGGTGGCTCATGCCTGTAATCCCAGCACTTTGGGAGACTGAGGCAGGTTGATCACCTGAGGTCAGGAGTTCGAGACTAGCCTGGCCAACATGGTGAAACCCCGTCTCTACTAAAAATACAAAAATTAGCCAGGCCTGGCGGCGGGCGCCTGTAATCCCAGCTACTCAGGAGGCTGAGGCAGGAGAATCGCTTGAACCCAGGAGGCGGAGGTTGCAGTGAGTTGAGATCACACCATTGCACTCCAGCTTGGGCGACAAGAGTAAAACTCCATCTAAAAAAAAAGAAAAACCCAAACAAAAAGAACACTAGTTGCCTCTGAAGATGGTGAGCCTCTGAAGATGCCTCTGAGGCTCAATTTTGAGGGAATTCTATATCCTGTTAAAAGTCCAAGGTGCAGCATGTACCAGATGGCTGTATGCCCTCCTCTTTCTGGGGCAGGGTTGACAGTAATAGGCAGGAATGTATCATATATATGTATCATATATTTTGTGGTTTTCAGCAGTGGGTTTTTTTTTTCCTTTCTTAATAGAAATTGATGCTATTTAATTTTTATACCTTTTGTTGTTGTTTTTAATGGGGTTTGAGAGAAGAGAGTAAAGTGAAAATGTCACTAGTCCTTTAATTAGAAGTCCATATTTCCACCGGGCACGGTGGCTTATGCCTGTAATCCCAGCACTTTGGGAGGCCAAGGCGGGCGGATCACTTGAGGTCAGGAATTTGAGAGCAGCCTGGCCAACATGGTGAAACCCCATCTCTACTAAAAATACAAATTAACTGGGTGTTGTGGCGGGCACCTGTAATCCCAGCTACTTGGGAGGTTGAGGTGGGAGAATCGCTTGAACCTGGGAGGCTGAGGTTGCAGTGAGTTGAGATAGCGCCACTGCACTCCAGCCTGGGCCACAGGAGCAAAACTTTGTCAGAAAGAAAGAGAGAGAGAGAGAGAGAGAGAGAGAGAGAGAAAGAGAGAGAGAGAGAGAGAGAAAGAGAGAGAGAGAAAGAGAGAGAGAGAGAGAGAAAACTCGGAAGTAGACTTTTTTTTTCTTTTTTTTTTTTTTAGATGGAGTCTTGCTCTGTCGCCCAGGCTGGAGTGCAGTGGCGTGATCTTGGCTCACTGCAACCTCTGCCTCCCAGGTTCAAGCAATTCTTCTGCCTCTGCCTCCCAAGTAGCTGGGACTACAGGTGCCTGCCACCACACCTGGCTAATTTTTGTATTTTTAGTAGAGACGGCATTTTGCGATATCGGCCAGGCTGGTCTCGAACTCCTGACCTCCTGATCTGCCCGCCTCGGCCTCCCAAAGTGCTGGGATTACAGGTGTGAGCCACCTCACCTGGCCTCTTTTATTTTTATTTTTATTTATTTATTTATTTATTTATTTTGAGACAAAGTTTTGCTGCTGTTGCCCAGGCTGGAGTGCAATGGTGCAATCTCAGCTCACTGCAACCTCCGCCTCCCGGGCCCAAGCGATTCTCCTGCCTCAGCCTCCGGAGTAGCTAGGATTACAGGCATGCACCACCATGCCCAGCTAATTTTATTTTTAGTAGAGATGGGATTTCTCCATGTTGGTCAGGCTGGTCTCGTACTCCTGACCTCAGGTGATTGACCTGCCTTGGCTTCCCAAAGTGCTAGGATTAAAGGTGTGAGCCACCACGTCCAGCCTGGAAGTAGACATTTTTTTATTAACCAAAATGAATTTAGTTAGCTCACCATTGCCTCTACAAAAATTGTACTGGGACCAAAAACTTTGTATATGAGACAACAAATTTTCTAAAATGCAAATCTTAAAGACAAATAATGTTAGTGTCCAGAAGAAAGGTTATTGGGTCAGTCTTTCAGATTATTTCCCCATAACACCAAGTTCCAAAAAACAATTTCTAGTCATTTGTGGGATGCTCCAGAGAGCCCTTGGGACAAGTAAAGTTGCAGCTGTTTGTGTGTGTTGTAATTCAAGATGATGTGTTGCTACATCTACTAGTTTGGTACAACTGTTATGATCAGATAGACCTAGTTCCTTAAGGCTGAGACACAACAGTCTGGTTTCTGTAATGGAAGGATGAGTAGGCTTTATTCTGTTTTGTTGCTTTTTTTCTTTCTTTCTTTTAAATAATACATTCTAAGCCTCGATCCTGGACTTTGCAGGAAAAAAAAAAAAAAGAATAATACATTCTACCCTCACATATAGTCAATTGATTTTCAACAATGGTGCCAAGACAATTCATGGGGAAAGAATACTCTTTTCAACAAATGGTGATGGAACATCCACATGCAAAATAATGAAGTTGACTTTGGGAGGCCGAGGCAGGAGGATCATTTGAACCTAGGGAGTTTGAGAACAGCCAAGGCAACAGAGTGAGACCCTGTCTCTATTCAAAAAAACAAAAAGAAAGAAAGAAAAAAGAATGAAGCTGGACTCCTCCCTCACACCACACACAAAAATTATCTCAAAAAAAAATCTAAATATAAAGACTAAAACTATAAAATTCTTAAAAGAAAATATAGGAATCTTCTTGAGCTTGGATTTGCTGATGATTTTGATGGCAGCAGCGGCCTGTTTGGAGTGGTGGCTACTGCCATGACACCAGCATTGAGGGGACTGGTGGGGGAGTGGGCATGGCTGGGGCTGCACACTCCATGGAGCCAACGGAAGCCAAGAACAGGCGGGAGCCCTACTCCCTTCTGAGTTGGCAGGGCCAGTGCAGCTGCAGCCAACCAGCTGTAGCTGTGGACCCAGGCATCCCTGCACTCTTGACTCAGGAAGCCCCCTGCCCCCACAGGCTCAAAAATGCCTGCTCCCACTGCCTGGCCTCTTCCTGTTCCTGGTGCCCGCTCCAATTTTGGAGCAAAGTTGAGGCTGAGCCCAGGCACTGTCGCAACCTGCCACAGTGCACGCATGCTCAGGGCAGCACTGATACACCAGCCCCCTGCCAACTTGGCCCTCTCTGGGCTTTGGGCAGAGATGAGCACAAGTGGGAGGCCGAGGGGGTGCTGAGGGCAGCTCACCATGGGCCTGCAGGCACCCCTTGGCACAAACAGCCTTGGTGCCATGGACACTTGGATGGCAGATTGATGGCAGCAGGAGGCAGACAGGCTCGTGGACTGAAAGGGGCAGGTGCCCGATGAAGCCCCACCTTCAAGCCAGTGACAGCCTGAAGCCTGTGGGCTGGGCTGCCAGTTCCATGGACTGGAGTGAGAACTTATGGTGCTTTTTCTGGACCTGCCCATGGCAAACCATGGACCAATTCAGCACTCATTTCCTCCCCTCTGAAGCCCATAAAAACCTCAGTCTCAGCCAGATTCAGGCAGACAACAGGAAGACCTGCCTGCTGTTAGGAGCTACTCACTCCATGTCTCTTCTCCACTAAGGGCTGCAGAGATGATGGGATGATTTGCCTGCGAATAGGAGCTACCCACTCCAGGTCTCCTGTCTGCTGAGGGCTGCACAGACATTGGGATGACCTGCCTGTGGAAGGGAGCTACTCACTGCAGGTCTCTTCTCCTCTGACAGCTGGATACTCGTTGGGATGACCTGCTTGCAGAAAGGAGCTACCCACTTTGGGTCTCCTGAGAATGGTTCTGCCTCTCAGTGAAGCTCCTCTCTATCTTGCTCACCCTCTAGTTGTCCGTGTACTTCATTCTTCCTGGACAGGGAACAAAAACTCAGGACCTGCCAAATAGCGGCTAAAAGAGCTGTAATACAGCCGGTCACAGTGGCTCACACCTGTAATCCCAGCACTTTGGGAGGCTGAGGTGGGCAGATCAGGAGGTCAGGAGTTTGAGACCAGCCTGACCAACATGGTGAAACCCCCGTCTCTACTAAAAATACAAAAATTAGCTGGGCATGGTGGCACATGCCTGTAATCTCAGCTGCTCAGGAGTCTGAGGCAGGAGAATTGCTTGAACCCAGGAGGCAGAGGTTGCAGTGAGCCAAGATCATGCTACTGCACTTCAGCCTGGGCAACAGAGTGGGACTCTATCTCAAAAAAAAAAAAAAAAAAGAGCTGTAATACAAATAGGGCTGAAACATATCCCTCTGCTTGCCACATTCCCAGCAACAAGAAGAAAAGAACTGCAGCCCTTTGGAGAGCCCGGCCCAGGCTGTTGCGTTGCCTGCTGGGCTGAGTGGGCAGAACAAACCCAGTGGGTGCAAGCAATACTCAGGCAGAAGGCATCACTGGCCACAGAGGTTTCTAGCTGGCGAAGCAACACCCCAAGGATCCTGTGACAATTTATTGAATATGACACCAAAACAGTAATCAACAAAAGAAAAAATAGATAAATTGGACTTTGTCAAAATTAAAAACTTTTATGCATCAAAGGACACTATCAAGAGTGAAAAGACAATCTAAAGAATGGGAGAAAATGTTTACAAGCCACATAGCTCATCAGGGATTGATATTCAGAATATATAAAGAAGTCTTACAACAAAAAGACAAAAAATAGGGTGGGCACAGTGGTTCACACCTGTAATCCCAATACTCTGGAGGCAGAGAGAATAATAATACATTATTATTATTGCTTGAAGCCAGGAGTTTGAGACCCGCCTGGAATTTGAGACAGGGATGATCCCTCCACCTCAGTGCCTCCCAAGTAGCTGAGACTACAAGTGCGCACCACCATGCCTGGCTAATTTTTTTGTATTTTTTGTAGATATGAGGTTTCACCATGTTGCCCAGGCTGGTCTCGACCTCTGAGGCTCAAGTGATCTGCCTGCCTCAGCCTCCCAAAATGCTAGGATTATAGGTGTCAGCTACCAAGTATGGCTCAAAAAGTAATTTAAAAATTATTAAAATTGCCACTGTGGCCAGGCATGGTGGCTCATGCCTGTAATCCCAGCACTTTGGGAGGCCAAGGCCGGCAGATCACTTGAAGCCAGGAGTTCAAGACCAGCCTGGTCGACATGGTGAAATTCCATCTCTACTAAAAATACAAAAATTAGCCGGGTGTGGTGGTGCGCACCTGTAATCCCATCTACTCAAGAGGCTGAGGCGGGAGAATCACTTGAACCCGGGAAGCAGAGGTTGCAGTGAGGCAAGATCACACCACTGCACTGCAGTCTGGGCAACAGAGTGACACCCTGTCTCAAGAGAAAAAAGACAATCCAATTGAAAAACAGGCGAAGGACTTGAGTAGGCATTTCTCCAAAGAAGGTATCAAATGGGCCAAATGGCCCCAAATCACATGAAAACATGTTCAACATCATAAGTCATTAGTGGAATGCAAATCCAAACCACAGTGAGATGCCACTCACACCTACATAAATTTTTTAAAGGAAAAATAAAAGTGTTCGTGTGAATGCTGAGATATTGGAACCCTAATACATTGCTGGTAGGCAAGAAAAATGATGCAGCCACCACAGAAAACAGTTCGGCGGTTCCTCAAAAACTTAAAAATAAACACCAAATACAAATGGTTTGTGTCTGTAACCCCAGCTACTTGGGAGACTGAGGCAGGAGGATTATTTGAGGCTAGTTCAAGACCAGCCTCAGCAACATAGTGAAACCCCATCTCTAAAAAAAATAAAAATTAAAAATAAACATAGAATTACCACATGACTAGCAATTCTCTTTCTAGGTAAATGCCTAAAAGAATTGAAAATAATAATTCAAACAAAAACTTGTATATGAATGTTCATAGCAACACTATTCACACTAGCCAACAGGTAGAAACAACCAAAATGTTTGTCACTGATGAGTGGATAAACAAAATGTAGTATGTTAATACAATTAGAATATTATTTAGCCATAAAAAGGAAGAAAATACTGATTGATGCTGTAGCATGGATGAACCTGGAAAACATTATGCTAAGTGAAATAAATTAGACACAAAAAGCTACATAGGATTCCATTTATATTAAATGCCCAGAAGAAGCAAATCCATAGAAACAGAGTATATAAGTGTTTGCCAGGGGTTGGGAGGAGGGAAAAATGGGGTTTATTATAATATGGTTTATTTGGGGGGGGGGGATGAAAATGTTCTAGATTTGATAATTGATTGTGGTAATGGCTGCACAGCTCTGTGAACTTACTAAAAAATTGAATTGTACAGTTTCTTTTATTTCATTGAGATAGGATCTCGCTCCCAGGCTGGAGTGCAGTGGCTTAGTCACAGCTCATGGCAGCCTCAAACTCCTGGGCTAAAGTGATCCTCCTGCCTCAGCCTACAGAGTAGCTGGGACTACAGGCACACACTACCATGCCTGGCTAATTATTTTTATTTTTAGTAGATATGAGGTCTCACTATGTTGTCCAGTCTGGTCTCAAACTCATGACTGCAAGCGATCCTTATGCCTTGGCCTCCCAAATTACAGTTGTGAGCCACCACAACTGGCCAAATTATACACTTTGTTTTATTGGTTTTTTTTTGTTTGTTTTGTTTAGGTTTTTTTTTGTTTTTTGTTTTCTTAAACGAAGTCTCGCTCTGTTGCCCAGGCTGGAGTGCAGTGGCGTGATCTCGGCTCAATGCAACCTCTGCTTTCCGGATTCAAGCAATTCTCCTGCTCAGCCTCCCAAGTAGCTGGGACTACAGTGTGCACCACCACGCCCAGCTAATTTTTGTATTTTTAGTAGAGGCAGGGTTTCACCATATTGGCCAGGATGGTCTTGATCTCCTGACCTCATGATCTGCCCATCTCGGCCTCCCAGAGTGCTGGGATTACAGGTGTGAGCCACCACACCCAGCCTGTAAATGTTGACTTTTTTTTTTTTTTTTTTTTTTTTTGAGACAGAGTTTCACTCTTGTTGCCCAGGCTGGAGTGCAATGGCAAGGTATCAGCTCACTGCAACCTCTGCCTCCTGAGTTCAAGCGATTCTCCTGCCTCAGCCTCCCGAGTAGCTGGGATTACAGGTGCCCCCACCACCACTCCTGGCTGATTTTTTTTTTTTTTTTTTTTTTGAGACAGTCTCATTCTGTTGCCCAGGCTGGAGTGCAATGGCGTGATCTTGGCTCACTGCAACCTCTGCTTCCTGGGTTTAAGCAATTATTCTGCCTCAGCCTCCCAAGTAGCTGGGATTACAGGTGCCTGCTATCACACCCAGCTAATTTTTATATTTTTAGTAGAGATGGGGTCATGTTGGCCAGGCTGGTCTTGAACTCCTGACCTCAAGTGATCCATCCGCCTCAGCCTCCCAAAGTGCTGGGATTACAGGCATGAGTCTCTGGGTATGGCCTTAATCTTTTGTATTTTTAGTAGAGACGAGGTTTCACCATGTTGGCCAGGCTGGTCTCGAACTCCTGACCTCAGGTGATCCACCCACCTCGGCCTCCCAAAGTTCTGAGATTACAGGTGTGAACCACCACACATGGCCTATATAAATTGACTCTTAATACCAGAAACAGATTAGCTGCTCTAGAAAATAACTGCCTAGCTCTTTGAAATGCCTCACCTAGAATGTCCTCACAAGGAGTTTTGTGTATGCCATGTAACCTTTAAGTCAAACTAGTCTTCCCAAACACATCGTCATTATTATTATTATTATTATTATTATTATTATTATTATTATTATTATTATTTTGAGACAGAGTCTCACTCTTGCCCAGGCTGGAGTGCAGTGGCGTGATCTCAGCTCACTGCAGGTTACTCACTGCAACCTCTGCCTCCCTGGTTCAAGTGATTCTCCTGCCTCAGCCTCCCAAGTAGCTGGGATTACAGGTGCCCACCACCACGTCTGGCTAATGGGGGTTTCACCGTGTTGGCCAGGCTGGTCTGGAACTCCTGACCTCAGGTGACCCGCCCTCCTCTGCCTCCCAAAGTGCTGGGATTACAGGCGTGAGCCACCGCGCCTGGCTACTTTCCATATTATTGAAATGTGATGTAGTCATTTTCACATGACAATGTGAATAAAGAGACAAACTTAGTTTTATAATGTTTCACATCAATTTATATAATGCTTATAGTCCTTCTAAGAGGGTAAAGGCCTTTGTGAGGAATCAGCCAACTGGCTGCAGAGTAGTGGTATTATTTTTTTCTGTATGAGAAGGGAAGTGACACTGTGTCATTGTGAGGTAACAGAAAGGGATTTGGAGAAGAACACCTAGGAATAAAGGGAATAGTGTTACCTTAAGACTAACACTTAGGGATATATGGTAAGGTAACTAACGGTGACCTTAAGGGTGCTGATTAGGTCACATTCATAAATGGGTGGGGAGTGATGCCAAAGGGCACATAGTGAGCAAGTTGTGGTCACGAGGTGATTAGGACAGATGATTTAGGGCTGGAGACTCCTGTGGGTGTTAACATGATGACTGCATAGGTGCTCAAGACTGCCCATGGTGGAGTATTAGTCCCCACAACCTAACTGGCATCAAGAATCAGGGAAACCAGACCAGGCGCGGTGGCTCATGCCTGTAATCCCAGCACTTTGGGAGGCTGAGGTGGGCAGATCATGAGGTGAGGAGTTCGAGACCAACCTGGCCAACATAGTGAAACCCCTCTCTACTAAAAATACAAAAATTAGCTGGGAATCGTGGCACGTGCCTGTAGTCCCAGCTACTTGGGAGGCTGAGGCAGGAGAATCGCTTGAACCCAGGAGGCAGAGGTTGCAATGAGCCAAGATCGCACCACTGCACTCGTAGCATGGGCAACAGAGCGAGACTCCGTATTAAAAAAAAAAAAATCAAGGAAACTTTCTTAGAAACAGCTGGGTCTTAATAGTCTCAACAAGTTAAGGAGAGTTTCTGGGCTTCAGACCCCGCATTTCCCCCCATGCCCTGAAGAGCATTATAGACCCTGTACTTTAAGAAGAGTAAAAGTCCTGAGTATCCTGTTAGGAATCATCCCATCCCTGGGCAGCTTCTCCTCAGTACTAACCATGAGGAAGGGGAACTGAGGGCCCTTTCACCCAGAGAGGACTCTTCATCCTGAAGAGAAGTGAGAGGACATGTCTGAAAAACACACCAAGATAAAGTATCTGGCTGTCATGACTCTTTCTAGAAAAATCTCAGTGCTGTTTTACATAACCTCATTCATCTCCAGAATTAGAATGAGTATCTTCTGGCCTGGTGTGGTGGCTCACACCTGTAATCCCGGCACTTTGGGAGGCTGAGGCAGGCGGATCACCTGAAGTCAGTGGTTCAAGAGCAGCCTGGCCAACATGGTGAAAACCCATCTCTACAAAAATACAAAAATTAGCCCTGCATGATGGGGGAGGCTAAGGCGGAAGAATCGCTTGAACCTGAGAGAGGGAGCTTGCAGTGAGCCGAGATCGCGCCATTGCACTCCAGACTGGGCAACAGAGCGAGACTCCATCTCAAAAAAAAAAAAAAAAAAAAGAATGAATATCTTCTATTACTTCATTTATTGTGCCAGGTACTCTTACTCTTGGGCAACTGAAATCATGGCTTCATATCTATGAATTGAGTGAGGTGGTACTCACATCACCAGCCTCTTATGTTGACCGAATCAAGACCTTTAACTGCCTAGTAGACTGACTTACAAGTGGAGCTGCTCAACAGATAATAGTTTCTTTTTTTTTCTAGACGGGAGTCTCGCTCTGTTGCCCAAGGTGGAGTGCAGTGGCGCTATCTCGGCTCACTGCAAGCTCCGCGTCCCAGGTTCATGCCATTCTCCTGCCTCAGCCTCCTGAGTAGCTGGGAATACAGGCGCCCGCCACCATGCCCAGCTAATTTTTTTTGTATTTTTAGTAGAGACGGGGTTTCACCGTGTTAGCCAGGATGGTCTCGATCTCCTGACCTCGTGATTTGCCTGCCTCAGCCTCCCAAAGTGCTGGGATTACAGGCGTGAGCCACCACGCCTTGCTCTTTTTTTTTGGGGGGGGGGGGGTTGTCGTGGAAATTAAGTTTATGAATCTCCTTGATCTCTGAATTATTCCAAACAGCACCATCCCAGCAATTCCTTTTAATTGTTTTTAGAACTACAGTTGACCTTTGAACAATGAGAGGGTTAGGGTGCCAACTCCCACCAATGCAGCTGAAAATCTACATAAAAGATTAGATTCCCCAAACCACTAGTAGCCTATTGACCAGAAGCCTTCTTGATAACCTAAACAATTAACACATATTTTGTATCTTTATCATATACTGTATTTTTACAATAAAGTAAGCTAGAGAAAAGAAATGTTATTAAGAAAATCATAAGGAAGAGTAAGTGTATTTACTATTCATGAAGTGGAAATGGATCATCATGAAGGTCTTCATCCCTGTCTTCACATTGAGTAGGCTATCTTGCTGTCTCAGGGGTGGCAGAGGCGGAAGAGGTGGAGGAAGTGGATGGGGAGGCGGAAGAGGTGGAGGAAGTGGATGGGAAGGCGGGAGAGGCAGGCACACTTGGTGTAACTTTTGTTGAAAAAATATCTTTGTATAAGTGGACCCACGCAGTTCAAACGTGTTGTTCAAGGGTCAACTGTGGTCATATTGTCGGGGTTCTTTAGCCATTAGGTCTCAGAAATTAGCCTGAATTTAGCCAGACATAGTAGCACACGCCTATAGTTCCAGCTGCTTGAGAGGCTGAGGCGGGAAGATCACTTGAACCCAGACTGCAGTGGGCTATGATGGTGTCACTGCACTCCAGCCTGGGTAACACAGTGAGACTCCATATCAAAAAAAAGAAAAAAAGAAAAAAAAAAGAAAAGGAAAGAAATTAACCCGAATTTGTGGTTTCTAACTTGGCAATTAGTCTTTCTTTGACCCCAAGTTTAGACTCAATATCTTCACTAAGAGCCAGCCCAGGGGGTGCAACTTGGAGCACCAGAATGTTTGTGTAATACTAGCCATGGTAAAGAAGGTGTCCCAGGCTCTCCTGGTGGAGGCAGGCTCTGCTCTACTTAACTCTACTCCAGGCAAGAGCAGACAAAGAGCAGACTCTTTAGACTGGTAAGCAGAACAGACTCGTCCCTCAAGGAGCTCCCAGACCAGGGAGGGGAGGAGACTGTAAATATTCACCATGCCGTGGTAACAGCAGAGATGGAGCACAAGGGGAAGTTCAGAGAAAGATCTCAGAAGAGAGGTACTTTGTCTAACCTGAGATTTAGGGAAAGTTCTCCTGAAGATGATGACTGGTCTACATGACCTGAGCCGAGATGGGAATGAGTTGAAAGGTAGGCTTGTGAAGAAGCAGGAGAAGAGCATTATAGATAGAAAACTCAAAGGCATCAGAGGCCCCAAGCTGCATGCTATGATATTGGGATAATAGTAGTACAAACATAGTGCAAGACAGTGGTGTAAAGTGAGATATTTGCTTCTGAGCCATTTCCCTTCTGTTGCCACTTCCTCTTCCTCTTTTAAGTGAAACATTACTAGCAGCCTAATAATTATCATAGCTGACATATATTAGGTGTTTTTTGTTTTGTTTTGTTTGTTTTGTTTTTCTTGAGATGAAGTCTCGCTCTTGTTGCCCAGACTGGACTGCAATGGTGCCATCTTGGTTCACTGCAACCTCTGCCCCCTGGGTTCAAGCGATTCTCCTACCTTAGCCTCCTGAGTAGCTGGGATTACAGGCGCCTGCCACCATGCCTGACTAGTTTTTTGTATTTTTAGTAGAGATGGGGTTTCACCATGTTGGCCAGGCTGGTCTCGAACTCCTGACCTCAAGTGATCCACCCACCTCAGCCTCCCAAAGTGCTGAAATTACAGGCATGAGCCACTGCGCCTGGCGTTTTTTTGTTGTTCTTGTTATTTGTTTTTTTAGATGGGAGTCTTGTTCTGTCGCCCAGGCTGGAGTGCAGTGGCGCAATTTCGGCTCACTGTAGCCTCTGCCTCCAGGATTCAAGCAATTCTCCTGCCTCAGCCTCCTGAGTAGCTGGGACTACAGGCGCGTGCCACCACGCCTGGCTATTTTTTTGTATTTTTAGTAGAGACAGGGTTTTACCATGTTGGCCAAGATGGTCTTGATCTCCTGACCTAATGATCTGCCCGCCTCAGCCTCCCAAAGTGCTGGGATTACATGCGTAAGCAACCATGCCCAGCCAGGTTTTTACTCTGTCCAACTCTATTCTACATCCCTTAAATTTATTAACTTGTTAAATTCTCTAGGAGTAAATGCTGTCATTACTCCCATTTTACAGATGAGGAAACTGAGTCGGGGGAGATTAAGTAACTTCTCAAAGGTACACATAGGGCCATGTGGTCTGTCATCTCTGCTTTAGCTGACACATATGGCCTCTATAGCCTAGGCTTTACATGGCCAGTCTCCATCCAGACTGACTAGAGTGGTGTTTTGTAAAATATAGAGGTTGATCTGCAGCCTAGGTGCAATAGAATTACCTGGGGCAGGCCAGGCACTGTGGCTCATGCCTGCAATCCCAGCACTTTGGGAGGCTGAGGCAGGTGGATCATCTGCAGTCAGGAGTTCGAGACCAGCCTGGCCAACATGGTGAAACCCCGTCTCTACTAAAAATACAAAAAAAATTAGCTGGGTGTGTTGGCATGTGCCGGTAATCCCAGCTACTCGGGAGGCTGAGGTAGGAGAATTGCTTAAATCCAGGAGGCTAGGGTTGCAGTGAGCCTAGATCACCCACTGCACTCCAGCCTGGTAACACAGCGAGACTCCGTCTCAAAAAAAAAAAAAAAAAATTAGAATTACCTGGGGCATTTGATAAAACACAGATACCTAGGCTCCACTGTACTCTGCATGAATCTAATGGGGTGGGTGATTAAGAACCTGAATTTTTTTTTTTGAACTCCCCAGATGATCCTAAGGCACAGTAATGTTTGGGAACCTCTGGGCTGGAGTCTCTGGGTTGAAATCCAAGTTTTGTTCTGTTTTTTTTAAGAATGAGTCATTGCATCTTTCAAGTATTCAACCAAGATTGTCTTCATAATCTTACACTTCATTCATCTGTCTTTACAAAGTTACAGAGCTGAAGCCATATCCTGTTTCTTCAGCACTCATCTATACTTTAAAAATTCTAGGCCAGGCATGGTGGGTCACGCCTGTAATCTCAGCACTTTGGGAGGCCGAGGCGGGCAGATCACCTGAGGTCAGGAGTTCGAGACCAGCCTGCCCAACATCTGCGAAATGCTGTCTCTACTAAAAATACAAAAAATTAGCTGGGCATGGTGGTGGGCACCTGTAATCCCAGCTACTCAGGAGGCTGAGGCAGGAGAATTGCTTGAACCCAGGAGGCGGAGGTTGCAGTGAGCCGAGCTTGCACCACTGCACTCCAGCCTGGGTGACAAGAGCGAAACTCCATGTCAAAAAAAAAAAAAATTCTAATCAGATGCCAGTCTCACTGTCATTCTCCAATCTTCCCACTATAACATATTTAGTTCATTGTCCTGCCCGTGTTCTAATTTTGCAGTTTTCCTAGACTGATCCTCTGTGATCCAACAATTAATTATAAATTATTAATTATAAATTAATTAATTATAAATTAATAAAAATTGTGATCCCACAATTAATTTCAAATTTATTAAATAGAACCTGAGAAAAAATTATGCAGTATTTTTTTCATTAGATGATTGTCAGCCTCCTACCAACAAGCATATGCTAGATGTTACCCATGAAAACTTAAGTAGTCAGGCCAGGCACAGTGGCTCACGCCTGTAATCCCAGCACTTTAGGAGATTGAGGTAGGCGGATCACCTGAGGCTAGGAGTTTGAGACCAGCCTGGCCGACATGGTGAAACCCCATCTCTACTAAAAATACAAAAATTAGCCGGGTGTGGTGGCGGGCACCTGTAATCCCAGCTACTCGGGAGGCTGAGGAGAATCACTTGAACCCGGGAGGCAGAGGTTGCAGTGAGCCGAGATCGCGCAACTGCATTCCAGCCTGTGCGACAGAGCGAGACTGTCTCAAAAAAAAAAAAAGAGAAAAGGAAAAGTAGTCATGATCCCTCCCTTGGACTCATTTCCAGTGTAAAGGTTATTAACCTTTTTGTAATTGGGATGTATTATGAATGACTGCTCAATTCAACAATGTACCTTTTTCCTCAGTAATTCCTAAAGAAGTCATAGAATGTATGTATTTCTTTATTGAATAAAGTCTATTAAAATTATTGTGATTCTAAGGCATCTTAGGGAATTTCATTATGTCTCCTAAAGCTAGACTCAAAAATAGAATTAGGAATTATTCTTCTTTAGCAACCTTCATTATGTCTCTTAAAGCTAGACTCAAAAATATAATTAGGAATTATTCTTCTGTAGCAACCTCAAGCAGTCCAGGATCAGTCCTCAGCTCCACCTTTTGTGACAGTGGGCAGGCACATTCATGCTCTGACCCTCAGGCTTCTCTTCATCAAATAGGAGCCTTGTGTTAGATTATCTCTGAGGTTTTTTCACAACTAGCATTTTGTGGTTCAATAAACAGAATAATTGTCCTGCAAATAGGTACGTACCCTAAATAGGGTTACAGATAAAATACAAAGTGCCTAACTAAATTTTAGTTTCAGATAAACAATAATTTTTTAATGTTAAGTGTGTCCCAAATTTCACATAGAACACTTTTTTTTTTTTTGAGATGGAGTTTTGCTCTGTCGCCCATGCTGGAGTGCAGTGGTGCAATCTTGGCTTACCGCAACCTCCACCTCCTGGGTTCAAGCAATTCTTCTGCCTCAGCCTCCTGAGTAGCTGGGACTACAGGCGCACACCACCACACCCAGCTAATTTTTGTATTTTTAGTAGAGATGGGGTTTCACCATATTGGCCAGGCTGGTCTCAAACTCCTGACCTCATGGTCTGCCCGCCTCAGCCTCCCAAAGTGCTGGGATTACAGGCGTGAACCACTGTGCCCGGCCAGAACATAATTATACTAAAAAATTATTCACTTGTTTATCTGAAATTCAAATTTTATTTTATTTTATTTTCATTATTTTTTGAGACATAGTTTCCTCTGTCTCCCAGGCTGGTTTCAAACTCCTGGCCTCAAGCAATCTTCCCACCTTGGCCCCCGCAAAGCACTGTGATTATAAGTATGAGCCTCCATCCATGCCCAGCTTAAAATCAAATTTTAACTGGCATCTGCTATTGGCAACCCTAACCCCAAAGCCATTGCTTTTTATCCCATTTTGTGAAAGTCAGTGTCACTATTTCCCTACTGTGAGCTTGCTTATTTCTGCCTTTTATCCTTAGCCTGAAACAAGTTGTGAATATCAAATTTCCACTCACTCCATTGCTTTACCTATGAAATAAATTCCCAGAACTTAGAATAGTTAACAGCAATCTGTTTCCTAGAACTAGCTGCCAGGACTACACCTGGACATCTGTTATTTACAGCCTCATTATTGACATTTTGTCAATAGTTCTGACCTATGCCATGTAATCTGTTATAGTCATAGCATGCCTTCCTGGAAATTTTCATTTGCCTCTATTCCTATTGTATTATTTGGGTTCTTTCCATATTTGTTTGTTCAAGATTCTCTCATCATTAAAAACAAATAAACAAAAACCTCTACTTAACCCTCCTCATCCCATTACTGCTCTACTTCTCTTCCTTCATAACCAAGTATTATCTACATGCATTGTCTTCACATCCTGTTATTAATTCCCCAATGCATTAAATTCTGGCTCATCGTCCTACTACTTCTCGCTGCCATTGAAGCTCCTCTTTCCAGAGTCACTGGTTACTTCCTATTTGTGAAATCAGTAGGAAGCTTTTCAGTCCCAGTCCTACTGGACCTCTCAGCAGCTCTGGCCAATGCTGACCACTCCCCCAATCCAGAAACCACTCTTGGCTTCTGTAACAGTCCCTGGCTCCAGCTGTCCTCCTACCTCCTTACTTCCCTGGCCACTTGGGTCGGTCACCTTCAGCCATTCTTGTCATCTGCCTGGTCCTCTATGATTCTCAGTGTTCGATGCACACTCTGTAGTTGTGATTGAGGTATTTACAAAAAACTGGTGCCCCACTGAGCCAGGTTCACGTGGAAGTTGGGATGAAACAGGATTCTGAGAGGACATGGGAGGAACATGGGTTTCACTTTGTTTCTTTATTAATCTTTGAAATGTGTTTGTTTATTCATTTAGCACTCATTTTTTGAGCATATACTATATCTCAAATATCAGGTCCTAGGAGTACAAAATGGCAAGTCAAGTCCTTGCCCTCAAGGAGCTTGCAGTCTAGGAAAAGCCAACAAACCAACTAATGATGTGAGGACAGCACACAAAGGTACCATGGACTCAGATGCAGGAGCCAGGAAAGACACTAGAGACAGGTTGCC
Organism: Homo sapiens; assembly: GCF_000001405.40. Classification (NCBI taxonomy): domain Eukaryota; kingdom Metazoa; phylum Chordata; class Mammalia; order Primates; family Hominidae; genus Homo; species Homo sapiens. The sequence continues at coordinate 16,273,249 of NC_000017.11, forward strand.
TGTGATCTGAGCTTTAAGAGACAAGTAGGAATTAGCCAGGTGCATTCCATATGAGTTCTTCCAGATAGCTGGAGTCCACATGCCTGAGGGAATATGACAGAAGATCAAGTGAGGGAGCCAGGCAAATGCCAGATCACAAAGACCATGTGTCAGGTGAAGGTTATGGAATTGAAATGTCTTAAAACTATAAGGAGCTTTGAAGTACGTCAAAATGGGCAATAAATTGATCTGATTTTCATTTTAGAAAGACTTCTTTTGACAACACTGTGGAAAGCAGCTTGGGAAGGGGGCTCCAGACTTGGTGCAGTGGAACCAATAGGTATGGTCACGTGAGAAATCAGAGTCAGAAAAAAAAGCAGTGGCAGGGGAAATTGAGAGGAGATAGTTTCTAGTGCTGCTACAGAGGTAGCTATTCTAAGGCTTGATGACCAATTGGTTGTCAAAGATAAGAGGGAGGAAAAAAAACAAAGGGTCTCCCAGATGTGTGCATTTAGTGACTGCATAATGCATCACCTCCACTAAATGATTCATCTGTTCTTCATCCCTGTTAGTCTGGACACCAAAAATATCACTCTGCCTAAAGGGGGGAAACATTTCTTTGAGGGAAAACCCTTTTGCCCTATAGCTAAACTAAGCCATTGGAAACTTTTTAGGGCAGAAATGTCAGAGGCATGAACAGGGCTTCTGGAGGAGGGTGAGGTCTCCAGGTTCTCCTGGCTAGTGAAGAGGCTCATGTTCTCATTAGCAAACTGATGGCCTCCATCGATGGCCGTGATACTCACAGGGCGTGGTTCAAAGCCCCAGATCATCAGGGCTTCTAGAGTCTACTTAATCAGGACAGGCATTTATTTAAAGTGCTCTGAAGCTAACTGTCACAAATAGGGAACCTTAGTACTGGTCAGTTGGGAACCAAGGTTATTACCAAGAAGATAGTGTCAGGTGTCAAGTGTGGAAGTCAGGACAAGGCCAGATGTAGGAGATAAGAGTGAAACCAGACGTGAGAAGGTTGGAGCGTGTAAAGGAAATGGGTCACAGGACAAGCAGTTCAGACCTGAGGCCAAGAAGAGGAAGGCAAGAGTTCTCTTGCGGATCTCAGCTAGAAAACATTGCTGTAGAACATAGGTCACTTTGTTTGTTTGTTTATTTATTTATTTATTTTAAGCAAAAGCAAGTTTATTAAGGAAGTAAAGGAGGCCGGGTGCGGTGACTCACACCTGTAATCCCAGCACTTTGGGAGGCCGAGGCGGGTGGATCACCTGAGGTCAGGAGTTCGAGATCAGCCTGGCCAACATGGTGAAACCTCGTCTCTACTAAAAATACTAAAATTAGCCGGGCGTGGTGGCAGCCACCTGTAATCTCAGCTACTTGGGAGGCTGAGGCAGGAGAATCGCTTGAACCCGGGAGGCAGAGGTTGCATTGAGCTGAGATAGCCCCATGGCACTCTAGCCTGGGGGACAAGAGCAAGACTACGTCTCAAAAAAAAAAAGAAAGTAAAGGGATAGGCCGGGCACTATGGCTCACTCCTGTAATATCAGCGTTTTAGGAGGCCGAGGGGGGCGGATCACCTAAGGTCAGGAGTTTGAGACCAGCCTGGCCAACATGGCAAAACCCCGTCTCTACTAAATATACAAAAATTAGCCGAGTGTGGTGGCTTGCGCCTGTAATCCTAGCTACTCAGGAGGCTGGGGCAGGAGAATGGCTGGAACCCGGGAGGCAGAGGCTGCAGTGAGCTGAGATCACACCACTGCACCCCAGCCTGGGCAACAGAGCAAGACTCCGTCTCAAAAAAAAAAAAAGAAAAGAAAGAAAGTAAAGGAATAAAGAATGGCTGTTCCACCGGCCAGCAAAGTGGGATGCTCCACTAAGGACACTTACAGTCATTTTCTGATTATACTCTAAACAAGGGCTGGCTTATTGAGTTTTCTGGGAAAGAGGTGGGCAATTCCCAGAACTGAGGGTTCCTCCCATTTTAGACCATAGAGCGTAACTTCCTGACGTTGCTATGGCATTTGTAAACTGTCAGTGGCACTGGTGGGAGTGTCTTTTAGCATGCTGATGCATTATAATTAGCGTATAATGAGCAATGAGAACCACCAGAGGTCACTTTCATTGCCATCTTGGTTTTGGTGGGATTTTGGTGGGATTTTTATTGCAGGTTGTTTTATCAGTAAGGTCTTTATGACGTGTATTTTGTGCTGACCTCCTATCTCATCCTATAAGTAAGAATGCTAACCTCCTGGGAATGCAACCCAGTAGGTCTCTGCCTTATTTTAGCCAGCCCCTATTCAAGATGGAATTGCTGTGGTTCAAATGCCTCTGACATATTTCACCCCTTCCTTTTATAAGAGAACCCTTAATCCTAAGGGCTGTAGAGGGATGAAGATCCATCTTCTGTGACTTCTTCAGGCTGAATAGGGGCAATGATATTACTGCCTATTAGGGTCTCTTGTATTTGGGGTAGAGAGGAGCTCTGTCAGAAAGTGTCAGTATGGAGGCTGGGTGCAGTGGCTTACACCTATAATCCCAGTGCTTTGGGAGGCCAAGGCAGGCAGATCACTTGACATCAGGAGCTCAAGACCAGCCTGGGCAACATGGTGAAACCCTGTCTCTACTACAAATATAAAAATTAGCCAGGTGTGGTGGTGGGTGCCTGTAATCACAGCTACTCAAGAGGCTGCGGCAGGAGAATCATTTGAACCCAGGAGGTGGAGTTTGCAGTGAGCCGAGATCAGGCCACTGCACTCCAGTCTGGGTGACAGAGTGAGACTCTGTCTCAAAAAAAGAGAAAGAAAGCGTCATTATGGTGAGGGCCATTTATAACTCTGACAAAAGGTGATATCTGAAAGATTAATAAGTGTTCAATTTAAGAAAACATTCAGTAAGCTTATCCTGCATTCCTACACAAAGAGTACAACAGCAACACATTCCACAATGGTAAAGCAAAATAAGTAAAATTATTCAAAGTAAACTAAATAAGAAGTCTTTCCATGAACTGGGCAATTGTTGAAACCAAGTTGATATGGGGTCACTAGCTTATTCCAATATGTGCCCAGAATTAGAATATTGATCCAGATTTTTACATTATCTATCCCTCTTGTTTCTTCTAAGTAGCAGCCAGAGATCACTGGTTGGTTCTCAGGAATAAGCAGTCAGTTTAAATTGCAGAAAAAAAACTTAAAAACTACTGATAAGACTAGACTCTGGCCGGGTGTGGTGGCTCACACCTATAATCCCAGCACTTTGGGAGGCCAAGGCGGGTGGATCACCTGAGGTCAAGAGTTTGAGACCAGCCTAGCCAACATGGCGAAACTCTGTCTCTATGAAAAGTACAAAAATTAACTGGGCAGGCGTGGTGGCGGGCACCTGTAATCCCAGATACTCAGGAGGCTGAGGCAGGAGAATCACTTGAACCTGGGAGGTGGAGGTTGCAGTAAGGCACAATTGTGCCACTGCACTCCAGCCTGGGTGACAAGAGTGAGACTCCATCTCAAAAAATAAAATAAAATAAAATGACTAGACTCTGATAACATGCGTACCATAGTTTTTGAAACATAACGTTTTTCTCTCCAGTCTCCCATTTTTACTAAAGACAAATCATGGTAACTGATTTGCTTTGTTATACTTGGCCTCATTATTTGTATAAAGTGCAGCAACAATAATTATTTTTCACATAGGCTTTTAAAATCAGCTTTGATGGAATTTTGTTCCTTAGAAGGAATCTCAGATAAGACTTTTTTAAAGCTGAGCCCAGCCATGGGTCTGTACCCTCAAATATCTATATGAGTTGGGTAAATTTCTCTCTTCTTGAGATCCCAAGATAACTTGGGGCTCCTGGACTTGTCATAAAGTGACATTCTTTACTTACCACAGGTCAAGAACCCTGTACAGGGACTACGTAGACAATGTATGAGGCCAGTTTTCCTAAGGGGCTTTTATTGGCACTGTAAGTCAAGTTTGATTCCTTAAAGGAAAGAGTGTCATTCCAGTCAAAGCCTTGGTGAAAAAAAAGTTTCTCCAATTGTGTTCTGATACAAAAGAAAACATTCTTATTGCATTTATGCAAATAATTATATTGCCATAAGTTAAAAATGCTCACAAATGGTTTCTGAATTTTGGAGAAATTGGGCAGAGAGAAACAAATATGCTTCAAATTTTGTTCACAGGAGTATACTTTACTCAATTGTTAAAAGCTGTTAATAGCTCAAAAGAAAAATTTCCTTGGCTCTGAAAAACAAAAGAAAGGATCAGCAACGTTTTAAGCCAAAAGTTAAAAAAAGATTGCTTCAGTCTTCTGTTAGGTCAATCCATGCAGTTAACTCCTGTTTTGCTTGATATTCATGAACATTTCAGCTCTTCATGAGTCCTGAAAGTTTTTTCCTCTATTTTAATGTCACAATTTACAAAGTTATTAGAAACCTACATTCAATAACACCTGTTAGAGTTCTATAATTGATTATAAAACCACCTTCTAAAGAGGACAAAGACAAGACAACAATTGTCCGTGGGTGACAAAACACCTTAGGATAGCCTCTATTAAAGCCACAGTTGACTAAGAATTTTGGTTACTTCTGTGGCATACAACAATTTTTACATAACAATTATAATGATTAACAACATACACTAAGTCATATCAGAATTGTAGGAGTTTCCTGTGATTTTGGAACATATACCAATAACATATTTATACAAATACAGCCCAAAGAAAGCCAAGCGCCATTTCATATTTGACAGTGCTTCCTGTATGATTTTTATACCAAACAAGCCAAACTTCACCATTGAATTAGTGCATTATTGATGTCAAACTCAATTCTTTTTTTTTTTTTTTGAGACAGAATCTCACTCTTTTGCTCAGGCTGGAATGCAGTGACGTGATCCCAGCTCACCGCAACCTCTGCCTCCCAGGTTCAAGCAATTCTTCTGCCTCAGTCTACCGAGTAACTGGGATTACAAGTGTGAGCCACCACGCCTGGCTAATTTTTGTATTTTTAGTAGAAACAGGGTTTCGCCATGTTGGCCAGGCACAGGGACCTCAACAGCACATGCCAGTGAGGATGGGTCTCAAACTCCTGAACTCAGGTGATCCACCTGCCTTGGCCTCCCAAAGTGCTGGGATTACAAGCATGAGCCACTGTGCCCAGGATCAAACCCGATTCTTAATAAAACTTTATAGATAAATCTATCCAATTTTAATGTCTGACCATAAGGTAAGGTTCTTATAAACCTCTTAAAACCCTTTACAATTTTTGTTAAAGAGCAGATTAGTGTTCTAAGAAAACTCTGTTGTGCTTTTATTCCAGTCTTCAATTTATGGATAAACTGAATAATACCCCTTTAATTTTAGCTAATATGTTCACACACAGAATTTCTTTTACAAGATTAATTTTTCACAAACCTTCCACAACTTGTTCAAACTTCAACTTTTTCCTATCTAACCTAAAACAATCCTTTAACCCTTAAATCTAGGCAAAAAAAAAAAATCCACATTCACATGCCTTTTTATAATCTTTTACCAAAAACACATTTCACTTTCCTTGCATGTAAAACTGATTTACTTAAGTCTCATGAACTAAAAGGCATTTATACTTTTTACTTTTCTGACAATATTTGATTTAAGCACCTATTATTTTTAAACCAGTTAATCAAAATGCTTTCATATCACACACACAACCCATATAAATACACAGACAGGCAGAATAATATTCAGTAGTTGTTAAGATTTTTCATTTGCCAGTTTCTTAAATGGATTATGGGTTTCAGGGTAGAGCGCTTGGAGGAACAGGCCCAGGAAAGCACACAGTTTCTAGGGCATCATAAGCAGGTACAGCCAAAGTTGGCCAATTGGTGCTGCAGTCTATTTCCTTTGGGCCAGAGTTTCCTCAGTATTGTCCCTTCAGGGTTCACCTGGAAGATGTTACCGGGAAGGAGTCCCAATCCAGACCCCAAGAGGGAGTTCTTGGATCTTGCCCAAGAAAGAATTCAAGGCAAATCCAAAGAGTAAAGTGAAAGCAAGTTTATTAAGTAAAGGAAACAAAAGAATGGCAACTCCATAGGCAGAGCAGCCGGTCACTTTAAATTCATTTCTACAACCTAATTTTTGACATATTTTAGATGCCAGTTCATTTACTGTAAGGCATAAGATTAGACTTGTTGGCATCAAAGGACTGTGACTTCTAAATGAATGCATATAATAAAGAGATATTTTGCCTGCAAGGCCAATGAGACCCACTTAGGATGGTCTTAGGCTCAGCATTATCCTTGAACAGATTTATGCATATTTCTAACTTTTAAATTTTCATTTACATTTGTTTATTTTATTATACTTCCCAAGAGAAGATTTTCTATAGAAGTTTTATTAAATTCTTCCTATTGTACCTAAACTCTGTCCCCATTGTCCTTCTCTTGCTCCAGATTGTCATATCTCAGACTGATGTGTCTATCAGAGGCACAGGGACCTCAACAGCACACGCCAGTGAGTCAGTCATCAGATTATAGTAGCCTGGGAATGGGGTGAATACAGGCTTGAAGTGGACTAGTATCTATTTCCAAGGAGGCCCAATCTATTGGGTAAGCCATTGCAGCAAGTGTTTCTAGCTAACAAGATGGTCAGAGTCAGGCAGGGGGGCCTTGCTGTGATTCTGGGTTGACCTTGTTTGGAGCTAGATGACTATAGCCAGCATCTAGGAGAGAAAACTGGTTCAAGTCACTAGGCTTGGAAATGTCATCTTGCCAGACCCTCTTATGGTCTTGACTAACTGGGCTGGGTTTATTACCAGTAGAGGAACAGACAACTACATCAGGGCAGAAGCCCAGGCACATGGACATGGAAAAACATATGCATCACTGAGGAAGAGCCTAGAGCTTGATGTACACACAGATGCTTGAGGTTCACCCTGGTCCATTGGATACTGGGTCTAAAATATGTTTTCACATTGGTAATTCTAGGCCTTATCTGCTCCTGGGGGCAGAGGTCCCACCAAATGGTGCCTGCATGGGTCCATACTGACTGTACTTGAGAGAGGCTAAGGGTCCTATAAGACTGGAGAAAGAGGGTTGATGGAAATAGATTAGCCTTGATTGCCTGGAGAATGCCAGCTGGTTTTCAGCCCCCAATACTTTGGAGCAGAATTAGTTAACTTTGAGTGATGGGTGGATCTTTCTTTTCTTCTAATTTAACTTGCTGTTCATGTTTAGCTTACATACAGTATTGGGTCATTTTTTGCATAACTTTTTTTTATTTCTAACAGACTTTATTTTTTAGAGCAGTTTTAAGTTCACAGCAAAATTGAGCAGAAGTTATAGCCCTTGCCCCACGCATGCACAGCCTCTCTGGTTATCAGCATCCCCAACCCAAATGGTACATTTGTTACACTTGATTAGCCCACATTGATTGACACATAGTTATCACCTGGAATCCATAATTTACATTAGGCATTAGGGTTCACTCAGTGTTTTTTTTGTTTTGTTTTGTTTTGTTTGAGATAGAGTCTCGCTCTGTCACCCAGGCTGGAGTGCAGTGGCACGATCTTGGCTCACTGCAACCTCTATCTCCCGGGTTCAACCAATTCTCTGCCTCAGCCTCCTGAGTAGCTGGGATTACAGATGCCTGCCACTACGCCTGGCTAATTTTTGTAGTTTTAGTAGAGATGGGGTTTCACTATCTTGGCCAGGCTGGTCTTGAACTCCTGACCTTGTGATCCACCCACCTTGGCCTCCCAAGGTGCTGGGATTACAGGCATGAGCCACCATGCCTGGCTCACTAGGTGTTTTTAAAAGGAAAAAAAATCTCACTTACTTTGAGAAGACTCTTGTGCTTTCACATGTATAAATATAAGCACTAAAATCACATGAACATACATTCATTTGAAGTTTTCAAGGAAATAATCATGAAATGTTTCAGATTATTATTTAAGTAAAAAATTTTTCTAGGAATGCATGGACCCCTGAGAATTTAGCCACAGACTCTCAGGGATTTGTGGACCTCAATTGGAAAACATTGCTGTAGAACAGTAGTTCATTTTGAACTCATTTTTGCAAGCTAAATTTTGACATGTTTTAGATGCTAATTCTAGGAATGTTCTCCCTTTTCTAAGAAAAGTCCAAGCATTTTTTACCTGCTCTAAAAGAATATCAACGGCTTTTATGTTTCAGAGACTGGATGCAAGAGATTGTTTAACAAATCCCATCCCATCCCTGAGAATGTGTCTAGGCATTTGCTCTTTGCAAAGCCAGATGCAACATTCATAATAACTAAGGCTATCTTCTGGCCAGCACTGCAAGTGTATCTTTTGTCTACATTCTTAAGTAACCACATCAAATAGCATCAACCCACTTGGAAATAATTTTGAAGTGATTTGGATCTCTCTTGTATATTTTCCCTATAAATCCCTAGCCTGGTAGGCGTGTATATTTTCTGCTGCAATATTTAATGCTTAGTTCCTTGCCTACATCTAAGAAATATTAATTTTAGAAGGAATTGGATACTGATATTGGCAAATTTTTATGAGACTGGCTAAAGGAGAAAGAAGAAGGGGACCTGTGATAGAATCTTCCATGACAAGGAGGAAATACTGGCCTCAGTCTCCTGCAGAAGCAGGAGCTCTGGTACACAGGTGGGGTGCCCACTGGTACAGCTCCCATCTGACATGAAGCAGGCAAGCCAAAGGGGAGCAAGAGCAATGCAACCTGTAAGACCCATCCTCAGACATTCTGCTATTGCCCCCAGACAATGGAAGGGGGGCGACAGCTGTCCATGGGGGCACTGCTAAGAGGGTGTTGATCAGCAGATCAGGACTGTAACTCACCATAGTGGTGGACTGCCCTGATCTGGAGACCACTGCCTTTCGAGAATAATTCACCCTACAGAAGCTATCTGAGCATCACCAGACAGGGTCTTCCTGGGAATTAGCACATATCCCAAATTTCCTTCAGCTTTGCCTGCCCACAGTCCCCTGAAAGCCCTCCCTTTTTCTGGGTGTGAGAGGAATGGCTGGGCATCCCTTGGCTTATCCTCCTTCTTGCCCACCATAGCCAGCATCTCAGAGTGAACATGCACGAGGGAGGTAGAAAGACTCCATATCCTTGTTCTTTACAACTTAGAAAAGCCTAAGTTATAGGAGAGAGATAGCACAATGGAATGCTGAATTAGAGGTAAATAATTGGTCTGTTTTTTTTTCACCAGTCTAGTTACTACTATTATGTAAAATATCTAATTTTACATACCCTAAACACCCATACCCAAACACCTTGACAAAGGAATCATTTTACCTCCCAAACATAGTCAGTGTTGATTTCACAAAATATCCCTAGAATTACTCTTTCTGAGGCTAACAGGACTACTTAGATGGTTCCTAAAGTCCCTTCTAACTCCTGCATTCTCTGGTTAATGAATCAGCATTAGTCATGTGGAAGGAAGGTATCCTCCTCAAACTCTTTTTAAGAATGATCTCAAGGAATCCAGAGTGCTCATTAAGTTGGTGAAAGAGTCAGTGCAGAATGCAGCTCATACATATATCCTGATGTGATGTTGGCACCTCTCAAGAAGCTGGGAAAGATGTCCAGGCTGGTCATAGGACTCAGCCCCTATTATGGGTCCAGCAGCCAGTAATAGTAAGCAATGTCTACTTCAAAAGATATCTCTGGCCAGGTGCAGTGGCTCAATCCCAGCACTTTGGGAAGCTGAAGCGGGAGCATCACTTGAGCCCAGGAGTACAAGACCAGCCTGGGCAACATGGCGAGACCCCATGTCTACCAAAAAAGAATTTTTTTTTTTTTTTAGACAGATTCTCACTCTGTTGCCCAGGTTGGAGTGCAATGGCATGATCTTGGCTCACTGCAACTTCTGCCTCCTGGGTTTAAGCGATTCTCCTGCCTCAGCCTCCCGAGTAGCTGGGATTACAGTCACACATCACCATGCCCAGCTAATTTTTGTATTTTTAGTAGAGGTGGGATTTCACCATGTTGGCCAGGATGGTGTCTAACTTCTGACCTCAGGTGATCTGCCAGTCTCAGCCTCCCAAAGTGCTGGGATTACAGGCGTGAGCCACTGTGCCTGGCCAAAACAATTGTTTTAATTAGCTGGCCGTGGTTGTGCATGCCTGTAGTCCCAGCTACTCAAGAGGCTGAGGAAGGAGGATTGCCTGATCCTAGGAGGTTGAGGCTGCAGTGAGCTGTGTTTGCACCACTGCACTCCAGCCTGGATGACAGAGCAAGACCCTATTTCAAAAAAAAAAAGATATTTCTGAGGAGCCATGCTCATTCAAGACTCACTGCTCTTAGAAGAGGTGTTAATCTGGCCAGGTGCCGTGGCTCACACCTGTAATCTGAGCACTTTGGGAGGGTGAGGTGGGAGGATCATCTGAGACCTGGAGTTCAAGGTCAGCCTAAGCAACAGACTGAGACCCTGTCTCTTAAAAAAAATAAGAGAGAGATGTTAATCTATATTAAACAATTGAATAGTGTGAAGATTTTGTAAAACTTTTTAAATCACCGATTATACAAAAGCTCTTATTGAATTATTAAGGAGTTAGCAATTACTATTAATGCTGTTGAATATGAGTAAGAACCCACTTAACTTCAATCAGAATCCATCGATCAAGCTTAAAGCCTTATCTCATAGTTCCCTTCCTGGTCTGTCAGCATTGCCTCATAGAGAGGGAAATACATCCCGCATCTGCCTCATCATGAACTTGGGTGGCCACCAGGATATTGCTCATGAAAGCTGCTTTTCTTTCTTTTTTTTTGTTTTGAGACGGAGTTTCACTCTTGTTGCCCAGGTTGGAGTGCAACGGTGCGATCTCGGCTCACTGCAACCTCCGCTTCCCAGGTTCAAGCGATTCTCCTGCCTCAGCCTCCTGAGTAGCCGGGATTACAGGCGCCCGCCACCACACCCAGGTAATTTTTTGCATTTTTAGTAGAGACGTAGTCTCACCATGTTGGCCAGGCTGGTCTTGAACTCCTGACCTCAGGTGATCTACCCGCCTTGGCCTCCCAAAGTGCTGGGATTACAGGCATCAGCCACTGCGCCTAGCCCGAAAGTTGCTTTTATAAACAGGTTCAAGGCCGGGAAATCCATTCTCCTCCACCTCCCAAAGTGCTGGGATTACAGATGTGAGCCACCGCACCCAGCCAGTTCATAGTTTAAAACAAAGATGATAGCAGCCCCTTCTCAAAACAAATCTCCTTCTTGCCTGGGGACTAGACTGCCTTTGTAGGACTAACGAATTAGGCACAAAATTAAACATTATATTTTAGGAGTCATGCAGCTGGGGGCTACAAGATTCTGACCCTCCCTAAACTGCTCCTAAGATCAGTGCTTGAGATATTTTGCAGGCCTGCACTTGATGGATCAGCTGACACCACCCAGATCAATTAACTGGCTCATCTGATCTTGTGGCCCCCACCCAGGAACTGACTTAGCACACGAGGACAGCTTCAATTCCCTATGATTTCATCTCCTACTTAACCAATCAGCACTCCTCACTAACTGGCTTCCCCCAACCTACCAAGTTGTCCTTAAAAACTCTGATTCCAGAATGCTACGGGAGACTGATTTGAGTAATAATAATACTCCGGTCTCCATTACAGCTGGCTCTGCATGAATTAATTACAGCCGGCTCTGCATGAATTAATTACTCTTTCTCTATTGCAATTCCCGTGTATTGATAAATCGACTCTGTCTAGGCAGCAGGCAAGGTGAACCCACTGGGTGGTTACAACATTAGATAGCAAATTGGCAATTAAAGAATATATCTGTAGAGACAGGATCTTACTAATGTTGCCCAGCTGGTCTTAAACTCCTGGCCTCAAGCAGCCCTCCCACCACCTCAGCCTCCCAAAAGGCTGAGATTACAGGGGTGAGACACCACACCTGGCCAAATTGGCAATTTTTGAAGAAAGATTTCTCACAAGGACTTTGCAAGCTTTATGTACTTTATTTGTTGCAATAATATGAAATGCATCTTTCTGGGAAGGAGAACACAGGTAACTGATTTCAGTGTAATACCTAGCACTCATGCCTTGCTAATCCTTTTTATATCCTATGAGAAAGGAAAAATCCAGGCCGGGCGCGGTGGCTCAAGCCTGTAATCCCAGCACTTTGGGAGGCCAAGGCAGGTGGATCACGAGGTCAGGAGTTCAAGACCAGCCTGGCCAAGATGGTGAAACCCCATTTCTACTAAAACTACAAAAATTAGCCAGGCGCGGTGGCAGGTGCCTGTAATCCCAGCTACTGGGGATGCTGAAGCAGGAGAATCACCTGAACCCGGGCGGCAGAGGTTGCGCCACTGCTCTCCAGCCTGGGCGACAGAGTGAGGCTCTGTCTCCAAAAAAAAAAAAATCCATTTTATGGTTAGATTTGGGGGCTTCAAGCCGTATGTGGAAAAGGCTCTCTTAGGGCATTTGGTCTGTCTGGGCTCCTAAGCTGCTTAGAAATGAGGTCCTTATCACAGCAGATACTTAATAAAAGTGCACTGATCTTTATATACCTCTTTTTTCAGTCCTTTTTCTTTTTCTCAGATCGCCTTTTCCTTCTCTTACTTATCTTTTCCCCTATTTCTTTTCTCTGCGTATGGCTTAGGTTAGTCCTTGGCGGTGCAGAGACACCCCCCAGAAGTTGTTGGACCCTGCTGCAACCTCCCTGCAGCTTAGACTTCATTTCTTCACACTCCTGTATTTGGAGCAGCGACGCTAGTGCCAGGCCCTCAGACCAGGAGACAGTTGCTGCCTCCCACAGTGGCCCTTGGGGGGCGATATTGGCAGTCCCAGGTTAGGCTTCCACGTCCTTGGCTAGCCTTAAGGTTAGCTCTGAACTCTACTGACCTTTGCTCGCTTTGGATGACAAAGGAAATGATCGAGTTTAGAGATGGGCCAGAGGTGGGTGGAGGGGTGGCTGAACCTTCCGGCTTGCGCTGTACAAGCCACAAGACCAAATAAGGGCGTGTGAGCCGCCTCCGTCTGTATTAAAGTTCAGAGTGCAGTGTGCAAAAGTGGGACTCGGTTTTCAGAGATAAGCTGTTACCCAACCCTGCTTGAGTTCCAGCAGCGGAGGCTGCGAAGTCTCCTGCTCTGAGCAGGGCTGGGTCTGGGGGAGAAAGACCTGGGCCCCTGGGCTTGCTTAGCTGGGGAGAGGAAAGAAGGGGGGCTTCCCTCACCAGCACCTGGTGACTGAACGGACCCACAACCCCACAGATTTTCACAAAGGGTTTCCATGACTCTCCCGACTAAAATGTGCCGGCCAGTGTGACTCATTAGAATGTGTAGGAAAGGTCACTGTTTGAGGATATTCAGCCAGTGGGGGAAAAAACCACAACGTTATTTTAATGAACGCTTTTAGCCTGGCTTGTTTCCTGAACATTAAGGTCTAGGGCGGGACTTCGAGTTTGGGGCCTTTTCCAGAGGTATTAACACTGTGTTTGCTAAATACACCCCAGGGAAGGAGTCGTCGGGCTTCTACGAGTCACACTTAAAAGACTGGCAAGAGTTGGCTTCTTCTGTTGTGTTCTTAGCTTCCAAAATAGTAGTCTCTCCTCAGAGCCAGACGCGCAATGCCATCATGTTAATGAGGTGCCTCATGTGCTTCAATAGCCACTGACTGATGGTACCCCGAACCTGCCTGGATTCCTCACCTCTTCCCCTGCCCATCTCTCCTTCCCGCAGCAAACTGCTCATCCTGCAGCAGTCCGAACCTCTGCCTCATTGGCCCTAAGCTTCCTAAGGGAAGGGACCATGACTTGTATTCATGTTTATATCCCTAAAACTCAGCCCTCTGTTTGGCACATAGTGTGTGCTTAGTCCAGATCACTTAAATGTACAATGATTTCATTCTCTCGGAGCCCCGCTCTGGTGGTGTGGGTCCCTGGGGACCCCTCCAGATGCCTTTCTCCAGCCATGGCTGCGCAGGCACCGAGAAGCCGCAGGCTGGTTCCAGCTCACAGCCTCTCGCCTCAGGCCCACACTGCTCCTCCTGCTGTCTGCCCCAGGGCTTGCGATTGCCCGGGGGTCCCCAAGCGGGCTCAACTCTGAAAGATTAGAGAGCTAACAGCCTATGGAGATAAATACTTCCTTCTTTATCTTCCTGGGAAGATGGACAGTTGTAAGATGATTTTCTTACAACTTTCAGACAGTCCTGTGGGAACACACAGCCAGTGCCCATAAGTAGGGCCACATCAGTAGAGCATCCCTGCTTCCCTGCCTTCTCCATCTGTCAGTGGCTTCTGCTCCTGGGGTCACAGTCCCCAATAAAGTACACACTAAGCCTTCTTCCTAGGGGAGCTGAGACTCGAATACATTCAGAGCCCTTTAAGAAGTTCTCTCACAGACTTATTTTTGTTTTCAAAATTCAATTCCTCTAAATATATTTCTGTTCCTCTTTCGTCTAAGTCTCATTCTTTTTGACTGAGAAGTCAGAAGCAAAATTAAAGTTTAGTGACTAGGGTTTTTTTGTCCTGTTATACGTTGACATTCCTTACCGTGGGTGTATCTGTGCTTTCTTTGCTCTTACTCTGAACATGCCCAAAAAAACTCTTGTGTTATCTTTAGCATATTTCATAAGCCACAATTCAGGAAGTTAGAGAAATTGCTCCCTGGTGCAGAGCAACAGAACTGCCGACCTCTTTCCACTCCAATTGCGGTGAAAGTGATATCTCTCTGCCTGAGCTGACGTTGGCCTTTAGGCTTCTCTAATTATTTCCTTAGGTTAGATTTCTAGAAACACAGGGTCAAAGGGCACAGATATTCACATATAGGCAAGTTACCTTCTTCTTGAGATGTAGCAATTTAAACTCATAACAGCAGTACATAACAGTGCCCCTTTCTCTGTGTCTTTCTCCAACACAGACATCTTGCTTTAATTTTGCATTTATTTGATTCTTTCTGAGAAGCAGAAGGAATATATGTTGGCCGTTTGCATTTCTTCTTTTCTAAATTACCTGTTTTCTTTCCTTCCTTCCTTCCTTCCTTTCTTTCTCTTTCTTTCTTTCGAGACGAAGTCTCACTCTTGTTGCCCAGGTTGGAGTACAGTGGCTCAGTCTCGGCTCACTGCAGCCCCCACCTCCCAGGTTGAGGCTATTCTCCTGCCTCAGCCTCCCGAGTAGCTGGGATTACAGGTGCCTGCCACCACGCCCAGCTAATTTTTGTATTTTTAGTAGAGATGGGGTTTCTCCGTGTTGGCCAGACTGGTCTTGAACTCCTGACCTCGTGATCCACCCGCCTTGGCCTCCCAAAGTGCTGGGATTACAGGCGTGAGCCACTGCGTCCAGCCTATTACTATTATTCTTTTTTTCTTTTCTTTTTTTTCTTTTTCTTTTTTTTTGAAACCGGAGTTTCGCTCTTGTTGCCCAGGCTGGAGTGCAATGGCGCGATCTTGGCTCACCGCAACCTCTGCCTCCTAGGTTCAAGCAATCCTCCTGCCTCAGCCTCCTGAGTAGCTGGGATTACAGGCACGCACCACTGTGCCCGGCTAATTTTGTAGTTTTAGTAGACACAGGGTTTCTCCATGTTGGTCAGGCTGGCCTCAAACTCCTGACCTCAGGTGATCCGCCCACCTCAGCCTCCCAAAGTGCTGGGATTACAGGCGTGAGCCACCACACCTAGCTAAAAATTCTTTAATAGGTCTCTTTAATGTTTTAAGTAGTCCTAGATTTCCCCTGTGAACCATCTTGAAAGTTTTGCCTTTTATTCTCAGTTCTCTTTTGCTGGCTTCTTATCAGGAAACACCACCTGACTGATTTGAGATGTAAAGTGATGGAGTGCAAAGACCACAGGTCTCTGTATTCAAAGGTCTAGGTGCAAGGTACAACCTTACCGGATATTTCAGAGCTTGTCTTTTATAATTTTTGAGCTGAGAAGGTCAGGTGAGATAAACTGTATGGACTGGAATTCTGATTTGAGATGTAAAGTGATGGAGTGCAAAGACCACAGGTCTCTGTATTCGAAGGTTTAGGTGCAAGGTACAACCTTACCAGATATTTCACAGCTTGCCTTTTATCATTTCTGAGCTGAGAGGGCCAGGTGAGATAAACCCTATGGACTAGAATTCTGAAAGGAGAGCAGTATGTCAACAAAGGAGGATTCAGCAACTGCCTGATGCAATCTCTAGTTATCTTCGTCCTGCACCAGCAGTATATGATGCTATCTCATCCAACTCCATTCTTCAGATTTGTCATCTCTCCTTTACTTGGATAAAACCTGGCTGGAAACTTGGCTTCAGTCCTCCATATCCATCTGTTTTAGGCAGACTTAACTCAGCTTTACATCTTTGCAAACTTACCCACGCACATCAGCATCCGAGAAATTTCCATACTCTTTGATTAAAATTGCAGTAAAAGTCACAAAGGACCTTGCTTAAAATGAAAGGAAGTTTCTAGGAACTCTAAGCTCAGTAACTTTATGACCATTCCCTGTAGAGCTGCAAAGGTCTGGATTTGAAAAGTCATAAGTAGCAAGGGAATTGCGCCAGAATACCTGTCTTTTGCTGGAGCAAATCCATTGCCTGGTTCATGCCTATGTCACATAGGCAGGGCAATGCCAGACTTTTCTTTTCTTTTTTTAAAGACAGAGTTTCGCTCTTGTTGTCCAGGCTGGAGTGCAGTGGCACGATCTTGGCTCACTGCAACCTCCACCTCCTGGGTTAAAGCGATTCTCCTGCCTCACCCTCCCAAGTAGCTGGGATTACAGGCGCCCACCACTAAGCCCGGCTAATTTTGTGTTTTTAGTAGAGATGGGGTTTCTCCATGTTGGTCAGGCTGGTCTCAAACTCTCAACCTCAGGTGATCCGCCCACCTTGGCCTCCCAAAGTGCTGGGATTACAGGTGTGAGCTACAGCACCCGGCCTTCTTTTTTTTCTCTTTTTTTTAATTTTTTTTTTTTGAGACGGAGACTTGCTCTGTTGCCCAGGCTGGAATGCAGTTGCTCACTGCAACCTCCGCCTCCTGGGTTCAAGGGATTCTCCTGCCTCAGCCTCCCGAGTAGCTGGGACTACAGGCATGCGCCACCACACCCGGCTAATTATTGTATTTTTATTAGAAATGGGGTTTCCACATGTTGGCCAGGCTGGTCTCGAGCTCTTGACCTCAAGTGATCCACCCTCCTGGGATTACAAGAGTGATCTGTCCCCTCCCCTCCCCTCATCTCCCCTTCCTCCACTCCTCTTCCCTTCTCTCTCTTTTGAGACAGGGTCTCATTCTGCTGCCCAGGCTGCAGGTGCAGTGGTGTGGTTATGGTTCACTGCAGTCTTGATCTCCCAGGCTCAAGTGATCCTTATGCCTCAGCCTCCCAAGTAGTTAGGACTACAGGTGCATGCCACTGACCTGGCTAATTTTTTAAATTTATTTTTTGTAGAGATGTAGCTCAGAATGGTCTTGAAGCCCTGGCCCAAGCAATTCTCCCTCCTTGGCCTCCCAAAGTCCTAGGATTACAGGCATGAGCTACTGCGCCCAGCCCAGACTTTTTTGTTGTTGTTGTTGTTGCTGTTTCTCACCCAGGTTGCAGTACAGTGGTGCGATCACAGCTCACTGGAGCCTTAACCTCTGGGGCTCTGGCAATCCTCCTGCCTCAGCCTCCCAAGTAGCTGGGACCACACACATGCCACCACTCTCAGCTAATTTTTTTTTTAATTTGTTGAGACAGGGTCTCACTATGTTGCCCAGGCTGGTCTTGAACTCCTGTGCTCAAGTGATCCTCCCACTTTGGCCTCCCAGAGTGCTGAGATTACAGGTGTGAGCCACCACACGTGGCCCCCAGATATTCTTTAAGTGTAAAGCTTGACTACTATTTGAGGCTTGACTTCTGCTTTCAAATTGATTTTGAATTACATACAAGTAATTTCCAAGGAGAGTCAGTTAACAAGATAAAATTGTGGTCTTTACCATATGTGCATTCTTTTATATTCTCAGCCCCATTAGTGCTTGTATAAGTCCATGTGTACTAAGTAAATCTCTTTTAACCAGTTCTTTCCAACTGTGAAAAGAAGTAAATTATATGGGGCTGGGCGTGGTGGCTCGCGCCTGTAATCCCAGCACTTTGGAGGCTGAGGCGGGCGGATCACTTGAGGTCGGGAGTTTGAGAACAGCCTGGCCAACATGGTGAAACCCCATTTTCATTAAAAATACAAAAATTAGTCGAGCGTGGTGGCGGGCACCTGTAGTCCCAGCTACTCAGGAGGCTGAAGTAGGAGAATCGCTTGAACTCAGGAGATGAAGTTTGCAGTGAGCTGAGATTGTGCCACTGCACTATAGCCTGGGCAACAGAGCGAGACTCTGGCTCAAAAAAAAAAAAAAAAAAGAAAGAAAGAAATTATATGGATTTTTCAGGGAGCTTACAAGGATAAGAAAATAGGACTTGGCTGGGCGCAGTGGCTCACACCTGTAATCCCAGCACTTTGGGAGGCAGAGGAGGGCGGGTCACCTGAGGTCAGGAGTTCGAGACCAGCCTGGCCAACATGGTGAAACCCCTTCTCTACGAAAGTACAAAAATTAGCCAGGCATGATGGCGGGTGCCTGTAATCCCAGCTACTCGGGAGGCTGAAGCAGAAGAATCACTTGAATCTGGGAGGCGGAGGTTGCAGTGAGCTGAGATTGTGCCACTGTACTCCAGCCTGGGCAAGAGAGTGAGACTCAATCTCAAAAAAAAAAGAAAAAAGAAAATAGGGCTGAGGCAGGAGGATCACTTGATACCAGGAGTTTAAGACTAGCCTGGGCAACATAGCAAGACCCCATGGCTATAAAATTAAAAAAGGATTAAAAAGTAGATAATATTAAAACACCTTAGATTTTTCAAAGTAATGGAGCTCTTTTTTTTTTTTTTTTTTTTGAGATGGAGCCTTGCTCTGTCACCCAGGCTGGAGTACAGTGACATGATCTCGGCTCACTGCAACCTCCATCTCCCAGGTTCAAGCGATCTTCCTGCCTCAGCCTCCTGAGTAGCTGGGATTACAGGCACGCACCACCACACCCAGCTAATTTTTTGATTTTTAGTAGAGATGTGCTTCACCGTGTTGGCCAGGCTGGTCTCGATTTCCTGATGTCAGGTGATCCACCCGCCTCAGCCTCCTAAAGTGCCAGCACCAATGTGCCCGGCTGGAATGGAGCTCTTAATATAAATTGTACTTATTAGTTTTTCGTTTCAGCCTATAAAATGTACAAATCTTTCTCTTTAAAAAAAAAAAAACACTCCTTTGATGCTGTATGCCTTGCAAGTTAACACACTTTCCATCTACTCTTCATAGCAGAGTTCTTACAAGAGAGATCCACGCATGTGCTTTTCATTTCACCATTGACTCAGAAGTTACATTTATGATTTTATCACAAAGAAATATTGAGAGAGGCATACAGAGTTATGGATAAGGATGCTCATTACAACCTTTTTACAATACTAAAAAATTGGAAACAACCTAAATAATTGATGATAGGGAGGCTTTAAAAAATTATGGCATCTATAAATGAGAATTTGGCTTTGCTGCAAATAGCAGATGACCCACAATAACTGTGGTAGGAGGAGGGATGCTATCTGGGACCGTGTGATGGCTCACTCCCCAGAGTCCTTGCAGCTTGGTTTCCTCCTTTTTCATTACTCTACTCTGTCTGGCTTCATACCTAAGATTACTTCACAGACCAAGAGGGCTTCTCCTGTTCTAGTTATCAGCAAGAGGGACTAGACAAAGAAAACTGGGGCAACTATCATTCACCAACTGTCTCTTAAGGAAGCATCCAAAAACTGACTTACATGTTTATCTAGGGTAGAATTGTTACTATATTAGAGAAGACAGAAACTATGCTTGGACCCAGGCCTTGAGCTGATTAGGGTTGAACTTTAGGCAAAGAACAACTCAGATAGTTAGTCTAAAAGGAGTTTTTTCTACATTTATCTGTTTGAAATTTCCCAGCATCAAATTTTATATTTTCCTATATTGAGGGGAAGGGGCCCCATTAGGATATTTTGCCCTTTTGCCCAATGTATACACTTTTTAACCCATAATCTGTTTTATAAAATTGCAATCTTTCGGCCTGGCGCAGTGGCTCACGCCTGTAATCCCAGCACTTTGGAAGGCCAAGGTGGGTGGATCACGAGGTCAGGAGATCCAGTCCATCCTGGCTAACACGGTGAAACCCCGTCTCTACTAAAAATCCAAAAACAAACTTAGCCGGGTGTGGTGGCGGGCGCCTGTAGTCCCAGCTACTCGGGTGGCTGAGGCAGGAGAATGGCGTGAAGCCAGGAGGCGGAGGTTGCAGTGAGCCGAGATCGCACCACTGCACTCCAGCCTGGGTGACAGAAGGAGACTCCGTCTCAAAAAAGAAAAAAAAATTGCAATCTTTCAAACATCTTGCTTACATGCATCAGCCCCCAGTGGCTGGTATAATTCCCTTTGGTTCATCCAAATATAGAGTACTTCTGTCAAGCAACTAGTGCTTGTTAAACCCCCTAACACACTTCCTTGCATAGGGTAGAAGCACAATTACTTATTGTTTATTTATTTTAAAAAATTGTTCATTGACTTGAGTTGTACCATGTACCACCTAAGAAATAGAAGAATAAGGCACAGGCCTAGTCTTATATTTTAAGTTTAGCTAAAGAGACACACAAAACAACAGAAAATAATAGAATACTATTCAAATCAGGTACGAAGTGGGGTAGTCTAAGCTATAGTTGGTAGAGGAGTTCAGTGAAGGTTTCTAAATACAAGGAAGGTGTGTAGTAAAGAATTTGGCCTTGTCCAATGAGAGATCTGGTCTCTCATTGGCTTTTGGGAGGTTATCTGTGTCATACCTGATAGCAGTGTCTTTGCTCTGTGAGGGAAGCTCACTTGGAGAAAGGCTCACAGGAACAGGTGTTGCTCCACGCCTTTCTTTTAGTGGCTCCACCCCCTGATAGTGGGTGAGATCAATCATTTGCTTATGACACAGTCCTAGACTTAAGAGTTGGAAGGACTCTCAGGCAGTCATCAGGTGCATCCCAGAATTATTTTATCTTTACTGATGATGCAGCTCCTGCCAGGTCACATGGAAAGCAGGGGAGCTAGAACTCGGGTTCTGTGTCATCCTACCCCATGTTCTCTCTGCCACATCACATTGCCTGCTCGTGACACTGGACCACTGTAATCATGGACGGTACTCTGTCCCTGAGCTTCTGGGGTGAAACTGGCTATTAACCCTTGCCATGTCTCCCTTCCCTGAGCCTTGAATCCTGCTTGCCCTGTGGTGCCCCCATGTCCCCCAGTACGGTTCTCCCCGCTGCCCTCTATAACCAAGCACCTGGCAGGTTATTGCTTTTCCATAAAGCTGGAAAACTCTTAGACAGTGAGAGGCAGGTGGCCAGACTGCTGCTGTCCTTTGAAGGTTTAGGGCCAAGACTGAGCAGCAATTGAAAGTATCCATTGAACACCTGCTGTGAGTAAGACATCGCCTCTATCTTAAGCCTTTGCTCTATTCCAATGGAAACTACAGTTTCCAGGCTCCCATGTCCATTGGCTTCTGGAGGGGTTTGACCAGTAGATGGCAATGATGGATGACTAGGAGGTAGCAGAGGGAAGAACCAGGTATTTCCCCCATCCTCCACCCTAAGTGGCATGTCCATCAGCAGGTTGGTGTTTTCCCTGACATCTAGCTAGTTCTCCTGACATCTAGTTCCCACCACTGCTCCCCTTCCATGGCTCTGCTGTCCCCTATCTTAGAGGTGGTGGTGCCCTTCTGCTGTGGCCAGTCTCTGCGTTGTTTCACTGTTTCCTGTTTGGCCTCTCAGCTCTTCCCATACAGTGGGTAAACAGGTCTCTATATTAAATTCCTTCTGAAATACCTGGTGGTCTCCATTTTCTTGGTTAGACCTTGACTGATTAATGGCTCATGTAACATCCGTCCATCGGGGGACTTATGATAGGTTGGAGAGTCAAGAATTAAATATATGCAGCCTGTAATCCCAGCACTTTGGGAGGCTGAGGCGGGCGGATCATCTGAGGTCAGGAGTTCTAGACCAGCCTGGCCAACATGGTGAAACCCTGTCTGTACTGAAAATACAAAAACTAGCCAGGCATGGTGGCGCACGCCTGTAATCCCGATTACTGACAGGCTGAGGCAGGAGAATCGCTTGAACCCAGGTGGCGGAGGTTGCAGTGAGCTGAGATCATGCCACTGCACTCCAACCTAGGTGACAGAGCAAGACTCCGTCTCAAAAAAAAAAAAAAAAGTATATATATATATGTATGTAAAATACTAGTAAAATAAAATGTAGAGATTCCATACATGTACTAAAAATCACTGAGTTATTAGCTGGGCTTGGTGGCTCACACCTGTAATCTCAGCTACTTGGGAGGCTGAGGTGGGAGGATCACTTGAGCCTGGAAGTCAAGGCTCCAGTGAGCTGTGATTGTACCACCGCATTCCAGCCTGGGTGACAGAGCAAGACTCTGTCTCAAAAAAATAAATTATCAGCCAGGTGTGGTGGCTCACGCCTGTACTCCCAGCACTTTGGGAGGCCAAGGTGGGTGGATCACGAGGTCAGGAGTTTGAGACCAGCCTGGCCAATATGGTGAAACCCTGTCTCTACTAAAAATACAAAATTAGCTGGGCATGGTGGCACATGCCTGTAATCCCAGCTACTCGGGAAGCTGAGGCAAGAGAATCACTTGAACCGGGGAGGCAGAGGTTGCAGTGAGCTAGGATGGTGCCATTGCATTCCAGCCTAGGCAACAAGACCGAAACACCATCTCAAAAATAAATAAATAAAATAAAATATTCAGGAGAAAAAATGAAAAATGAAGAGTGAGTAGATTAGACTAGTGATCTCCAAACATTTTTATCACACTCCCCTAATGGCAAGAAACAACATTTGAGCTTGCACCTCCATATTTATGTACTTATTTATTCAAACTGTGTACATGTTAAACCCTGTTGGTATATGATGCCTTATAAAATAGCTACAAAATATAAATGTAAACAGAAAAACAGGTAAATAGAAGTCCTGGTGATTCATTGCTTTACCTCAATGAGTCATCTTACACATCTCCTGTGGTGCCTACCCCACTTTGAAATCATAAACCGCTTGTAGAAGTGGCCATCAAAGAGCTCTGCAAGGGACTGCAAGAAAGAAGGACTGGGGGCCAGGTGCAGTGGCTCACACCTGTAATCCCAGCACTTTGGGAGACTGAGGTGGGCGGATCACAAGGTCAGGAGTTTGAGACCAGCCTGGCCAATATGGTGAAACCCCGTCTTTACTAAAAATACAAAAATTAGCTGAGCATGGTGGCAGGTGTCTGTAGTCCCAGCTACTGGGGAGGCTGAGGCAGGAGAATCCCTTGAACCTGGGAGGCGGAGGTTGCAGTGAGCTGAGATTGCTCCACTGCACTCCAGCCTGGGCAACAGAGTGAGACTCCATCTCAAAAAAAAAAAAGAAAAAAGAAAGAAAGACTGGGGAGTTCTTTCTTTTTTTTTTAAAGGAGGGTTTAAATTAGGCTAATGCAGCAATAACAGCCACACTTTTGATGTTTACACATTTCTTTACAGTTCTTGAAGTCTCGCTCTGTTGCCCAGGCTGGAGTGCAGTGGCACGGTCTCGGCTGACTGCAAGCTCCACCTCCCAGGTTCACACCACTCTCCTGCCTCAGCCTCCCAAGTAGCTGGGACTACAGGCGCCCGCCACCACGCCCGGCTAATTTTTTTTTTGTATTTTTAGTAGAGATGGGGTTTCACCGTGTTAGCCAGGATGGTCTCAATCTCCTGACCTCGTGATCCGCCCGCCTCGGCCTCCCAAAGTGCTGGGATTACAGGCGTGAGCCACCGTTCCGGCCCTTTTTACAGTTCTTAAATGCTTTCTGACCTGTGTTATCTCATTGACTCTTTCAAATAATGAGAAAGGAAGTGAATCAAAATAGGAGATAGATTGGGGAAAACTTGAACGTGTGACCAAGAGGAGTTTGGACTTGATCATAAAAGTAATGATGCTTTATCAGATGTGTCACATCACAGAGCAGATATTTACAGTCCAAAGTCCCTCCCTAAATGATTGGCCTCACCCACAATGACTGGGTGGAGCCACCGAAAGAAAGGCATGGAGCAACACTTCTTCCTGCATCGCCCCTCAAAAGAGCAGATCCCAGTTCTCTGAAGATAAATGGAAGGCAGCCATGAACTTCCCCCTCTTTGAGGTTTATCTTTCAGCACCTTAGCACCTCAGAACAACAGAGAATTAGTAGGCTTAGCCTACTATCCTCCTATCCTTTCTCTCGTGTGCTAAAGTTCCATACAATATTACTGGTGTATTCCCTCTCCAAAATGATGCCTTAATACATTTATGTGAACCTCTCAGCCAGGAGTATGTATGTAGCTATTGTCATTCCAAGACATTTTCTCTGTTCCCATTGTCCATTTCTCCTTCAGCTGCGTGAGCTCAGGGGCTTATGTTTTACACACTATATTCAGCTCCATTTCCAGGAAACAAAACTGAACTTTGTCCTGATCCCGCTTTATCCCTTTCTCCTGATCCTGTCCCTCACCTGCTGAGCTGTCTGTCCTGCTCACTGCAGGAGCACTATGAGAACCACGTGGAGTGGCCGACAGGATAGGGCTTTGAAAAGTACAAAGCTGCCCTCTGTAGAAAACACCCTAAAGCAGAGGTTCCCAACCCCCAGGCTGCAGACCAGTACAGGTCCGTGGCCTGTTAGGAACCAGGCAGCACAGCAGGAGGTGAGTGACGGGCAAGCAAGCATTACTGCCTGAGCTCTGCCTCCTGTCAGATCAGCAGTGGAATTAGATTCTCATAGGACTGCAAACCTTATTTTGAACTCCGCGTGCGAGGGATCTAGGTTGCACGCCCCTATGAGGATCTAATGCCCCCCACCCCTGTCCATGGAAAAACTATCTTCCATGAAACTGGTCCCTGGTGCCAGAAAGGTTGGGGACCACTGCCATAAGGGGTTGGCAGATGAACCAGCTGAAGCAAAGGAAACAATTACATTATTTATTGCTGAGGCTCATGTTGTTTTTGTGCTGAAAAACCTCCAGTGACTCTCCTTTGCCCAAAGTCCGAAAGGGGGCCAGTTAATGACCTTTGTCCATAGGGAGGTGATAACAGCCTGCCTGGTAGGGAGCAGAGCCCATGTCCTCTCAGTAGCATTATGGGTGTTGCTGTAGGACCTGACCCAAAGAGAGATAGGTATCAGTTTATAAGATTATGAATAATATTTTCAAAAAAGGGGGCCAAGATGAGGCCTTAGTCTCATATCAGGTGACACCATAGATCAAAGCACAGAAAAGAGACAGGAAGGATTTCAGCAGGTTGGAGAAGGAGATAGGCCTGTGATGTGGCCAGGTGGAGACACAGATAAGTTGAAGTTTATTCTGGTAAAGACCTTTGTACCTGACATGCAGCAAGTCCCAGTCCTGATGGAGGGAGGATGTAGCCAGCTCCCTAGTGCTAAAGCATTTTGGCTTTGCAGGCAAAAACCTGCATTCAAAATCTAACTATAACAGCCTTGCAAACAAGCTACTTAACTTCATCGGTAAAGGCTCTGTCAAAGGCCAGGTGCAGTGGCTCACGCCTGTAATCCCAGCACTTTGGGAGGCTGAGGTGGGCAGATCACCTGAGGTCAGGAGTTCAAGACCAGCCTGGCCAACTTGGTGACACCCTGTCTCTACTAAAAATACAAAAATTAGCTGGGTGTGGTGGCGGGTGCCTGTAATCCCAGCTACTTGGGAGGCTGAGCAGGAGAACCATTCGAACCCAGGAGATGGAGGTTACAGTGAGCTGAGATCATGCCATTACATTCCAGCCTGGGTGACAGAGCGAGACTCTGACTCGGGAAAAATACATAAATAAATAAATACAAAAATTAGCTGGGTGTGGTGGCACGTACCTGTAATCCCAGCTACTCAGGAGACTGAGGTGGGAGAATTGCTTGAACCCGGGAGGTGGAGGTTGCGGTGAGCCGAGATTGTGCCACTGTACTCCAGCCTAGGCGACAGAGCAGTAATCCCAGCACTTTGGGAGGCCAAGGTTGGGCCAATCACCTGAGGTCAGGAGTTCAAGACCAGGCTGGCCAACATGGCGAAACCCCATCTCTACTAAAAATACAAAAATTAGCTGGGCGTGGTGGTGGGTGCCTGTAATCCCAGCTACTCAGGAGGCTGAGGCAGGAACCCCGGAGGCAAAGGTTGTAGTGAGCCGAGATCTCACCATTGCACTCCAGCCTGGGTGACAGAGGGAGACTCCATCTCAAAAAGAAAAAAACAAAACAAAACAAAAAAAACCTCTGTCAAAAGATGTTCATGAGGTTAATGAAGTAACATATCTTTGTACTTTTTATTAAAGTACTATTACTAATATTCTCATAAAGTGCATATCATCATGCCTTGTGCTCAAGTTCATTTTTAACACATTTGTCTCCCCAACTTGTGGACAGAGCCTTGTCTCATTGATGTTGTTTCTTACCCTCAGCAACAAGCATAAAGCTCCAAAAGTGTGTTGTGTGGAATTATGCATTAATTTCTAGTTGTTTCATGTTTGTAAATCTCACCTTAACTGAAATCTGCTGAAGCTTAAGGGCAGGGACCCTTACCCCCAATGTAACTATCATAAAACTGGGCATGCACCTACTGGAGCTTAGGGAGAAGGTTGTGCCTGATTAGAAAAGGTGTTCAAGTTGTGCTTCTCTCTTGTAGGGATTTCCCAGATGACCCAGGCATGCAGTGGGACACAGAGCACGTGGCCAGAGTCCTCCTTCAGCACATAGAAGTGAATGGCATCAATCTGGTAAGGGGGCAGCTCCCTGAATGGAAAACCTGAGGTCTTGGTCCCATTCACACCAGGTGGTTTCTGTAATTTTTTCTGTGGCCACCCTCCCACTTCCAGTCCTTCTCCAGGGCCACTCTCTAAGGAGGCCAGAACTTCCAATGCTCACCATTAAACCTACTGAAGAACAAACACACCTTTTGATATCTTTACGATCTTGTGTGAGACTGAATAACTAAATTATCAGTGCTCAGATAGAGGCAGAAGTTTTTTCTAAACTGTGTCCTCCTTAACACCCTCAAGCCCCCGCCTTTGTCCTGCCATCTAAAAATTCAGGTCCCCCAGAGCCTGCCCAGTGATTCTCATTTATACAGAACTTGACCTCACCTTTTACCAAGCATTTTCACAGAGTATCATTTTAACTTTAAAAGTAAAATTTGTGACTGGGTGTGGTGGCTCATGCCTGTAATCCCAGCACATCGGGAGGCCGAGTTGGACGGATCACCTGAAGTCAGGAGTTCCAGACCAGCCTGGCCAGCATGGTGAAACCCCATCTCTATTAAAAATACAAAAATTAGCCGGGCGTGGTGGCATGTGCCTGTATCCCAGCTACTTGGGAGGCTGAGGCTCGAGAATCGCTTGAACTTGGGAGGCAGAGGTTGCAATGCGCAAAGATTGTGTTACTGCACTCCAGCCTGGGTGGCAGAGTGAGACTCTGTCTCAGAAAAAAAAAAAAAAAGTAAAATTATCAGTTTACATTGAAGAAACTGAGGTTTTGCAGAGGCCAAGCAGCTTGTCCAAGGTAAACAAGTGGTGGTGAAGCCAGGATTTTTAAGCATTGATTTCTTCATTCCAAAAAACATGAGAATGCATTCATACCCACTAAGGAAGAAAATTTTTGATGCAATTAGAGCAATAGCAGAGATTTGTATTTACTGCAATGGTGGACAAGCCTAGCAACACCAGTCTCAGCTCTTCTAGGATCAGCAGGACTGCTTAGCCCATAGTCAATTTTAAAGCTGCCAAGGAGGCTTACTGTCTACCACTCAAAAAATATATAATAATCCTTCATGAGGTAATATCTAAAATTCCACATTTAAAGCCTCACCATTTGGCTTAAGTTTTGATTAAGTTCTCATGAAAACATGAATCCTGCTGGCAGAGAAACATATTAGGCTTTTTTTTTTAATTTTTTTTTTTTAAGACACAGGTTCTCCCTCTGTTGCCCAAGCTGGAGTGCAGTGGCTGCCTCAGCCTCCCAAGTAGCTAGAACTATAGGCACATGCCATCATGTCTGGCTAATTTCTTTTTTCTTTTTTTTTTCTGAGACAGAGTTTCCCTCCATCGCCCAGGCTGGAGTGCAGTGGCGGGATCTCGGCTCACTGCAACCTCCGCCTCCCGGGTTCAAGTGATTCTCCTGCCTCAGCCTCCTGAGTAGCTGGGACTACAGACACGTGCCACCACGCCAGGCTAATTTTTGTATTTTTAGTAGAGATGGAGTTTCACCATGTTGATCAGGCTGGTCTCAAACTCCTGACCTCGTGATCTGCCTGCCTCGGCCTCCCAAGTACTGGGATTACAGGCATGAGCTACCACACCCAGCCAATTTTTAATTTTTTTTTTTTTTTTTTTGAGACAGAGTCTCGCTCTGTTGCCCAGGCTGGAGTGCAGTGGTGTGATCGCCGCTCACTGCAAGCTCCGCCTCCCGGGTTCACGCCATTCTCCTGCCTCAGCCTCCCAAGTAGCTGGGACTACAGGCGCCCACCACCACACCCAGCTAATTTTTTGTATTTTTAATAGAGATGGGGTTCCCCTATGTTAGCCAGGAGTCTCCATCTCCTGACCTCATGATCCACCCACCTCGGCCTCCCAAAGTGCTGGGATTACAGGCGTGAGCCACCACGCCCAGCCTAATTTTTTTTTTTTAGAGACAGGATCTTGCTGTGTTGGCCAGGCTGGTCACCATCTCCTGGGCTCAAGCTGTCCTCCCTCATTGGCCTCCCAAAGCACTGGGATTACAGATGTGAGCCACTGCATCAGGCCCTGAGAGCAGATTTTCATTGATATATTCATTGGACTGTTTCTGTTCTCTAATGACAGAAATACAACTGAAATTTAGTACACACAGGCCAAAACAGGCACCTAATTTGCTCACCCTGAGTCACCTAAAAGCTGAGCTGCAGATGGGCCTCAGGTACCCTGACCCTACCACGACTCATCTCCATCTTTCTCTGCATGTTGGTTTTATTCCTTTTCCTGGCTGGAAAAATGGTCACCAGCAGCTTGCAGGCCCCACACTCCCTGCCTACCCTTCCCAGAGGATCTGAGCATGAAAGCGGTAATGTTAGATCCATGGGCTTAGGAATAATGCCTAGCTGTGCTGACTGGGGCTTGCCTTGGTTCTCTTACTCCTCCTCTTCAGCCCACACAGTTTGAAGTTCTCAGAGCCTCCACAGCCTCGATATGTAGACAGAGCTGAGGTTGGAGGTTGTCATGGCCAGCCTGAAGTACTCCCTGGCACCTCATTTTCCATGCTAGTGCCTTCCCAGTCCCTAAATACTCTCTGTCCTCCCCTACTTCAGTGCACGAGAACTACTGGTCTTCCAAATTGCTCCTGCTGTAGGGTACTCTTATCTTTTTTTCTTTTTCTTTTTTTTCTGTGAGACAGAGTCTCGCTCTGTCACCAGGCTGGAATGCAGTGGCGCGATCTCAGCTCACTGCAGCATCCAACTCCCTGGTTCAAGTGATTCTCCTGCCTCAGCCTTCTGAGTAGCTGGGACTACAGGTGCGCGCCACCACGCCCAGATAATTTTTGTATTTCTGGTAGAGATGGGGTTTCACCATGTTGCCAGGATGGTCTTGGTCTCCTGACCTCGTGATCCGCCTTCCCCGGACTTCCAAAATGCTGGGATTACAGGTGTGAGCCACCGCACCCAGGCTACTCTCATCTTTTTAAACTTGGAATCCAAAATCCTCTATAATCTGACCCTTACTGAAGTCCTGAACACTGGTGAACAACGTTGGTCTTTGCCGAGGGGCCAGATTTCTTTTTCAGACCATGTTGCAGCTGACCTTGACCCTGAGTATCTGAGGGAGGAGCTTTGGGGCACAGGCAGCTCTGTGTGCCATTCTTGCTTTCAGAAGAGTCTCCCATGTTTGGGTCCCAGAAAAGTGATCTGTGGTCCAGGCACCCCTCCAGACCTTCTTCTCAAAGAAGAGCTAACTTTGATGAGCCCTTTTTGAGGCTCCGGCAGTATTTGCTGTGTGTACTGCAACATATGTTGCTGTTTATTCTTAAAAGTGCAGACCACGTCTTGCAAACTAGACTAAGGCCTGTGAAGGCCAAGGCTGTGCCTGGTATCTTTATATCTCCAAGAACTAGAGCAGGCCCCTGGACAGTGCTCCTTACCAAACTGCTGCAGCTGTTAACTGCCACCTCCCTGCCTGGAAGTCTTTCCTGTGGTGCTGAGCTGCTCACACTTACTCAAGTGAGTCGACTTTTATTGTCAAGAGAATCTTCAATTGATTTAATTGCTATAAACAAGGAAATCGTATAAAACAGCTCCTTACTAATAAATTTCTCCTTTTTTTTTTTTCCTGAAATGAAGTCTCGCTCTGTTGCCTAGGCTGGAGTGCAGTGGCATGACCTCGGCTCACTGCAACCTCCGCCTCCCGGGTTCAAGCGATTCTCCTGACTCAGCCTCCTGAGTAGCTGGGACTACAGGTGCATGCCACCACGCCCAGCTCATTTTTGTATTTTTTTTTTTCTTTTTTTGAGACAGAGTCTTGCTCTGTCGCCCAGGCTGGAGTGCAGTGGCGTGATCTCAGCTCACTGCAAACTCTGCCTCCCGGGTTCACGCCATTCTCCCGCCTCAGCCTCCTGAGTAGCTGGGACTACAGGCGCCCGCCACCATGCTTGGCTAATTTTTTGTATTTTTAGTAGAGACGGGGTTTCGCCGTGTTAGCCAGGATGGTCTCGATCTCCTGACCTCATGATCCGCCCGCCTCGGCCTCCCAAAGTGCTGGGATTACAGGTGTAAGCCACTGCGCCCGGCCTACTAACAAATTTCTTGTGACACACTTGCTATTAATAAGGAAACTCAAGTTGACAGTACAGTTGGGAATAATTTCTCTGGCCTGCACTTAGTGCCATAGTAGAAGTATAGGATCATGCTAACACCGTGGCTAGTGTAGCTATAACTGGCCATCATTCGAGCTGAGCATGGGTTTCCATTCAGCCCAGAAGTTTCAACTGCACACAAGAGATGATGAAGCAGCAACACAGAAGCACAGACAGAGGTGTGGAGCACAGTCTAAGCCATGGGGAGAGATTTTCTCACCTGGGCTGCACCAGGATGAGAGCATAAGCTCTCCACCATCATCCAAAGCAAAGCTGGCTCTGCAGCCATCAATGCAGGAAACTGGGTTCTGTCTGGTCCCAGCTCTGTAGTACTGCAGGAACATCATAAAGACCATAAGGAATGGCAGACAGGACAGAGTTTTGAAAAGTACAAAGCTGGGTGGGTGCAATGGCTCATGCCTATAATCCTAGCACTTTGGGAGGCTGAGGTGGGAGGATCACTTGAGGCCAGGAGTTTATGACCAGCCTGGGCAATATATCGAGACTCCATCTCTATTTTTTAAAAAATAAAATAAAATAAATGTTAAAAAGAAAAGTACAAAGCTACCATCCTTGGAAAGCAGCCTAGGGGGGTAGTAGTGTCTTCTCTGGGTGTTAAGCAGGCTAGGTCCTGGGCCTCAACCCCTCTACCTCAACTTTCATTCAGTAAGTATTTATTAAGTACCCAATATGGGACATTTGCTTTAGGTGGTGAACTGGGAATACAACAGTGAGCCAGAAGCACTTAGTCCCTGCTCCCATAGAGCAGGATGTGTCAGTACAGCACTATTGCGCATTTGAGACTGGATAATTTGTTGTGGGGGTTGGCCTTGTGCATTGAAGGATGTTTAGCTGCATCCCTGGCCACTACCCACTAGATGTCAGTAGCAATCCCCCTCCTCAGTTGTCACAATCAAAACGTCTCTAGGCCGCAAGCAGTGGCTCACACCTGTAATTCCAACACTTTGGGAGGCTCAAGCAGGGGGTGGATTGCTTGAGACCAGCCTGGGCAACACAGTGAGACCCTGCCTCTACAAAAAAATTTAAAAATTAGCTAGGTGTGGTAGCATGCACTTATAATCCCAGCTACTCAGGAGGCTGAGGCTGAGGTGGGAGAATCACTTGAGCCTGGGAGGTTGAGGCTGCAGTGAGCATGATCACGTCACGTCACTGCACTGCACTGCAGCCTAGGTGACAGAATGAGAGCCTGTCTCAAAAAAACAAACAAAAAAAACCTCCAGAAGTTACCAAATGACCCTGGGGCAAAACTATCCTAGGTGAGAACCAGTGTCTTAGAAACCAGAGCAGCCCCACAGTTACCTATTTATTGGGGTCTGGGTAAGATTTTATTTGAACAAATACTTTTGCACTTTAGGAAAAAATAAAAGTGGATGGAGTTTTGTAAAGAATGACAGGTGCCATTGTCATGTACAAATCTGCAAAGTTCAGAGAGCTGAATACAATTTAGCTTAACCCTACTTGCAACAGAAAGGGGGAAACTACAAGGTACAGGATGAGAGAAAAAACAAAGACTGGAGAATTTCAAAAGTGATGGAGCTGAATTTCATGTGACCCCAAATCCACTAACCAAGGGACTGCCTGCCCTCCAGCACCCTTCTGATATCCATCCAGCCAGAGTGCTAGCCAGCTCCACCTGATGGCAACAGCCTGGGAGTTGAGATACTCTAGGGTTTTCTGCTGTACAGTTTTCTTTTTTGTAGCAAGATGGGGTTCTTGTTCTTGTCGCCTAGGCTGGAATGCAGTGGTGCTATCATAGCCCACTATTACATCAAACTCCTGGGCTCAAATGATCCTCCTGCCTCAACCTCCTGAGTAGCTGGGGCTACAGGTGCACGCTAGCAAGCCCAGCTAATTTTGTTGTTGTTTTTTGAGATAGAGTCTCACTCTGTCACCAGGCTGGAGTACAGTGGCACGATCTCGGCTGACTTCAACCTCCGCCTCCCGGGTTCAAGCAAATCTCCTGCCTCAGCCTCCCGAGTAGCTGGGACTACAGGCACGCGCCACCATGCCCAGCTAGTTTTTTTGTATTTTTAGTAGACACGGGGTTTCACCAACCTGGCCAGGCTGATCTTGAACTCCTGACCTCGAGATCCACCCACCTTGGCCTCCCAAAGTGTCGGGATTACAGACGTGAGCCACCGCGCCCAGCCTCGCTGTACAGTTTTTAAACACTATTTCTTCACTTAAACCTAGCAAGGAAAGTAGAGCTGGCATTACTTTTCCTGATCTTACACATGAGGAAACCAAGACATTCCATGTTGAAATAACTTCCAGTAGTAAAGTTTTCTGACTTGCCCAAGGTGCTGTAATTAACTAGAGTTAGAGATAAAAGTAGACTTTGATCTCCCCCAACCACCACCCCACCACCCACCTTGTTCTGCATGGAAGGGTGGGATCAGAACCAGGTGTTTGAGTTATACGATCTTTTTTTTTTTTTTTTTTTTCTTGAGATAGAGTTTCCCTCTTGTTGGCCAGGATGGAGTGCAATGGCGCGATCTCAGCTCAACTGCAACCTCTGCCTCCTGGGTTCAAGTGATTCTCCTGCCTCAGCCTGCCAAGTAGCTGGGATTACAGGCATGCGCCACCAGGCCCAGCTAATTTTGTATTTTTAGTAGAGACGGGGTTTCTCCATATTGATCAGGCTGGTCTCGAACCCCCAACCTCAGGTGATCTGCCTGCCTCTGCCTCCCAAAGTGCTGTGATTACAGGCGTGAGCCACCGCACCCGGCTGGCTTTTAAACAATATCAACACCGAAGGGGTGAGATTCTTAGAGTGACAGTTCAGAGACAGTCAGGAGAGTAGGGGAGATGGAAACACCTGCTACTAATGGTAAGGCTCGGCTGCGACTGCCCAGCCCTGGGAAAGCCTTTCTCTGCAGAGCACTTGATCCCACGGAAACTTGGCAGTAAGAGCTTTAAAAGGAAAGGGAGAGGGAAATGAAAGCGAGAGGGTTCTGTCAGGGAGCTGCTCGGTTTTAACAAAGGAGGCCATTCCCATGGCACAACCCTTCTTTCTGTTATCAGGAGACCATGTTGACATTACCCTGAATTCACCTAAACTGGTGCTGACTCTTCATGAGGTTCCCAATGATTCCTGAATCTCATGATGGCCAGAAGCCGGTCTCCTCATGGCCATGGCACTCTGAGAGGATGTTTGGTGACTGGACCTTGTGTTTTGTGGTTGTTTCCACTGTCTCCACTTCTTAGATTTGGTCCTCTTGCTAGGCCATAGGGTGTGCCAGTGCAGTAAAGTCCAGGGCACCTTGGCCTAGGTGCTAACTCCTTCAAAGTTTCTGCTTTGTTTCCACAGCTGCATGTTTCCAGCCTGTGCTGTGCACGCTGGGTGGGAGAGGGCAACTTGAATGCAATAACTACACCTAGCACAGTTGGCAAGACTCTTTCTTTACTATCATGAAGGAAACCACATTTAAAAATGTGTCCCCTTATGTATCCTCTGGGCATTGCATATAGTTCTGTCATCAAAGGTAAGAATGATTTTAACCCCAGTGCCTGGTACAGAGTAAGTGCTCAGTAATGTCATTAGCTGTTATTACAGCTATTACCACAACCTCAAAAAAAAAAGTTTGGCTGAGCACAGTGTCTTATGCCTGGAATCCCAGCATTTCAGGAGGCTGAAGTAGGAGGATCGCTTGACCCCAGGAGTTTGAGACCAGCCTGGGCAACATGACAAGACCTTGTCTTTACAGAAAGAAATTTTTTTAAGTAGCTGGGCCCGGTGGCACGTGCCTATAGTCTCAGCTACTTGGGAGAGGAAGACAGGATTTCAAGGAGCCCAGGGGTTCAAGGTTACAGTGAGCCATGATCACACCATTCCAGCCTGGGCAACAGAGGGAGACCTTGTCTCAAAAAAAAAAAAAAAAAGCCTGGATGCAGTGGCTCACTATTTTTAAAAAGTAAAATAAAATAAAATAAATTTTAAAAAGAAAAGCACAAGGCTGGGTGCAGTGGCTCATGCCTGTAATCCCAGCACTTTGGGAGGCTGAGGCAGGTGCATCACGAGGTCAGGAGTTTGAGCCCAGCCTGGCCAAGATGGTGAAACCCCATCTCTACTAAAAATACAAAAATTAGCCGGGTGTGGTGGCAGATGCCTGTAATCCCAGCTACTCAGGAGGCTGAGGCAGGGAACTGCTTGAACCCGGGAGGAGGAGGTTGCGGTGAGCCGAGATTGTGCCACTGCACTCCAGTCTGGGTGACAGGGTGAAACTCCGTCTCAAAAAAAAAGAAAATTACAAAGCTGCCATCCTTGGAAAGCAGCCCAGGGGGATAGTAGTGTCTTCTCTGGGTGTCAAGCAGGCTAGGTCCTGGGCCTCAAACCCTCTATCTCAACTTTCATTCAATAAATATTTATTGAGTACCCAATATGGGACATTCACTATAGGTGGTGAACTGGGAATACAACAGTGAGCCAGAAGCACTTAGTCCCTGCTCCCATAGAGCAGGATGTGTCAGTGCAGCGGCACTATTGCGCATTTGAGACTGTAATCCCAAAATGCCTGTAATCCCAGCATTTTGGGAGGCCAAAGCAGGCAGATTGCTTGAGCCCAGGAGTCCAAGACCAACCTCAGTAACATAGTGAGACCTTGTCTCTACTAAAAATTTAAAAAATTAGCCAGGTATGGTGGCATGCACCATACTACTTATACACTAATTTAAAAAAGCCACTGCATCCAGGCTTTTTTTTTTTTTTTTTTCGAGACAAGGTCTCCCTCTGTTGCCCAGGCTGGAATGGTGTGATCATGGCTCACTGTAACCTTGGACCCCTGGACTCCTTGAAATCCTGTCTTCCTCTCCCAAGTAGCTGAGACTACAGGCACGTGCCACCGGGCCCAGCTAATTAAAAAAATTTCTTTCTGTAAAGACAAGGTCTCGCCATATTGCCCAGGCTGGTCTCAAACTCCTGGGGTCAAGCGATCCTCCTACTTCAGCCTCCTGAAATGCTGGGATTCCAGGCATAAGACACTGTGCCCAGCCAAACATTTATTTTTTGAGGTTGTGGTAATAGCTGTAATAATAGTGTATAAGTAGTGTATTAATAGCTGTAAAAGTAGTGTCTTCCCAGCTACTTAGGAGGATGAGGTGGGAGGATTGCTTGAGCCCAGGAGGTCAAGGCTACGGTGAGCTATGATCATGCCACTGCACTATAGCCTGCATGGCAGAGCAGGAACGCTTAACCATCTCATAGATAACTAGATTAGTCTTCTTCTAGGGACCTAAAG
This sequence comes from Homo sapiens, assembly GCF_000001405.40. Lineage (NCBI taxonomy): Eukaryota > Metazoa > Chordata > Mammalia > Primates > Hominidae > Homo > Homo sapiens. Next base: position 16,309,336 of record NC_000017.11, read on the forward strand.
AGCAAAGCGATAAAGCGAGCATAAAAGCAGTTTGAAAAGTAAGTGACAGAAGCATGAAAAGCATCGTTTTTGAATTAGTTCTTACTTGGATTCCATTGATGAGCACAAAACAGTAATCTGGTTCAGGATAGAAATATAAACATTAGGCCGGGCACGGTGGCTCACACCTGTAATCACAGCACCTTGGGAGGCCAAGGCGGGTGGATCACCAGGTCAGGAGTTGAAGACCAGCCTGGCCACATAACGAAACCCCATCTCTACCAAAAATATAAAAAATTAGCTAGGTGTGGTGGCATGCACCTGTAATCCCAGCTACTCGGAAGGCGGAGGCAGGAGAATTGCTTGAACCCAGGAGGTAGAAGTTGCAGTGAGCCGAGAAATTGCGCCACTGCGCTCCAGCCTGGTCAACAGAGCAAGACTCCATCTTAAAAAAAAAAAGAAAGAAAGAAATATAAACATTAGGCCGGGCACGGTGGCTCACGCCTGTAATCCCAACACTTTGGGAGGCCAAGGCAAGCGGATAACTTTAGTCAGGAGTTTGAGACCAGCACAGCCAACATGGTGAAACCCTGTCTCTACTGAAAATACAAAAATTAGCCAGGCATGGTGGCACGTACCTGTAGTCCCAGCTACTCAGGAGGCAGAGGTGAGAGAATCTCTTGAACCCAGGAGACAGAGGTTGCAGTGAGCCAAGATCGCACCACTGCACTCTAGCTTGGGCAACAGAGTGAGACTCCATCTCAAAAAAAAAAAAAAAAAAGAAAGAAAGAAAGAAAAAAGAAATATAAACATTAATCATTAGAAGACTTTCTTGAATTATGGCATTCTGTTGTTAAAATTCTTCCATTACCCACCACTTCTGTTGACTTTGTCAACATGTTAATAAATTGAGGCTCATGGTGGTAACTTTAAAGTTACAGGATCCTAAAATGTCTTCTGAATTATTAAAAAGTGTGTGTGTGTGTGTGTGTGTGTGTGTGTGTGTGTGTTCAGTGCCATGAACAGTGAAGTTAACTATGTACTTATCTTTTCAAATAAGGGATCCAGTAATGACTCTCAAGATGATCCTTCTAACCAGAGTGTTTGCTTGCCTGAAATACGATATTCCCTCACAGATGAGCTCTCCAGACCCCAGGAGAAAGAATAACTGATCGAAACTCATGTACTTGGTTGGTAGCTGTCAGAATAAGAGTGCAGGTCTTCTGATTCTTTTTTTTTGAGACAGAGTTTCGCTCTTGTCACCCAGGCTGGAGTCCAGTGGCGTGATATTGGCTCACTGCAATCTCCGCCTCCTGGGTTCAGGCGATTCTCCTGCCTCAACCTCCCAAGTAGCTGGGATTACAGGTGCCCACCACCACGCCCAGCTCATTTTTGTATTTTTAGTAGAGAGGGTTTCGCCATGTTGGCCAGGCTGGTCTTGAACTCCTGACCTCAAGTGATCTGCCCGCCTCAGTCTCCCAAAGGTCTTTTACACAGTGCTTCTTCCTGCAGCGTAGCACGCCTTCTCACATAGAGGATGCTTGTAAAGAGCGTGGACTGTGGAGTCAGAAAGATCTAAACCCCAAGAACAGCTCCACCACTCAGTGGCAAGGTGATCACAGCTTCGGCCTCTGCTTCCTGAACTTCCTCAGGTGTAAGATAGGGTTAATACTATGTCTTTGCTCAATAAATGTTAGCCACTCTTATTATAACAGAGGGCTTGCTGTACATGCAGTCATTATGCTTTACAGTTTAAAATAGAAAGACCAAGAGCGAATCCCTTCCCAGCCCATTCCAATCCCAGTTCCAGGTTCCTTCATCCATGCAGGATGGTCACCTTTCCTTGGGGACAGCTTGCCTCTTTTCATCACCCCTAATCAATCATTCTATCCTTTCTTCAGTCCTTGTTGTCGTTTTTATATTTCTTTTATTATTTGAGTTAGCCTTATTATTATTATTATTCAAATTATTATTTGTTTTTTCTTTTTTTTAGCAATTATTATTATCATTTATCTCAGAAAATCTCTATGACAATTGTGTGAAGTACAATTATGATTACATATGAGATAATTGCACCACAGACATGTTATATAACTTGCAAAAAGCCACAAACCCAATAAGTGGTAAAGCCCAAAGCACAGAGGTTTTCTTTCTTTTTTTTTTTTTTGATCATTCTTGGGTGTTTCTCGAAGAGGGGGATTTGGCAGGGTCATAGGACAATAGTGGAGGGAAGGTCAGCAGATAAACAAGTGAACAAAGGTCTCTGGTTTTCCTAGGCAGAGGACCCTGCGGCCTTCCGCAGTGTTTGTGTCCCTGGGTACTTGAGATTAGGGAGTGGTGATGACTCTTAACGAGCATGCTGCCTTCAAGCATCTGTTTAACAAAGCACATCTTGCACCGCCCTTAATCCATTTAACCCTGAGTGGACACAGCACATGTTTCAGAGAGCACAGGGTTGGGGGTAAGGTCAGAGATCAACAGCATCGCAAGGCAGAAGAATTTTTCTTAGTACAGAACAAAATGAAGTCTCCCAGGTCTACCTCCTTCTACACAGACACAGCAACAATCTGATTTCTCTATCTTTTCCCCACCTTTCCCCCTTTTCTATTCCACAAAACCGCCATCGTCATCATGGCCCGTTCTCAATGAGCTGTTGGGTACACCTCCCAGACGGGGTGGTGGCCGGGCAGAGGGGCTCCTCACTTCCCAGACGGGGTGGCCGGGCAGAGGCGCCCCCAACCTCCCGGACGGGGTGGCTGGCCGGGTGGGGGCTGCCCCCCCACCTCCCTCCCGGAGGGGGCGGCTGGCCGGGCGGGGGCTGCCCGCAGCCCCCCACCTCCCTCCCGGACGGGGCGGCTGCTGGGCGGAGACGCTCCTCACTTCCCAGATGGGGCGGCTGCCGGGCGGAGGGGCTCCTCACTTCTCAGACGGGGAGGCCGGGCAGAGACGCTCCTCACCTCCCAGACGGGGGTCGCGGCCGGGCAGAGGCGCTCCTCACATCCCAGATGGGGCGGCAGGGCAGAGGCGCTCCCCACATCTCAGACGATGGGCAGCCGGGTGGAGGCGCTCCTCACTTCCTAGACGGGATGGCGGCCGGGAAGAGGCGCTCCTCACTTCCCAGACTGGGCGGCCGGGCAGAGGGGCTCCTCACATCCCAGACGATGGGTGGCCAGGCAGAGACGCTCCTCACTTCCCAGACGGGGTGGCGGCCGGGCAGAGGCTGCAATCTCGGCACTTTGGGAGGCCAAGGCAGGCGGCTGGGAGGTGGAGGTTGTAGCTAGCCGAGATCACGCCACTGCACTCCAGCCTGGGCAACATTGAGCACTGAGTGAACGAGACTCCGTCTGCAATCCCGGCACCTTGGGAGGCCAAGGCTGGCAGATCACTTGCGGTTAGGAGCTGGAGACCAGCCCGGCCAACACAGCGAAACCCCGTCTCCACCAAAAAAATACGAAAACCAGTCAGGCGTGGCGGCGCGCGCCTGCAATCGCAGGCACTCGGCAGGCTGAGGTAGGAGAATCAGGCAGGGAGGTTGCAGTAAGCCGAGATGGCAGCAGTACAGTCCAGCTTCGGCTCAGCATCAGAAGGAGACCTTGGAAAGAGGGGAGGGGGAAGGGGGGGGGAGAGGGAGAGGGAGAGGGAGCTATTTGTTTTTTCTTTAATTCATTTGTGTAGAAATGAAATGTTGGAATACAGACTGAGCTTGTAGTTAATAAACAGATATTGATATAGCTGTGAAAATGGAAACAGAGGCAATCTATGAATAAATACACTTTTTCCATGAACTCAACCCCAGGACACGGTGGACATTGTCCTTCAAAGCTTTTTTTGCCCTCAGTATGGCATGAGAAAAAGAGAACCAGTAATTCAGGCTGTATCTGCATAAACAGAGTTCACTTAGAAGCTAGCCAGGAATTCTAAATGTGCTAATAAATGGCTAAACCAATAAGCAACAAAGATATTCTGAACCCAAGTTACTATCATGGCTGAATTCCACTCTGCTCCACTGGCTAGGAACAAGAGTAAAACATCAAACCCTGGAAAACAGTCTCTATGTGGTCAACCACAGCACTAGCTACACACCACTGATCTGCTCAGAAGTCACTTCAGATAGATGCTGCATTTGAAAAGTTTCAGGGTTCTGTTCTCTCCTTCCCAAGGGAAGGAGACAGCTCCATTGAAGTTGAGGTGGTGGAGAAGGCATTCAGTGAAAACCCTGTGTTTCTCTACAGGTGGTGACTTTCGATGCAGGGGGAGTAAGTGGCCACAGCAATCACATTGCTCTGTATGCAGCTGTGAGGTATGATTCTCCGGGTGATGGATGTGGGGGAGGGTTTGTTTATTTGATTAGGGCTCATGGTTTAAAGTCTAAAGCACTTTCCCACTTGTTATCTGAGCCCATGAAACTCACTGCTGGCTTATCTTCTAGCCCTTTTTGGCCATGTTGCTCACTGCATCTCACCATGTCCTCTCGCTGAGAAATCTCTCTCAAGTCCTAGTACGAATGCTCGTCTCCTAAACAGCTGAATTCTTTTTTATACACTGAATACTGCGAATGGGGTAATTGACTTTATTCATCTCTTTTCTGTGGCCACAGGAAGCTTGAGGGCCAAATTTGCAAGCCCTGTGGCACTGGACAAGACTTTAAGGAATGAGTGCTGTCAATCAGTGTGCCTCCACCTTCACCATCTTCTTCCCCTTACTCTCACTTCCGTCATGTGTTTTATACAACTCTCAAATCTTTCTTGGAGAAGGAGGATATACATACATAATATGAAATGTGTTTGTTCTTCACAGTCACCCGATTTTACTGATATTTATTTGCATTTTACCAATAAAAAGAAAATGCAAGCTCAAAGGTATTGAGTGACATAGAGTCATACAAACATAGATGTGTTTCCTGTCCCCTAGCAAAGTGCTTCTCCTGGGCCCCTGATCAGTGGTGTGGCAGGCCTGTCCCAGCTACTGAGGAAGGAAAGAAGCAACTTGAAGGGAAGGACTTATTTAATAACCTTCTTCTAAACATGCTTAACACTCAGACTGAAGCAATGCAATATGTAAAGTTGGAAATGACCTCACCAACCATTAAGTCCAATCACTGGGAAGTGGTTTGCCCAGCACCACAAGGTTAAACTATGGCAGAGGCAGAATTCAGGAATCCTAGTTCTCCATTCATTATTCTGTCAGATGTATGTGAAGACCAATCCAAACTGAAGACCCTCCTTGTCCTTAAATTTTACATCACTTGGTGGAAGATGCTAGAATTTTACCCACATACTCTTTCTAGGCAGATTTCCCTGTTTCCTTGACTATGGAATGAGGGGAGGCTAGACTGTTCTCCCTGTAAAGACTATTCGGTTCCTGGTCCAGCCAGCAGCCACAGCTTTAGAAGAGACATGCTCCTAGTCGCATTAGGTCCCTTCAAATTCAGGAAAGAAACATTCCCTGGTTACAGTCTGAAATACAAATTTTTTTGATGATATATGGAAAAATGAGGCAGCCCCAGAGTGGTCTTTCCAACCACATGGTTACTCTGAGGCCTTGAGCTTCCAAGACTAGCATGGACAGCAAGCCCCATGGAGAACTGGAAAAATGGTCCCACCTCATTCTGGATGCACACTGAGCCTGGTGATTTCTCTCCGAGAATTTACACTGCACCAGAGAAAGGATCAGGTCAGGTCTATTGCAAACAAAGAGTACCTCAACAGGCAGGGGGCTGGGGCACTTGAGATTGAGTCACCTGGTCCCATTCCTGGTCCAGTCACCACTGAAGTGGAGAAAATAGAGAAGGCGTCATTCTGGGCAGAGAAAGAACCCAAGGGGACAACTCTGTGTAGATAGAACTGCCTGGGGCCATTTTCCTCAGAAGAGGCTGGAGTGCCACAGGCTCTCAGCACGAAGGAGGGCCACTGTGCTTCAGATAAAACAATTCATGGACATGCCACCAATCTGCCACAACCTTTTTCCCCACAGTCATCTCTTGCCTGCTAAATTCGTTAGACTCACGTTAGTCCTCAGCCACCTTGAACCTTCTGTGGCATCTGGCCCTGCCTGTCCCTCACTGCAATGCTGCTTTGACTTATATGGCACCAGCTTGCCCTCCTCACTCTGGCCTTTCTGGCTACTTCTCATTCTCTTCCCGGCTTCCCTCCCACCAGTGGCCCCTTGGTCCCCCTGTCCCCAGGGCTCACTCCCCAGTCCTCCTCAGCACAGCTTCTCCTGTGGCTTTAAGGGCTATAAGCTCTACTTCCAGACAGCGCCTCTAGCTCACTGCTTTCCCTGGACATCAGAATATCCACAGGGCTTTGCCCAGAGTACAGGACAAGCCACTTCATTCTCAGGATCCCAGAAAGTTTTTTCAGTCTTTTCTTTTCTTTCTTTCTTTCTTTCTTTCTTTTTTTTTTTTTTTTTTTTTTTTTGAGACAGAGTCTCGCTCTGTCACCCAGGCTGGTGTGCAGTGGCGTGATCTCAGCTCACTGCAGCCTCCGCCTCCTGCCTCAGCCTCCTGAGTAGCTGGGAACTACTGGTGCATGCCACCACGCCCGGTTAATTTTTGTATTTTTATTAGAGACGGAGTTTCACCATATTGGCCAGGCTGGTGCCGAACTCCTGACCTCGTGATCCGCTTGCCTCGGCCTCCCAAAGTGCTGGGTTTACAGGCGTGAGCCACCGCGCCCGGCTCCTTTTTCAGGTTTTTCTACCTCTCAGGCTCTGCCAGGCAGTCAGTTCCATGAATTTGTCAATTGTCTCTCAACTTCTCTTGTTTAACCCCTGCTCCCAAGAGTCTCTGTTCATATGTGTGTCTGTGTGTTGCTGGGGCTACCTTCCCAATCCTTCTCTGCCCCCAGCTTTCTAAACAACAAAGTGGGGAAGAGACTTGGAGCTCATTGCAGTTGACACTCCCCTCCTCTTAAGGTGGCGAGCACAGAATGACCTGCACTGTCAGAAGGTAGGCGTAGGGAAGCTCAGAAAGGAGAAAGGAAATATCAGGGAAGAGCTATCAGTTAGCATTGTAAAATATTCCCCCATCATACTCACATTACACTTCCAAGAGAAAAACTATGAAGAGTCCAGCACAGTTACCTTCATTCTCTAATGGGCAAAGCTTGGACCAGAGTACTTCACAAACCACAGACCAGCCTCTGGATTGGCTGTCCCTAGCTCAGGTGCCCATCCTGGTCCCTTCAGCTGTTGCCAGAGGTATGGGATCCTGGAAATCTATACAGTGATTTATGCAAAAGAAACCACCTGGAGACTCACATGGAGGGGACCATGGGCATGGCAGCCTTTCCTCTGAAGGCCCCTCCTGTTACCTACAAAGGAAATGATCCTTACTCCTCTCACTCTTGTCCTATCCCTCCTCCAGGGCCCTGCACTCAGAAGGGAAGTTACCTAAAGGTAAGGCTTGTTCCTTTTGCAAAGGGCCACAAGATACTGTCCCTCTGAGAAACTTATGAGGGGGAAATTTGCAAATCCACAGAGAGCTGCCCTCAGCCGAGCAGAGGCAGTGGTTGGGGAGGCCGCCACACTCTTCCTGACTCACCTCAAGGTACCTGGCAGGTTGTATCTACCAGCAAGTGCCTGCCTGCAGGGCCACCTCTGGATGAGTGGGGAGGCCAGGTTTGCCCCTCAACCTGTCTAGCTTTTTCACAGGGTGGATGTTTTACACCTCTGGTATTCTTCCAGTCTGAACTCAATCCCATCCCCCAACCAATTAGGCAGGTTGTAAATGACTGCTGGGTGCTTGATGAACCAATCTGCCTGAGTTAGGAACTCTTCCTAACCCACATAAAGTATTTGACCCTACCTGACCATTTACTGCATGACCCCCATGCTTAGCCTCTCTGGACCAGTTTCTGGTCTGTCATACCTCACCGGCGCAATACGAAGATTCAATGAATGAAAACGTAAGTAGTTTGTGCCCTTTCTATGTGGGATGACTGAAAGGAGCTTACCAAGCCATGATGACTTTGGAACATGACTATAGTTTGTTTGATTCTTATATCAATCCTGTGAGACAGGCAGGTCTCACACTATCAACACCAATTTACAGATTAGAAAACTGAGACTGAGAGTGGTTAAGGGACTTTGCCAAGTCTGTCAATTCTTGACTGACAGAGCTGGAACCAGGTCTCTAAACTCCCAATACAGTAATTCCTGTCTCCTTTACTTCCTTTGGCTTTGAGGTAGCCAGATCTCAACCTCTAGCAGCCAACCTTTTTCTGGTAGGGCACACCGCAGGGTAGAGGGTAGCCAGCCAGGTCTTCTATGGCCCTTTTACTCGTTCTAGCTGCAAGAATCATGGGCACAGGGCAGCTTTAGTGCCACAGAAACACGTGGCAATGCTGTGGCCACTGTCCTGCCCTGCCCTGAGCCACAGGGTAGAGGGAGGATGCTCAGGGGAAAATCTGGCTGGAGGCCTCAAGGCTTATCACTTCACCCTGTCTCCTCTCCATCCAGGGTGCTCTGTGCTCACGCTTCAGTCTGTGAATGTGCTGCGCAAGTACATCTCCCTTCTGGATCTGCCCTTGTCTCTGCTTCATACGCAGGATGTCCTCTTCGTGCTCAACAGCAAAGAAGTGGCACAGGCCAAGGTGAGGATTGTAAATTCCTGGACACCCCAACTCAGATCCCTGCCCCAGACCCCTGTCTCCTCAAAGCCCCACCTCTGCAGAAGCCCTAACTGAAGGTTTTTCACAGTGGTTCAGCACCTGTCCCTGAGAATTAGGGCTAGGCCAGCTAGATCTTGGGAGGCATAGATTTTTCAATGACTTTAGCCTTTTTTTTCTAATTATAAAAATAATATATGCTTTTTCTAAAAGTAAATAACACATGCTCATTGCAGAAAATCTTGAAAAACATAAAAGCATCAAAAAGAAAATAAAAATAAGAACAATTACCTGCAGTCCCACCAATCACAGGTAATCCTTGTTAACATGTTGGGCTACATCTTTCTACTCTTTTTTTTTTTTTGAGACGGAGTTTTGCTCTTGTCACCCAAGCTGGAGTGCAGTGGTGCAATCTCGGCTCACTGCAACCTCCGCCTCCTGGGTTCAAGTGATTCTCCTGCCTCAGCCTCCTGAGTAGCTGGGATTACAGGCACCGCCACCACACCCGGCTAATTTTTTGTATTTTTAGTAGAGCTGGGGTTTCATCATGTTGGCCAGGCTTGTCTCGACCTCCTGACCTCGGGTGATCCACCCACCTCGACCTCCCAAAGTGCAGGGATTACAGACATGATCCACTGTGCCCAGCCCTACTCTTTATATATATATAATGTGTATGTGTATACACATTTCAAATGGGATCACACAGTGCCTATTTAAAACCAGCTTTGGCCAGGTGTGGTGGCTCATGCCTGTAATCATAGCACTTTGGGAGGCTGAGGCGGGCAGATCACGAGGTCAGGGGTTCAAGACCAGCCTGGCCAACATGTTGAAACCCCGTCTCTACTAAAGCTACAAAAATTAGCCAGGCGTGGTGGCATGCACCTGTAGTTCCAGCTACTTGGGAGGCTGAGGCAGAAGAATCGCATGAACCCGGGAGGTGGAGGTTGTGGTGAGCTGAGATCATGCCACTGTACTCCAGCCTGGGTGACAGAGAGGATTCTGTCTCAAAAAAAAAACAACAAAAAACCTGCTTTAACAATACGTTATGGGCTGGGCACAGTGGCTCATGCCTGTAATCCCAGTACTTTGGGAGGCCGGGGTGGGTGGACTGCTTGCTGGGCAACAGAGCAAAATCCCATCTCTACAGAAAAATTAGCCAGGCATGGTGGCACATGCCAGTGGTCCCAGCTACTCGGGTAGCTGAGGCAGGAGGATCACTTGAGCCCAGGAGGTCAAGGTTGCAATGAACCCTGATCATACCACTGCACTCCAGCCTGGGCAACAGAGCCAGACCCTAGCCAAAAAAAAAAAAAAAAAAAAAATCAAAACTATTTATTATGAACATTTTCTCCTATTTCATTTAGTATTCAAATACCAATGGCTGCCAATTACGCCACTGTATGTATATACCATAAGATATATCACGAATCCCTTACTGTTAGACATTTTGATTTGCCACTTTATCACTGTTATACATGGAGCGATGCTCCCAGCTTGAGTTTAAGAAGAATTCAGACCTGCCAGGAGCCTCTGTAAAGAGCCTAGGGGAGGCCAGACGCCGTGGCTCACGCCTGTAATCCTAACACTTTGGGAGGCCGAGACAGGCAGATTGTCTGAGCTCAGGAGTTTGAGACCAGCCAGGGCAACACGGCGAAACCCCGTCTCTACTAAAATACAAAAAAGTAGCCGGGCGTGGTGGTGGGCACCTGTAGTCCCAGCTACTCGGGAGGCTGAGGCAGGAGAATTGCTTGAACCCGGGAGGCGGAGGTTGCAGTGATCCAAGATCGCACCACTGCACTCCAGCCTGGGTGACAGAGCGAGACTCCGTCTCCAAAAAAAAAAAAAAAAGAGCCCAGGGCAGACTGCAAGAAGCCCACATGCAGGGTGAGGAAGAGCTAGGCCAGCTCAGGTCATCCTAGGGAAAACTCTTAGCTGTCCATGGAACAGGTGACTGAGTGCCATCAGAGTTAGGGAGAGGGTGGGCTGAGGAGAATTATTCCTCAGTTTGTCTCCAGGTGCATCCCCCTGTAGACTTAAGCCCCCCACAGAGAGATGGGTAGCATAACAAGTGAAAGAACCAAGTCGGGGATTGTGGCTCGTGCCTGTAGTCTCAGCTGCTTGGGAGGTTGGGGTGGGAGGATGGCTTGAGCCCAGGAGTTTGTGTCTGCCCTGGGCAACACAGCTTTATTAGGAAAAAGGGAAGGGGAAGGGGAAAGGGAAGGGAGAGAGAGGAAGGAAGGGAGAAAGAGACAGAGAGAAGGAGAGAGTGAGAGAAAGAAAAGGAAGGAAGGAAGGAAGGAAGGAAGGAAGGAAGGAAGGAAGGAAGGAAAGGAGGGAGGAAGGGGAGGAGAGGGGAGGGGAGGGAGGGAGGAAGGGGAAGGGAAGGGAAGGAAGGAAGGGAAGCGAAGGAAGGAAGGGAAGGGAAGGAAGAAGGAAGGAAGAGAGAGAGGAAAGAAGGAAGAAAGAAAGAGAGGGGAGGGAGAGAAAAGGAGAGAGGAAGGAAGGGAGGGAGGGAAGGAAAGAAGGAAGGGAGGGAAGGAGGGAAGGAAGGGAGGAAACGAGGGAGGGAGGGAAAGCGGGAGAGAGAGAGAGAGAAAGAAAAGAAAAGAAGAAGGAAGGAAGGAAGGAAGAAAGGAAGGAAGGAAGGAAAATCTAAGAGAATAGAAACTCAGGATAATGATTTTGGTTTTGGGGTTTTTTTGTTTAGCTTTATTTTCTAAATTTTCTTTGAGATGAAGTCTTCCTCTGTCACCCAGGCTGGAGTGCAGTGGCACAATCTCGGCTCATTGCAACCTCCACCTCCCAGGTTCAAGCAATTCTTCTGTCTCAGCCTCTCCAGTAACTGGGACTACAGGTTCACGCCACCAGGCCCAGCTAATTTTTGTATTTTTAATAGAGATGGGATTTCACCATATTGGTCAGGCTGGTCTCGAACTCCTGACCGCAGGTGATCTACCCACCTCGGCCTCCCAAAGTGCTGGGATTACAGGCATGAGCCACTGTGCCTGGCCATTTTTTTTTTTTTTTTTTTTGAGACAGAGTCTTGCTCTGTCACCCAGGCTGGGGTGCAATGGCACGATCTCAGCTCACAACAACCTCTGCCTCCCAGGTTCAAGCAATTCTCCTGCCTCAGCCTCTCAAGTAACTGGGACTACAGGCGCATGCCACCACGCCTAGCTAATTTTTGTATTTTTAGTAGAGGCAGGGTTTCACCATGTTGGCCAGGTTGGTCTTGAACTCCTGACCTCAAATGATCCGCTCCCCTCTGCTTCCCAAAGTGCTGGGATTACAGGCATGAACCACTGCGCCGGGCCTTTTTTTTTTTTTTTTTTTTTAGATGTAGTTTCGCTCTTGTTGCCCAGGCTGGAGTGCAACGGTGCGATCTCAGATCACTGCACCCTCCACCTCCTGGGTTCAAGTGATTTTTCTGCATCACACTCCCGAGTAGCTGGGATTACAGGCATGGGCCACCATGCCCAGCTAATTTTGTATTTTTAGTAGACACGGGGTTTCGCCATGTTGGTCAGGCTGATCTTGAATTCCTGACCTCAGGTGATCCACCCGCCTTGGCCTTCCATAGTGCTGGGATCACAGGCGTGAGCCACCATGCCCGGCCCATATTTTCTAAATTTTCTACAGTAAACCTTTGTACCTAATAAGAGGCACTTTGCTAGGTACTGAGAGTGCAGTGTTGAGCACATATTAATTATCTTGTTTCTTCAATAGTGCATTCGTTTTTGTATTTTATTATTTCTGTCCTACTTCATTTATGGTTTTATTCTTTTCCTTCCTTCCTTCCTTCCTCCCTCCCTCCCTCTTTCTGTCTGTCTGTCTGTCTTTCTTTCTTTCTTTTTACTGTTATTTTATGGTTTTTTTTTGAGACGGAGTTTCGCTCTTATTGCCCAGGCTGGAGTACAATGGTGCAATCTCGGCTCACCTCAACCTTCGCCTCCCGGGTTTAAGCGATTCTCCTGCCTCAGCGTCCCAAGTAGCTGGGATCACAGGCACACGCCACCACGCCTGGCTAATTTTGTATTTTTAGTACAGACAGGGTTTCCCCATGTTGGTCAGGCTGGTCTCGAACTCCCGACCTCAGGTGATCGCCCACCTCAGCCTCCCAAAGTGCTGGGATTACAGGTGTGAGCCATCGCACCCAGCCTATTTATTTATTATTTATTTTTATTTTTTGAGACAGAGTCTTGCTCTGTCACCCAGGCTGGAGTGCAGTGGAGCGATCTCGGCTCACCACAACCTCCACCTCCTGGGTTCAAGCAATTCTCCTGTCTCAGTCTCCTGAGTAGCTGGGACTATAGGGGCCCGCCACTTCGCCCGGCTAATTTTTGTATTTTTAGTAGAGACTGGGTTTCGCCATGTTTGGCCAGGCCAGTCTCGAACTTCTGGCCTCAAGTGATCCACCCGGCTTGGCCTCCCAAAGTGCTGGGATTACAGGCGGGAGTCACCGCACCCAGCCTGTTCTTCTTTAAATCTCTTTAACTTGAAAGGTTAGCTTTGTTTTCATTTTCAATCTTTAAAAAAAAAATACTTTAATACTATTAATTTTCCTTGAAGTGTTTCTTTAGCTACACATGATAAGTTTTGATATGTAGTTCTCCTATTGTCATTTAATTATAAGTAATTTATAGACTCCATTGTGAGTTCCCCTTTAATCTTTGAGGGTATAATTTACAGTTACAAACATGTGTCGATCTTCATTATTTGTAGTTCTATATTTATGAATGCACCTACTCACTAAAATTCATTTGTAACTCCAAAGTCAGTGCTCGAAGTGCTTTTGTAGTCATTCGTGGACACTCGCAGAGGGGTGAAACATGAGTCACTGGATGCACATATGCATGTTCCCAGCTGTTTCAGCTCTCCTACTGTAAAAAAATACCTTTTTGTGTATATTTAATGCCCCATTTTTCTCATTTTTGTGGTTTTTGTTGATTTTGCTGTTTAAAATAGCCTCTAAGGATGATGCTGAGTGCTGTCTTGCATTCCTAAGCACAAGAGGCTGTAATGTGCCTTATGTGGGTTTGATCACAAGCATGAGTTACAGTGCCATTGGCCATGAGTTCAGTGCTAATGAATCAACAACATGTATTTCATATGGAGTTTTTAAACAGAAATATACACAAAACAAGGTTATATATTGACTGATTGATGAAAATATTGTGGCCAAAGGCTTGGAGGAACCCAACCCTGTATTTCCACTAGAAACAATGGTTCAGTATTCACTAATTCAGTGTTTTCAGTGACTTTGTAGAACTACCACAAATGAGAATGGCATGGCTGTGTGTGTATATGTGGTCTTTTTTTTTTTTTCTGAGACAGAGTTTCACTCTTGGTGCCCATGCTGGAGTGCAATGGTGCGATCTTGGCTCACTGCAACCTCCACCTCCCAGGTTCAAACGATTCTCCTGCCTCAGCCTCCCAGGTAGCTGGGATTACAGGCAGGTGCCACCACGCCTGGCTAATTTTGTATTTTTTAGTAGAGACGAAGTTTCACCATGTTGGTCAGGCTGGTCTCGAACTCCTGACCTCAGGTGATCCTCCCACCTCAACCTCCCAAAGTGGTGAGATTACGGGTGTGGGCCACTGTGCCCTGCCGTGTATGGGGCCTTTTTATTGTTAATTTATAATTTAATTACTTTGTGGTCAGTGAATGGTTTTCGTAACACTGATCTTTTTTTTTTTTTTTTTTTTTGAGACAGAGTCTCGCTCTGTTGCCCAGGCTGGAGTGTAGTGGTAAGATCTCAGCTCACTGAAACCTCTGCCTCCTGGGTTCAAGTGATTCTCCTGCCTCAGCCTCCTGCGTAGCTGGGATTACAGACAGGCCGGCACCACCAAGCCTGGCTAATTGTTTTGTATTTTCAGTAGAGATGGGGTTTCACTATGTTGGCCAGGCTGGTCTTGAACTCCTGACCTGGTGATCTGCACAACTCAGCCTCCCAAAGTGATAGGATTACAAACATGAGACACCGTGCCCTGCCCAAAGCTGATATATTTGTTAGCAGATTATTTCTCTTATTTATTTATTTATTTATTTTGAGACAGAGTTTTGCTCTTGTTGCCCAGGCTGGAGTGCGATGATGCGATCTTGGCTCACTGCAACCTCTGCCTCCTGGGTTCAAGCGAGTCCCCTGCCTCAGCCTCCTGAGTAGCTGGGGTTACAGGCGTGCACCACCATGCCCAGCTAATTTTGGATTTTTTTTTTTTTTAGTAGAGATAGGGTTTCACCATGTTGGTCAGGCTGGTCTCAAACTCCTGACCTCAAGTGATCCACCTGCCTCGGGCTCCCAAGGTGCTGAGGTTACAGGCATGAGCCATTGCGCCTAGCCAATTCGTCTTATTATCTTATAATGTCTCTCTTTTGTAATGGTTTTCCCTTTATCTTCTATTTTATATTTATTTATTTATTTTTTTGAGACGGAGTCTCGCTCTGTCACCAGGCTGGAGTGCAGTGGCGATCTCGGTTCACTGCAATCTCCGCTAATTGCAATCTCCTCTAATTGCAATCTCCGCCTCCTGGGTTCAAGCAATTCTCCTGCCTCAGCTTCCCGAGTAGCTGGGATTACAGGTATGCGCCACCACGCCGGCTAATTTTGTATTTTTAGTAGAGACAGAGTTTCTCCATGTTGGTCAGGCTGGTCTCGAACTCCCGACTTCAGGTGATCCACCCACCTCAGCCTCCCAAAGTGCTGGGATTACAGGCGTGAGCCTCCATACCTGGCAAGTCATGTAGGGTCTGACAATGAATATAAAAGGGGTTATTTACATAAAAGTTTGTGAAGATATTAGCTTAGAGAGGCAAGTTAATTATGGTACTTAGAGATAAACAGGCACATCCTTTTATGTATATCTAGTGAAGTCAGTTGCTGTAATCTATTCTGTTTAAAAACTGAACTATACTAGGTCTGAATAACAAGATAATGTACATTTCCCCTAGAAGATAGGAACGACAACTCACACCTGTGTGCCATTCCTTTTTTTCTTCTTCTGATAGTGATTGGACCTCCCCAAACGACCTAACTCAGAGGAATTTGGGCATAGTGTACTAGCTTTCTTCCCATGAAACATCCCTGTTTGTGTTGTATATTTGAGGTAGTAGCAACGTGATTAAGAATGTGGACTCTAACTGGCCAGGCGCGGTGGCTCACGCCTGTAATCCCAGCACTTTGGGAGGCCGAGGTGGGCAGATCACTAGGTCAGGAGATCGAGACTATCCTGGCTAACACAGTGAAACCCTGCCTCTACTAAATATACAAAAAATTAGCCAGGCATGGTGGCAGGTGCCTGTAGTCCCAGCTACTCGGAAGGCTGAAGCAGGAGAATGGCGTGAACCCAGGAGGCAGAGCTTGCAGTGAGCCAAGATCGCGCCACTGCACTCCAGCCTGGGCAACAGGCTCAAAAAAAAAAAAAAAAAAAAAAAAGAATGTGGACTCTAGAATCAATCAGTTGGCTCTGGGTTAAAATCTCAGCCAGCTCTACTACCTACTAGCTGTTTGAGACTGACGAGTTTCCTCATCTATTTATTTTTTAAAAAACAGTAATAACAGTACTTGATTCACAGGGTTGTTAACATTGAGATGATGCATGTGGACTGTTCTGCCAGTTTTCTGGTATCCCATGGTGAGTGCTGTAGCTACGGTGAGCATTGTGTGTTATAATCACAGGTAGTAGGAGATGGGAAAGCAGGGGCCATGACAGGAGGCCAATCCAGAGAGGTTCGTGGGTTACAGGAAGAAGACAGATAAGGCTATAGCATGAAGCATATTAGTTCGAGGAAGGATTTAAGGTGCGGAGGCCAGATCTGAAAGTAATGAAACAACTCCAGTGCAACTGTTTCATAACTGGTTCTCTTTGATTCTTCTAGAAAGCCATGTCCTGCCACCGCAGCCAGCTCCTCTGGTTCCGCCGCCTCTACATTATCTTCTCCCGGTACATGAGAATCAACTCACTGAGCTTCCTCTGAAGCCTTGAAGGGTTTTCAGATCCAAGGAACAAAGGGGAAAATAGACAAAGGAGTGCAGAGGACCTGGCCTGGCACTGGCTTATTTACCTGAGCTCAAGGAGATCCCCGCTGGAGCAGCCTCTGCAAAAGGGAGCCCATGTAGGCCAGGGGCTGTCCAAACTCCAGCTTCTTCCCCTGGGAAAAAACCCAAAGAACCAAAAACAAACCACCCCAAGGATAATAATAGCTACACTGCTAGCTTCTCAAGTTCTTGTGAAAAACAATTTACATAATGACACAGTAGATGTGGAACACCTAGCCCAGTGCCTGGGCAGGTCCCTATTATCATAAATGAACATAAAAGTGCTCTAAAAACACTCCACAGATGTGACTTTTACATTGTTTCCAAAGCAGGTTCACCAAAAACACATACACAAAATGCAACAGTGTGTGTTGAATTGGTTCAATCATAATTCCTTTGATTTTTCTTGTATCAGAATGTGGGTCTAGGAAAAACTTGCTCTATTTAACAGGACAGCTCTGATTGAAGCATCCAAGTACAGGTCACTGGGGTGGGCACTGTTTTATACAGAGACGATTACAAGAACTCTGCCTCAAAGAGCTTACAATCAAATATGTCAGCTCTCAGTCTTTTTGGAGAAGTAGGAAGTAGGAAGATAAATCTGAGACTTAAAAAAACACAAAACATTCAAGAACCTGATGTCTTAAAATTGTCCTACGAACAAAAGCTCTCTGAAAGCTCTGGCTTGGAAACTACTCTCAGAATCCAGCTAACGCTCCAGGGAAGTGGCCTGAGTCAGGGAAGCTAAGTGGTGAAGAGCACAGGCTGGTAGTCCTGCGATTGAAGCCAGAATGACCAGCTGTGTAACCAAAGGCAAGGTGCTGAACCTTTCTCTGCCTCAATTCTCTCATCTGCAAAATGGGAAATAATAATGATCCCAACCTCAGAGAACTGAACAAGATAATACATGAAGGTGCATATCAAAGAGTCTCACATGCTCTGCTGGGTAAGTATGCCCTCCACCCGCCACAGGAAACACTGAATTGCTTCTCCATAGCTGCAGGTTAGAGACCTGCTTGTTCAGACACTCCACCTCAACTTGCCCTCCTTTGCTTAGTGTCACCATTATCTTGAATGCCTCCTAGGGGCCACATAAGACTAATAGAGCTATTAGGCTCTGAAGCCGGAATCAAAAATGCAAATCTGGTTATGTGATTTGTCTACTTAAACTTTGTCAATAGCTCCTAATAGCCTTCATGTGAAAATGTGACCAGAAGCACGTTACTAACACTGGCTAGAGTGCAGTAGGAGAGTGTGGTAGGACAGGCTGACCCCTGCCCTGTTACTAGGAAGACAGACACTCACCCAGCCTTTCTGAACAGCAACTCTGCTAAGAGCTTTTAAAATATGCATATTCTATGACCTAAGGAATACTTAGAAAATCAAAATTATATACACACTGGCTGGGCGCAGTGGTTCACATCTGTAATCCCAGCACTTTGGGAGGTCAAGGAGGGTGGATCACTTGAGGCCAGGAGTTCGAGACAAGCCTGGCCAATGTGGCAAAACCCCGTGTCTACTAAAAATACAAAAATTAGCCAGGCATGGTGCCGCAGGCCTGTGGTCCCAGCTACTCGGAAGGCTGAGGCACAAGGATTGCTTGAACCCAGAAGGCGGAGGCTGCAGTGAGCTGAGATCGCGCCACTGCACTCCAGCCTGGGCGACAGAGCCCTGTCTCCAAAAAAACAACAACAATTATACACACAAAGATTATCATTGTATTATTTATAATAGCAAAACTGGAAAAATCCAGTGATGCAGTTGTGTTTTGTAACAAGGAAGAACGTTCACACTATTAAATTTTTAAAAGCGGGTTAGGAATAGCACAATCCCATTTTTGTTGAATAAATATATACACAAGTATATAAATAAATACATATATATCAAAAGATATATATCCAAAAGATAAATACTAGCTGGCAAGGTAATCTTTCAACAATGAACATTTATAATTGTAAAGGACTTTGTTGTTGTTGTTTATGGATCATTTGGATGTGAGAATTTTGATATCATGTGAAGTTTTTTAAAAAGTGTGTTTATAGGCCCGGCCGCGGTGGCTCACGCCTGTAATCCCAGCACTTTGGGAGGCTGAGGCGGGCAGATCACAAGTCAAGAGATCGAGACCATCCTGGCCAACATGGTGAAACCTCGTGTCTACTAAAAATACAAAAATTAGCTGGGCATGGGGGCGGGCACCTGTAGTCCCAGCTACTCAGGCGGCTGAGGTAGGCAAATTGCTTGAACCTGGGAGGCGGAGATTGCAGTGAGCCGAGATTGCGCCACAGCACTCCAGCCTGACAACAGAGCGAGACTCCATCTAAAAAAAAAAGTGTGTATAGGCCAGGTGCAGTGGCTCACACCTGTAATCCCAGCACTTCGGGAGGCTGATGCAGGAGGATTACTTGAGCTCAGGAGTTTGAAACCAGCCTGAGCAACATAGTAAGACCCCATCTTTTCAAAATATTTTAAAATTACCCAGGCTTGGTGGGGTGTATGTATAGTCCCAGCTACTCAGGAGGCTGAAGTGAGAAGATCACTTGTGCCCAGGAGGTCGAGGCTGCAGTGAGCCATGATCATACCACTGCACTCCAGCCTAGGCCACAGAATGAGACTGCCTCAAAAAAAAAAAAAAAAAAAAAAATATATATATATATATATATATATATATATATATTAATCTTAGAGGTTAGAAAGATGAACAAAATTATCAATATTTGTTTCTGGATGGTGAGACTTAAAACATTTCCTGCCTCTTTTGTTTTACTGTACATTCCAACTTTTTTGAAATAATTAAGTAGAAGTCGGCCAGTGCGGTGGCTCACGCCTATAATCCCAGCTACTTGGGAGGCTGAGGCACAATTGCTTGAACCCGGGAGGCGGAGGTTGCAGTGAGTCGAGATCACACCACTGCACTCCAGCCTTGGCGATAGAGGGAGACTCCATCTCAAAAAAATAAAATAAAATAAAAATAAATAAGATTTAAAAAATAAAAAAAAGAGGGTTGCTGCATCTGAGACTGCAGGTTCTACTCTGGGTTCTGGAAAGAGGACAGACCAGAACTAGGCTCTCCTTGGTACCAGCAGAGAGCCAAGGGACTGCAGCACAGGAGGGAAGGAAGCCCCTGGAGGCCAGTTAGGGCAGCCACTAGCAGTGCCTTCATGAGAAAAGTACCCTCCAGATTCAATGCAGCCCTGGGGACACTTGTCCTGGCAAGAAAAGAGTGTCCTCGTGCAAATTATCAACAAGTAGTCTTTCCTGCCTGCAAACACACTCCCTCCCCAGGGACAGCCACAAACAGCCTTGTAGAAGGAGCAGAGACTTAAGCATCCACTTAGCCAGATGCTCTTGTTTGGTTAACAACCTGCAAAACTAGGCAGCAGTAGCCCCAAAGCCTGGAGCAAAAATCAGAATTTCATGGTTCCTTGAAGGAACACCAAAAAAAAAAAAAAAAGAAGAAGAGAGAGAATCCTCTCCTCCAACTGCCCAAATAGAAAGGATCTCAGTGAATTAAGAATCCTCTGGGAGGGGCAGCAATCCCACTTGCTCAGAGACCTGGAGAGTGACCAGGCTGGGGTGGGTGTGCTGAAGTCAGGAGAGGGTCACCCCTTGTCAGAGAGACCTGCAAACAATCCCCCACCCACCCCATCCTCGGCAAGGGCTGATGGTTTGCCAGTTCTCACCTCGGTCCAGAGAGCAGAAACTGCCAACTTCAACCACTCCCCGCTTGGCTACTACTCAGCAGCCCTGACTCATTAAGAAAACACAAAAATCGAGAGCAACCAGACACAATACAAAAGGGGAACCCTCACCTGAGGAGGCTCAGAAGGAGGGGAATAGGGCAGATCTCACTGAAGTAGCAATTAAATGGAAGAGACTTTATCAGAAACAGTAGTGAAAGCCCGGGCACTGACCCAGACAAAAAAGCACACTTCTCCGTGGTGACCAAATTAGTAATGTGGAATATCAAGTAGAAGATATATTGCAGAACAAAGAGGTTAAAAAGCCAAGAAATGGAAATAAGGGTGGGAAAGAGATTTGAAAACACATTAAGGAGAGCCAACGTGAATAATGGAAGTTCCAGAAGGAGCAAAAGCAGGAAGGTAATAAAGGAGAACTTCCGTAATCTGAAGGAGACTGAGTACACTGAAAGAGCCCGCCAAATCCTAGGCAGCTTTGATTTTTAAAACAGATGCACAAATATGCTGCGAAATTCCTAAATTCCCAGTGAGAAGGGGGAGATTAAAGTATTCAAAAAGTCTCCTCTTGGGGCCAGCCACCGTGGCTCACACCTGTAATCCCAGCACTTTGGGAGGCTGAGACTGGCGGATCACTTGAGGTCAGGAGTTCGAGACCAGCCTGGCCAACGTGGCGAAACCCTGTCTCTACTAAAAATACAAAAATTAGCCAGGCGTGGTGGCGCATGCCTGTAATCCCAGCTACTTGTGAGGCTGAGGCAGCAGAATCACTTGAACCCAGGAGGCAGAAGTTGCAGTGAGCCAAGATTGTGTCATTGCACTCCAGTCTGGGCTACAGAGTGAGACTCTGTTTCAAAAAAAAAAAAAAAAACCAGGCCGGGCGTGGTGGCTCATGCCTGTAATCCCAGCACTTTGGGAGGCCGAGGCGGGTGGATCATGAAGTGAAGAGATCAAGACCATCCTGGCCAACATGGTGAAACCCCGTCTCTACTAAAAATACAAAAATTAGCTGGGCATGGTGGTGCGCGCCTGTACTCCCAGCTACTCGGGAGGCTGAGGCATGAGAATCGCTTGAACCCAGGAGACAGAGGTTGCAGTGAGCCGAGATTGTGCCACTGCACTCCAGCCTGGCAACAGAGCGAGACTTCATCAAAAAAAAAAAAAAAAAAGGTGTCCTTTGCGGCCAAGGGGAAGCTGGGCTGGGGGTAAAGCTGCATGGTGCAGGGTGACAAATAGACAACTGATGGGCTGCAGTCTGGATTGTGAGGAACTGAAAGGTATACAGTTCCAGAGCTGAAACTAAAAAGCATGGGATCTCAATTAACAAAGAGGAAAGCAGGAAATGAAGAAAAACTTAAAAGACTGCAAAAGTAAGAAAAAAGGAAAATAGTATAAAATGTAATAAATATAATAGAAGTAATACAAAAAGAATAAAATCAGAGCTACTTCAAAAAATATGAACAGGCTGAATTTCCAGACCAAAACAGACTGTGAAATCAATGTGTTAGAAAACAAAATCTAGCTACATCTAAAAGTAACAAAGGCTAAAAATAAAAGGATGAACCATATACCATGTAGCAGGAGAACAAAAAGAAGGAAGAGCAACACCAGAAATCCAGGCCAAACCCAATATGACACCAAGAAGCATTAAATTGGACAAAGATGGGTATGTTAACAGGTTCACTCCATGAGATGACAGGCACCCAACATCACAGTAGCCAGATACATAAAACAAAACCTCCCAGACATACAAGACCTTTATTAAAAGACAAAAACAAACAAGACACCACGATAATAGTAGGAGGCCTCAGTATTCTTCCAGAATTTTGAAAAATTGAGTTGGCAAAAAATAACATCAAATATTGGAATAAAGCAAACATTCACTTATGTGATAGAATGTTTACAAAAGTTGACTGTTTATTGGCCACTGATAAATCCATTTATTTATTTATTTATTTGAGACCAGGTCTTGTTCTGTCACCCAGGCTTGGAATGCAGTGGTGTGATAACAGCTCACCGCAGCCTCAAATTCCTGGGCTCAAGGAACCCTCTGCTTCAGCCTCCCAAGTAGCTGGGACTACAGGCATGTGCCACCACCCCCGGTTTTTTGTGGGTTTTGTTTGTTTGTTTGTTTGAAATGGAGTCTCACTCTGTTGCACAGGCTGGAGTGCAGTGGTATGATCTTGACTCACTGTCCGCCTTCCGGGTTCAAGCGATTCTCCTGCCTCAGCCTCCCGAGTAGCTGGGATTACAGATGTGCGCCACCACGCCCAGCTAATTTTTGTATTTTCAGTAGAGACAGGATTTTAGCATGTTGGCCAGGCTGGTCTCAAACTCCTGTCCTCAGGTGATCTGCCTGCCTCGGCCTCCGAAAGTGCTGGGATTACAGGCGTAAGCCACCACATCCTGCCGTTCTTTTTGTTGTTGTTTGTTTGTTTGTTTGTTTTAATGAGACGAGGTGTCGCTATGTTGACCACTTTGGCCTCCCAAAACGTTGGGACTGCAGGCATAAGCCACTGCACCCAGCAGAGAAATCCCTAATAAATTCCCTACTGTAGAGATTTAATAGGCCACATTCTTGGATCATAATTAAATAACATGCAAGTAAATAATAAAATTACTAAAGAGGGGGATAAACAACACAACTCAGAAATCAAGAAGCCCCTTCCTAAATAACCCCTAGATCAAAGAGGAAATCAAAATTGGTATTATGAATTATCTAGAAAGTAATACAAATTAACACTTGATGTGGGATCTGTATTTAGGTAATTTGTAGTCTTAAATGCTTAATTTTTTAAAAGATTGAAAATAAGTGAACTACATGATTCAATTTGAGAAAATCAAAAATAGAAACCAATAGCAAGAGGGACTTAATAGAGATATAAGATTAGATTAAATAAGTGAAACCAAAAAATAGTGGAAAGAATAAGTTTTCTTTGAAAAATGAAATAAGCCAATATACTGCAAGTCTAATTCAGGAAAAAAGAAAACAAAAGTGCAGTTATTGGGAACAGATGGATATATAACCACAAAAGTGAAAAAGGCTGAAAAAAATTATAAAATATTATATGGCTTGAGGTCAGGAGTTCGAGACCAGCCTAGGCAATATAGTGAACTAAAAATACAAAAATTGCCCAGGGAGGTTGAGGTGAGAGGATGGCTTGAGCCTGGGAGGCAGAGGTTGCATTTTGCCATTGCACTCCAGCCTGGGTGACAGAACCAGACCCTGTCTCAAAAAAATAATAAAAAATAAGTGTTGGTGAGGATGTAAAGAAATTGGAACCCTCATACATTGTTGGTGGGAATGTAAATGATGCAGCTGCTATGGAAAACAGTTTGATGTTTTCTTAGTAATTTTAACAAGGATTTACCACATGACCCAGCAGCTCCACTCCTAGGTACATTTCCCATAGAATGGACAACATTCAGACAAAACCTTGTAAATGAGTATTCATAGCAATATTATTCATAATAGCCTCAAAGTAGAAACAACTCAAATGTCTATCAACTGGTGAATAAACAAAATGCGGCATTTTATTATTCAGCCATAAAAAGGAACAAAGTCCTGGCCGGGCACAGTGGCTCATGCCTGTAATTCCAACACCTTGGGAGGCCAACGCGGGCGGATCACAAGATCAGGAGTTCAAGACCAGCCTGGCCAATATGGTGAAACCCCCTCTCTACTAAAAATAGAAAAAAATTAGCTGGGCGTGGTGGCACATGCCTGTAATCCCAGCTACTTGGGAGGTTGAGGCAGGAGAATTGCTTGAACCTGGGAGGCGGAGGTTGCAGTTAACTGAGATTGCACCATTGTACTCCAGCCTGGGCAACAGAGTGAGACTCAGTCACAAAAAAAAAAAAAAAAAAAAAAAAGGAACAAAGTATTGATGCATGCTACAAGGCAAATGAACTTCAACAGCATTATGCTAAGTGAGAGAAGCCAGACACAAAAGGTCACCTATGTAGGATTCCACTTCCGTGAAACATTTAAAATAGGCACATTTTGAGATGGAAAGCAGATTAGTAGTTGCCAGAGGCTAGAGGAAGTGGGGAGTGGGCAGTGGCTGCTAATGGTACAGGGTTTCTTTCTTTTTTAAAAACAATTTTATATATTAAAAATATTTTAACATAGGGTCCTGCCTTGTCACCCAGGCTGGAGTATGGTGGTGTGATCATAGTTCACTGTAACCTAGAACTCCTAGGCTCAAATGATCCTCCTGTCTCAGCCTCCCAAGTAGCCAGGACTACAGGGGTGTGCCATCACACCTGGCTAATTTTGTTTTTTAAGAGA
The DNA here is from genome assembly GCF_000001405.40 of Homo sapiens. NCBI lineage: Eukaryota > Metazoa > Chordata > Mammalia > Primates > Hominidae > Homo > Homo sapiens. Next base: position 16,333,946 of record NC_000017.11, read on the forward strand.
CTGGGTTTCACTATGTTGGTCATGAACTCAAAAACACTGAATACTAAAGTATACTAACACTGAATTGTACACGTTAAAGGGTTGAATTTTATGTTATTCAAACTGTATCTCAATTCAAAAATTCACGTGAAAATAAGATTGCATTAAAATATTCTAGTTCACTATAAAAGATATACACAAGCTAAATTTGATGATCACGCCGGGTGCGGTGGCTCACGCCTGTAATCCCAGCACTTTGGGAGGCTGAGGCAGGCGTATTACGAGGTCAGGAGATCGAGACCGTCCTGGCTAACACGGTGAAACCCCGCCTCTACTAAAAATACAAAAAATTAGCCGGGGGTGGTTGCAGACGCCTGTAGTCCCAGCTACTCGGGAGGCTGAGTCAGGAGAATGGCGTGAACCCGGGAGGCGGAGCTTGCAGTGAGCCGAGATTGCCACTGCACTCCAGCCTGGGAGACAGAGCGAGACTCCGTCTCAAAAAAAAAAAAAAAAAAATCTGATGATCGCTTTCTGCACCTAGTGATACTCACCTAACACACTAGCCCATTAAACACAAATACTACAGAATACAACATTTGTTGTTATTTTGAACAACTTTTAGTGCTTCCTGTTTTTCTTTTAACAGTTTTTAAAAGATAAAACGAATTAATGCAGAACATAAAACAAGAATTGAATAAATGGAGAGTTGTGCCATGTTCCTTGATAGAGATTTAAAAATCCTCATACAGTTCATATATAAATTTAATACTACCTATAGCATCTATAAATTCCAATATAGAAATTTAAATATTTACATATGTATTTATATATGTATATTTATTCACATTCTTACAATGTTAATATATAAATTTAATGTAATTCTAGTCAGAATATCAATGGATTATCTTTGGGATTTGAATTAAATTATTTTAAAAATATATTAGAAAAGAAAATGTCCAAGTATCGCCAAAATATAAACATCAAAAAGGATAGTGACGTGAGGCCTGCCTTTCTATATATTAAAACTTAGGCCAGGTGTGGTGGCTCACGCCTGTAATCCTAGCACTTTGGGAGGCTGAGGCAGGCGGCTCACGAGGTCAAGAGTTCGAGACAGCCTGGCCAACATGATGAAACCACGTCTCTACTAAGAATACAAAAATTAGCCAGGCATGGTGGCGCGTGCCTGTAATCCCAGCTACTCGGGAGGCTGAGGCAGGAGACTCGCTTGAACCCGGGAGGCAGAAGTTGCAGTGAGCCTAGTTTGCACCACTGTACTCCAGCCTGGGCAACAGAGCAAGACTCTGTCTCAAAAAAAAAAAAACAGCAACGATCCCATGCAAAAGGACGACAAATAGCATAAGACAGCTAAGGATAAACCGAACCCTACAGCGTGCTGTTCATACTGTTTCCATAAAGAGAACAGCATAAAACTTGAAGAGTGGGAAAGAACAAACCCATTGGTGAGCCATATTACCTTCCTGGATGATAAAGCAGTACTGTACAGAAGTCTGTTCTCCCTGAATTAATTTATAAATGCAATATAATTGCAACCAAAATCCAAACATGCTTTGATTGCATGATACTTGACTCACTAATTCTAAAATTCATCTGCAGGACACAGTGCACAAAAACAGAATAATATGGCCAGGCACCGTGGCTCACGCCTGTAATCCCAGCACTTTGGGAGGCCTGAGGCTGACGGATCACCTGAGGTTGGGAATTCAAGACCAGCCTGGCCAACATGGTGAAAACCCGTCTCTACTAAAATATAAAAATTAGCTGCGCATGGTGGACACACCTGTAATCCCAGCTACTCAGGAGGCCGAGGCAGGAGAATCGCTTGAACCTGGGAGGCGGAGGTTGCAGTGAGCCAAGGTCGCACCACTGCACTCCAGCCTGGGCGGCAGAGTGAGACTCCTTCCCCACCCCCCACCCCACAAAAAAAGTGTAATATGGCAGGATTTACCCTATTAGATTGTTTAAGGCACATTATAAAGCTTGGGGATTTAAAATAATTTGTTATTTGTGGAACTACAAAAAAATAGATGAAAAGAACAAATAAGAGTCCTTAAAAACCCTGATTAGTATATGTAACATTTTAAATAAATGAAGAATGGATGGATTCATCAATAAAGTGTTGAGCCACCAGTTATCCAATTTGAGGATACCATTCACAAAATTTAGAGGAAGAAAAAAAAAACCCACACACAAATCCAGGTAGATCAAAGAACTATATGTTTAAAAAACAAATAGCCGGGCGTGGTGGCTCACACCTGTAATCCCAGCACTTTGGGAGGCTGAGGTGGGTGGATCACAAGGTCAGGAGTTTGAGACCAGCCTGGCCAGCGTGGTGAAACCCCGTCTCTACTAAAAATACAAAAAATTAGCCGGGCATGGTGGCATGTGCCTGTAGTCCCACCTACTCAGGAGGCTGAGGCAGGAGAATTGCTTGAATCCAGCAGGTGGAGGTTACAGTGAGCTGAGATCGCACCACTGCACTCTAGACTGGGTGATAGAGCGAGACTCCATCTTAAACAAACAAACAAAACCAATAAACAAACAAAAGTCAGTAAAAGTAGTAGAAGAAAATACAAGTAAATATGTTTATAAGCTTGGGTAAGGAAGAATTTTTTTTTTTTTTTTTTTTGAGACAGAGTCTTGTTCTGTCTCCTAGGCTGGAGTCCAGTGGCTTGATCACAGCTCACTGCAGCCTTGAATTCCTTGGCTCAAGCTATCATCCCACCTCAGCCTCCTGCATAGCTAGGACTCAGGCATGTGCCATGCTAAGCTAATTTTTTATTTATTTTTAAAATTAATTAATTTTTTTTTTTTTGGGACAGAGTTTCACTCTTGTTGCCCAGGCTGCAGTGCAATGGTGCAATCTTGGCTCGCCGCACCCTCTGCCTCCTGGGTTCAAGCGATTCTCCTGCCTCAGCCTCCCAAGTAGCTGTGATTACAGGTATGCACCACCATGCTAGGCTAATTTTGTATTTTTAGTAGAGATGGGGTTTCTCCGTGTTGGTCAGGCTGGTCTCGAACTCCCGACCTCAAGTGATCCACCCGCCTCAGCTTCCCAAAGTGCTGGGATTACAGGCGTGAGCCATTGCGCTGCTAAGCTAATTTTTTTTTTTTTTTTTTGAGACGGAGTCTCACTCTGTTGCCCAGGCTGGAGTGCAGTGGCAGGATCTCGGCTCACTGCAAGCTCCACTTCCTGGGTTCACGCCATTCTCCTGCCTCAGCTTCCCTAGTGGATGGGACTACAGGAGACCGCCACCACTCCCGGCTAATTTTTTTGTATTTTTAGTAGAGACAGGGTTTCGCCATGTTAGCCAGGATGGTCTCAATCTCCTGACTTCATGATCCGCCCTCCTCGGCCTCCCAAAGTGCTGGGATTACAGGCGTGAGCCACCACGCCCGGCCCTGCTAAGCTAATTTTTAAAATTTTTTTGCAAATATGAGGTCTCCCTGTGTTGCCCAGTTTGGTCTCAAACTCCTGGCCTCAAGTGGTCTTCCTCATTTGGCCTCCTAAAGTGCTGGGATTACAGGTGTGAGCCACCACGCCTAGTCCCAGAAAGATATTCTCAAAAAAGAAATAAATCACAGCCGGCTGCGGTGGCTCACGCCTGTAATCCCAGCACTTTGGGAGGCCAAGGCGGGCGGATCGCAAGGTCAGGAATTCAAGACCAGCCTGACCAACATGGTGAAACCCTGTTTCTACTAAAAATACAAAAATTAGCTGGGCGTGGTGGCGCACGCCTGTAATCACAGCTACTCAGGAGGCTGAGGCAGGAGAATCGTTTGAACCCGGGAGGCAGAGGTTGCAATGAGCCGAGATCATGCCATTGCCCTCCAGCCTGGGCAACAGAGACCGACTCCATCTCAAAAAAAAAAAAAAAAAAAAAAAGAAGAAGAAGAAGAAGAAAAAAGAAATAAATAAATCACAAAAAACCCAGAAAACCCAAGTCAGAGAGCCACTAAGACAAAAGAAAAAAAAAAAAAAAGACTAATGAATTTGACTCCATCAAAAATTAAAACTCAGCCAGGTGTGGTGGCTCATGCCTGTAGTCCCAGCACTTTGAGAGGCCGAGGTGGGTGGATCATGAGTTCAGGAGTTGGAGACCAGCCTGGCCAACGTAGTAAAACCCCGTCTCTACCAAAAATACAAAAAAATTAGCTGGGCGTGGTGGTGGGTGCTTGTAATCCCAGCTACTTGGGAGGCTGAGGCAGGAGAATTGCTTGAACTAGGGAGGCAGAGGTTTCAGTGAGCCAAGTCACGCCATTTTACTCCAGCCTGGGCAACAAGAGCGAAACTCCATCTCAAAAAAAAAAAAAAAAACCCAAAAAAACAAATGCATATCTTTCAGCTCAGCAATCCCACTTCTCTATTCTCAAATAATACACATATGTATGTATAAAGAGGTGTGTACAAGAATGTTCACTGTCAACACTCTTGGTAATAGCAAAAAACTGTAAACAATCATAATTTCCGTGAAAAAAAGAATAGCTAAATAAACTACACCCACACTATGCTGTTCTATGCAACAGTTAATAATGAGGATATGTATATTGATATGAAAAGATCAAGATGTAATTAAATAAAGAAATGCAACCGAATGCAGTGGCTCCCACCTATAATCCCAGCACTTAGGGAGGCCAAGGCAGGAGGCTCACTTGAGGCCAGGAGTTTGAGAGCAGCCTGGGCAACATAGCATGACCCCATCTCTACAAAAAATTTTAAAAAATTAGCCAGGGGGTGGCACACACCTGTAGGCTGTGGTAGGACTGCTTGAAGTAAGGAGTTCAAGGTTACAGTGAGCTGTGATCACATATCCCTAAAAAAAATAATTTTTTTTTTAAGACGGAGTCTTGCTCTGTCACCCAGGCTGTAGTGCAATGGTGCGATCACAGCTCACTGCAGCCTCAACTTCCCGGGCTCAGGTGATCCTCCCACCTCAGCCTCCTGAGTAACTGGGACTACAGGTGAGCACCAACACACCCAGCTAATTTTTTTTACTTTTTATTTACTTATTTATTTATTTATTTATTTATTTTTTGAGACGGAGTCTTGCTGTCACCCAGGCTGGATTGCAATGGCACACAATCTTGACTTACTGCAACCACCGCTTCCCAGGTTCAAGCAATTCTCTTGCCTCAGCCTCCTTAGTAGCTGGGATTAAAGGTGTACACAACCATGCCCGGCTAATTTTTGTATTTTTAGTAGAGATGGGGTTTCGCCACGTTGGCCAGGCTGGGCTCAGACTCCTGATCTCAGGTGATCCACCTGCCTTGGCCTCCCAAAGTGCTGGGATTACAGGCATGAGCTACCGCGCCCAGCCTGATTTTTTGTATTTTTAGTAGAGACAGGGTTTTGCCATGTTCTCCCAAAGTACCGGAATTACAGGTGTGAGCCACCGTGCTTGGCCCCTGTATAATTTTAAAATTAAAAAAAATTAAAAATACCTGGAGTTCTGGCCTCGAAAATCCCATCCTTGTGCGTGCTGCTTCCAGTCTTGAAGAGTGAACCTGGCCATCAGTGATTCTGAAGAGACAGTGACCACATAGAACCCAGCACAGCAAACTGAGAAACTGCCATTTTTATTGTATTTTATTGTTTCCTGTAGAGATGGGGGGGTCTCACTACATTGCCCAGTCTGGTCTTGAACTCTAGGGCTTAAGCAATCCTCCTGCCTCAGCCTTCCATAGTGCTGTATTACAGGTGTGAGCCACCATGCCTGGCCTGGCCATCTGTATTTTTTTTGTTTGTTTGTTTTTTGTTTTTGAGACAGAGTCTCACTCTGTCTTCCAGGCTGGAGTGCAGTGGCATCATCTCAGCTTACTGCAACCTCTGCCTCCTGGGCTCAAGCCATTCTCCTGCCTCAGCCTCCTGAGTAGCTGGGATTACAGATGCCCAACACCACGCCCAGCTAATTTTTGTATTTTTAGTAGAGACGAGGTTTCACCATGTTGGCCAGGCTGGTCTTGAACTCCTGACCTCAGGTGATCCACCGGTCTTGGCCTCCCAGAGTGCTGGGATTACAGGTGTGAGCCACCACACTCGGCATTTTTTTTTAATTTTTTTTTTTTTTCCTCAGAGACCTTTGTTCTGAGATCTTTATTCCCTCTCCCTGTTCTTTTTCCTTGTCTAGTCTACCTCACAAATCATTTCATGAGTAATTTCCCTAAAGCAAAGAGCAAATATTTATTAAGCATTTGCCATTATTTGTACTCAGTATTTGGTAATGGCAGGAATGTTTGAGGAAAGCTAATATGTTAGTAATATGGAGCAATGTGAAGTTAAGAAGAGAGGGAGATGGCAACCAATCAGAAGACTATATGAGGCCAGGCTTTATTCATCCTGTTCAGAGGTGGTCACAGCTTCCCAATGCCTGCAAAATAAAGGCCAAATTCCTGAGCCTAATATCCAAGACCATCCAGTCTATCCTCAACATACCTTTCTGATATCTTCATTACTTCTTCCCATTAAAAGCCTCCAATTCAGCCAATTTTTTTTTTTTTTTTTTTTTTTTGAGATGGGGTCTTGCTGTGTCTCCCAGGGTGGAATGCATGACACCATCATAGCTCACTGCAGTCTCAAAACTCCTGGGCTCATGTGGCCCTCAGCTTCCTAAGTAGCTGCAACTACAGGTGTGCACCACCACATGCAGCTTCAGCCTGGCTTTTGCATGTGTGCGTACCTGTTCAGTTACTTCTCCTGTCTCCTTAAACCTTGCTTCCTTTATTGATTGATTGATTGAATGATTGATTGAGACGGAGTTTTGCTCTTGTTGCCCAGGCTGGAGTGCAATGGCACGAACTCGGCTCACTGCAACCTCTGCCTCCCGGGTTCAAGCAATTCTGCCTCAGCCTCCCGAGTAGCTGGGATTACAGGCGCCCGCCACCATGCCCAACTAATTTTTGTATTTTTAGTAGAGACAGGGTTTCACCACATTGGCCAGGCTGGTCTTGAACTCCAGATCTCAGGCCATCCACCAGCCTCGGCCTCCCAAAGTGCTGGGATTACAGGCGTGAGACACCATGCCCAGCTGAAATCTTGCTTCCTTTAAAAATAGGATCAAAGTTGTTGTTTCATGGGTACAGAGTTTCAGTTTTGCAAGGTGAAGAGTTCTGGAGATGGATGGCAATGATGGCTACACAACAATGTGAATGTACTTAACACTGCTGAATTGTACACTTAAAAATGGTTAAGGCCAAGTGCAGTGGCTCATGCCTGTAATCACAACACTTTGAGAGGCCGAGGCAGGAGGACTGCTTGAGCCCAGGAGTTTGAGACCAGCCGGGGCAACATGGAGTGACCTTGTCTTTACAAAAAATATTAGCCGGATGTGGTGGCACACACCTGTAGTCCCAGCTACTCCAGAAGCTAAGAGGGGGGAGATCTCAAGTCTAAGTCAAGGTTACAGTGAGCCATGTTCATGTATTGCACTGCAGCCTAGGTGACCGAGCAAGACAGTCTCAAAATAACTAAAGAGAGAGATTCTGTCTCTAAATAAATTAACAGTTTATGGTAAATTTTATGTGTATTTTACAACTGAAAAAGAAATTAGAAGCTGATTTAACTTTTTAAAGATAGACTCAAATCGTACTCTCCTCAAGGCTTCCCTGAGTTCTCTCCTTTGAACTCTTAGAGCTCTTATTATCTTTACAGCTCACATGGATTGTAACCATTCACAATTTTTTTTTTTTTTTTTTTTTTTGAGACAGAGTCTTTTTCTGTCAGCCAGGCTGGAGTGCAGTGGCGCAATCTTGGCTCACTGCAACCTCTGCCTCCTGGATTCAAGCAATTATCCTGCCTCAGCCTCCTGAGTAGCTGGGATTACAGGCGCCCGCCACCACGCCTGGCTAATTTTTGCATTTTTAGTAGAAACAGGGTTTCACCATGTTGGCCAGGCTGGTCTCAAACACCTGATCTCAGGTGATCCACCTGCCTTGGCCTCCCAAAGTGCTGGAATTACAGGCGTGAGCCACAGTGCCCAGCCTTTTTTTTTTTTTTTGTAGATGGAGTCTCGCTCCATCACCCAGGCTGGAGTGCAGTGGTGCAATCTCCACTCACTGCAACCTCTGCCTCCTGGGTTCAAGTGATTCTCCTGCCTCAGCTTCACAAGTAGCTGGGACTACAGGCACATGCCACCATGCCCAGCTAATTTTTGTAATTTTAGTAGAGACGGGGTCTCAACACATTGGCCAGGCTGGTCTTGAACTCCTGACCTCAAGTAATCCACCCGCCTCAGCCTCCCAAAGTGCTGGGATTACAGGTGTGAGCCACCATGCCCTGCCACAATCTTCCATTTTTAATAATTGTTTATCTTATGTCTTCTTTCCAATTTAGCTACACATTTTTTTCTTTTTTCTTATTTTTTTTTTGAGACAGTCTCATTCTGCCACCCAGGCTGGAGTGCAGTAGCACGAACACAGCTCACTGCAGCCACAACCTCCTGGGCTCGATCAACCCTCCGGAGTAGCTGGAACTACAGGCTTAAGCCACAATGCCTGGTGGCAAACATCTTGATAGTGCTGAGTATATATCTGCTATTAATCGACTGGCCTCAGAAGCAAATCACAGTACAAAAGAAATGATAAACCAAAGTGACTGCTTTAATGTTAAAAATATTTATTTTTTTTCCTAAAAGATCACACAAAAGTTGGGAAGAGAAGGATGTCAATTAGACTACATCAAAATCTGGGCAGAGGGAGGACAAAGAGCTGCCTAAAGAAACTGGTAGCTGGAGCAAACTGCAGAGATCAAGATGACCCTAGTCAACGGAACCAGCAGCCCAGGTCAGCCACATTCAGGAGCACCACCGAGGCACGGCAGGGAGAGCAAAGTTGCTGGCCCCAATCATTCCTCCTTTTCAGGGCAGGAGAGGCAGAAGCTCACTCTTTAGACATGTTCTTGATGGTCTTGTGCTCTTTCATGGCCTTCTCCCAATCGCTGCCATTGAATTCCTCAGTGACCATACTCCGCACAGTGCCCTCATCCAGGCAGTGGGGGGCAATTCCTACGAGAAAGTGGCACAGACAAAGGGGGATCCTCAGTATGGGTGAGACCAGATGGTGTACCGGCTCCTGGATAAGCCCCCACCTGCAGGCATCATCACGCTACACATTAGGGCTTCCAAAGGATATGCCACAGCTTATGGCTTCAGTGATGAGACCCACAGGCTGCCAGCTGGCTCGGAAAGCACTGGCTCCAGCCTACCGCTTCAGCCCTCTGACTCACTTTCCTCAACTGCCAGATGGGAATCACACTCCCTGAGCCAGGTTTGGCCAAGGCTAGACAACATTCAATACCAAGTTGAGAGTACAACATGCAGAAAGGCACAGCCCAGAGCAATCTCTGACTGGCAGCCTGAAGAATTCACAGGCCTTTCCTGTGTTTAGATAGATAACTTTCTTTCCTTTTTTTTCAGATGGAGTTTAGCTCTTGTTGCCCAGGCTGGAGTACAATGGCGTGATCTTGACTCACTGCAACCTCTGCCTTACGGGTTCAAGTGATTCTCCTGCCTCAGCCTCCCAAGTAGCTGGGAATACAGGCGTGCGCCACCAAGCCTGGCTAATTTTGCATTTTTAGTAAAGATGGGGTTTCTCCATGTTGGTTAGGCTGGTCTCGAACTCCCGACCTCAGGTGAGCCACCATGCCTGGCCTCAGATAGATAACTTTCTAAGAATTAAATGTCTTCCCATTTGCACAGGATTTCATACTTTTCAACTCTTTCCTGTTCTGCAAGGTAGACAGGAAGGAGTCTCCATGTGACAGATGAGGAACAGGAGGCCCTGAAGCAATGGGGGAGCGGTAAGGATGACATCCTGCCCTGCCCTGCCTCCCCCACCTCCCCTGTCCGCTCCCCACCACCATAAGGCAAAAGACACTGACAGTCATAGCTGCTCTCGCAGCTCTGGAGGCTGCACTGACACAACAAGAGTCCTCAGAACATCTTCCACCTCTGCTTTCCCCTTCAATTCACACTATAGTTGGTATGATTCTCAACAACTGTCAGAGGGTTAGTTTTATTACTCCCCAGACCCAAGCAGGCCCTGAAGCGGGGCTTGGAGGGTTCCCTGCTTGTTTATTATTTTTTAAAAAGAACAGAGATACGGTTTTGCTATGTTTCCCAGGCTGGTCTCAAACTCCTGAGCTCAAGAAATCCTCCCACCTTGGCCTCCCAAAGTGCTGGGATACAGGTGTGAGCCACCGCAGCCAGCCAGTCCTGCCTAATTTTTGAACAACCAAAAAGCTTTCAAATGCCATTATCAATGCTCCCCAATCTTGCCTCCTTCACTCCCTTAACCCCTGTCATTATTAAAGCTGCCTCCCCTGGCCCCACAAGCCCATCTCCTCACCCCTCTCCTCCCTACCCTTCAACACCATCCCCAGCAACACCAGCTCTACCAGCACCAGTGAATAAGAATCACAACCTGGATGGGCTCCAAGTCCAACTTCACCACATTCAGATATGGGATTCAGAAAAGTTTCACCGGAGCCCGACTCACATTCTATCATGTGGAAAGCGCTCTGCTGAGGAGCCCTGTTCCTCTAAGATACGCATGTGACAGGGTCTAGTCAGCATCCCACCTGTCCAAATAAGACTTTAAATGAGAGCACCATGGGCCTCTCTGTGTCCCCCTGAGCTTGCAGTCCATCCCCTTTACTCACCGAAGCCTCCGGGGTTTGATCGTGGAGTATAGAAGCTCTGAACGCCACATCTCTTACAGAAGGTATGCTGGGCTTTGTGAGTATTGAACGTGTAAGTCGTTATGTGCTCAGCTCCCTAGGTGAAAACAGACAAACGGTATTCTTTTTTACAAAGAGATTTATTTATTTAATTTATTTATTTATTTATTTATTGAGACAGAGTCTCCCACTGTCTCTCAGGCTGGAGTGCAGTGGCGCAATCTTGGCTCACTGCAACCTCCACCTGCATGGGTTCAAGAGATTTTCCTGCCTCAGCCTCCCAAGTAGCTGGGATTATAGGCGCGTGCCCCCATGCCCAGCTAATTTTTTGTATTTTTAGTACAGACAGGGTTTCACCATGTTGGCCAGGTTGGTCTCGAACTCCTGACCTCATGATTCACCCACCTTGGCCTCCCAAAGTGCTGGGATTACAGGTGTGAGCCACTGCGCCTGGCCCCAAAGACATTTATTTTTATGTCACTTAAAAAATACACCTTTGTAGCCGGGTGTGGTGGCAGGCGCCTGTAGTCCCAGCTACTCGGGAGGCTGAGGCAGGAGAATGGCATGAACCTGGAAGGCCGAGCTTGCAGTGAGCCGAGATCATGCCACGGCACTCCAGCCTGGGCAACAGAGCGAGACTCCGTCTCAAAAAAAAAAAAAAAAAAAACACCTTTGGCCAGGCATGGTGGCTCATGCCTGTAATCCCAACACTTTGAGGCCGAGGCAGGCGGATTGCTTGAGCCCAGGAGTTCAAGACCAACCTGGGCAACATGGCAAAACCCTGTTTCTACAAAAAAATATAAAAATTAGCCAGGTGCAGTGGCACACATCTGTAGTCCCAGCTACCTGGGAGGCTGAGGTAGGAGCATCAGTTGAGCCTGGGGAAGTAGAGGCTGCAGTGGGCTGAGATCGCACCATTAAAAAAAAAAATCTTGAAATAACTTAATGGCAGGAGCTCTTCTGTAGGGCTCTTTGTACTAAGAGGCCATTTCCTATCTCCAGAAGAGACTGGGACCTTCTTGAGGACAGAGACCCATCTACACTATCCAGAGACATGTCAGTCTGGAGCGTGACAGCTCACAGCTTCCCTTAGGTCAACGGCATACAGAATTCAGCCTTGAGCCTTCCCTGATACATCACATCAGGGAGGGAAAGTGCTTGCTTCCCAGGGCCTATGTGGAGAGACAGTTCACCCAAGGGACTGGCTCTCCATGTCCCCAAACAGAACGGCTCAAGGTCTTAAGAAAACTGATGGCTGTGCTTAATTTATCCACAAAGGACAAACCAGGAAAAAAATATTTGCCAGACGTCATAGACAGGCTAATTTCCTTAATGGATAATACAAACGGGAGACTGGACAAAGGACATGAACGGACAGTTCAGATAGAAAGAAAAATAAATCACTCTTTAGCCTATGAAATGCTCACCAAAGGAACTTCAATGAGATGTATTTCACTGTCAGGTGGGCAAAATCAAAGCCGTTAACATGGTATTGACAAGTATGTAGAGAAATATGTGCTCACATATATCAGTCACAGGAACAGGAATTGGTACAATTTAGCAACATCTACCAAAATTTTAAAGTGTACATATGCTTTAGCACACAATTCCATTTCTTGAAATTTATTATACAGATATATTCCAAATGTCTCAATGACATAGGTATATAGATACTATAGCACTGTTTATGAAGGCTAAAGATTGGAAAAATTGAAAATGTCCCTCAATAGAGGACCGGTTAGGCATTATGGACACTCATAAAATGAAATATTCTCCAACTTTTGAGAAGAATGAGACAGCTCTACAAAACTAACATGGAACAATTGCCAAAGTTACAAAGTAAAGCAAGGTATAGGCCAGGCGCAGTGGCTCACGCCTGTAATCCCAGCACTTTGGGAGGCCAAGGTGGGCAGATCACTTGAGGTCAGGAGTTCAAGACCAGCCTGGCCAACATGGTGAAACCCTGTCTGTACTAAAAATGTAAAAATTAGCCAGATGTGGTGGCGGGCACCTGTAGTCCCAGCTACTCAGGAGGCTGAAGCAGGAGAATCACTTGAGCCTGGGAGGCGGAGGTTACAGTGAGCCGAGATCACACCACTGCACTCCAGCCTGGGCAACAGAGTGAGACTGTCTCAAAAAAAAAGTTAAGCAAGGTATAAAACAACGTACGTGGTATGCTACCATTTCTTTTTTTTTTTTTAAGGCTATATACTGGTATGTGTGGTGTTTTTGTTTTGTTTTGTTTTGTTTTTTTGAGACAAGATCTCACTCTGTTATCCAGGCTGGAGTGCAGTGGTATGACGACAGCTTACTGCAGCCTTGACCTCCCAGGATCAAGTGATTCTCCCACCTCAGCCTCCCGAGTACCTGGGACTATAGGCATGCAACACCACACCTAGCCGATTTTTTATTTTTTGTAGACATGGGGGTCTCGCTATGTTGTCCAGGCTGGTGTTGAACTCCTGGGCTCAAGTGATCTGCCTGCCTTGGCCTTCCAAAGTGCTGGGACTACAGGCATGAGCTACTGTGCCTGGCCTGTATGTGCTTTTATATGCATATGTATCTTTGAAGAGGGATCCAAGAAACAGTGGCTTACCTTTAGGGAGAGAAATCAGACAGCTGAAGGGGAAGGGGTGGAGGTTTCTTATCCTTGTTAACCCTCTTTACGCTTCCCCAGCCATACCGTCCAGAATTGTGCTTCCTATAGAAATAGCTCCCTGAGGAGCCTTGCTCACTCCATAGCCACTGCAGCACAGAAAAGCAGCGAAGGACTGCCAAGTGGTCCCAAGCCATCCAGCATTATCTGGATGGAATTAAAGCCCCGCCCAACCCCACATTACCCATAATGTGCTAAAAGTCTTTTTTAAAAAATCTGTATTCTTTAACCTGGAGATTTTCTTTCTCTCTTTTTTTTTAACTGCTCCTTGTAGAGCAGGGTGTAGGAAGTGTGCCCAGAATAGCCAGAGAACTTATTTCTAAGAGAATTGATCCTAAAGAAGAAATTTCTAAATTGTCAAAAATGTATACCAAGGAGGTTCACCAGTGTTGTTGATAATCAGAAAAAAACGGGACTCAACTGCAATGATGCAGAGACAGTGATGGGGTAAGTAGACCAGGAAATCGGCTGTGGGGAAGAGGGAGACTGGGGCATGGGGACAGTAGGGAAAGATTTTTCACTGTGTATATACACATTTTCTTCTACCTTTCAAATTTTGTACCAAGTACAAAAAATTCCCCAAAATAATAAAATTAAAGTTACAAATAAGTATATAAGCTTTTCATTGGGAAATGAGATAAGCAGTTTATCAACAAAAAGAATGGTAAAATTCTACTTAATAAACATAAGACAATAGGTTTAGATGTATTTCTCAGAGTAGAAAATAATACACAAAGACAGACACCAAAATATTAACAGTGGTTACCTTTAGTTGACAGGATTTGGGTGATTTTATTGTTTTTTGATTCTCTGAATTTGAAAATGTTTCCACAATACCAAATAGGCCTCCAAAAAATAAAGGTAAAAAATAACACAACCTTTTATTTTTTATTTTCATTTTTTTTGAGATGGAGTTTCACTCGTCACCCAGGCTGGAGTGCAATGGTGTGATCTCGGCTCACTGCAACCTCCACCTCCCAGGTTCAAGTGATTCTCCTGCCTTGGCCTCCCAAGTAGCTGGGATTACAGGCATGCACTACAACGCCCAGCTAATTTTTGTATTTTTAGTAGAGATAGGGTTTCACCATGTTGGCCAGGCTGGTCCTCAACTCCTGACTTCAGGTGATCCATCCATCTTGGCCTCCCAAAGTGCTGGGATTACAGGCGTGAGCCACTGTGCCGGGCCCACCTTTTAAATGTCAACCTGAAACCAAAGCCCGTGAGAGGCCCTGCTATGCTCCAGGCCCCTCCCATGCTACAGACGGCATGCTAACAGTTGGGTGGGGGGTCCTGTAAATCTCACCAATGGGTTCTGCACTCCTTGACCCTGCTCTTAAGCACTGACCTTCAGGAGCTTGAAGCGAGAAGCTGGAACAATGAAGTGTCTATTCTGCTTCTTCTTGCAAATGCTGCAACTACAGAAAGACAGAGCAAATTCCAGATTGTGAGCAGCCACCTGCATCCTCTATGCCTGAGCGGCCCAGCCATGAGAGCCAGCCGACCCCACAGATGATGCCCCTTTCAGCACCATCCAGGGCCGAGGAGCTGGGGCAAAGGCCTGGATAGCAGTGCCTCTGGTTTGCAGGTACAGCAGAGCCCAGGGGGGTCCCAAGTCAGCAGTCGAGGTTCTGCAATGCTCAGAACACAGGACCAACAGACAGGTCTGTACTGCCCACCCCTCAGTTCTTTACAGTGAAGAGAAGCGCTGGACTTCAGAGACACTTAGGAAACAAATTTCAGACACTGCTACAACCTGATGTCTCTGAGACATCCACACCAAAAATGGACAAGGAAGTTTAGGTTTCCCTCTTTCTTCATCACCACGTCACAAGAAGTCCAGCTCCAAGTAAAACACGTCCCCAGAATTACCATCTCTGGAATTAAACTGAAGTCCCCTCTTTTCAGGCCACCTTTGAAAAAGTTCTAATTTAGCACAGAATCCTCTCACAAGTTATTCCACAGTGCTTCTTTTCCAATCTGGACTCTATTGTTAGTAGCCTGGTCAGTTCTCCATTTGAGTAATTCCATCGTATGTGCTTATTATTCATATATAATTCCGGTACCTAGGGGCAAAAAGGACTGGATGCTGTTAAATAATTAGCTGCATGCCAACTTTGGGTCCCAAAGCCAGAGCCTGTCGTCCCTGCTCCATCATAACGCCGGGGAAGGTGGTACAAATCAGGCCCTCCACAGCCAGCAGTGCCATCTGCCTCAACCGAAGAGCAGAGCGAGAGTGGAGGGCCTGGGGAGCCTCCAGGTGTATACACCCTTTACTAACATACCCTCCAACTCTCCCCAACTCTAGACTTCTATGAAGATTCTGCCCAAGGCTTTCCACTCAGTACCCAGCCAGGCACACCTGCAGCTAACCGCCCCCGGCTCCTCAGCAGTGTCAGTCTGAGGGTGATGCTGCCACAAGCCACAAGCCCTGAGGACCCTGCTCTGTGTCACCTGGGCCATGCTGTTGAAGCTCTGTGATGAGCCATATAAAAGGAACAAAAATAGAACAATGAACCTTTCTGTCCCCATCACCTGACTTCAACAGTTACCAGCCCAAGGCCAATGTTTCCTCTGTACCCCAACTCCCCAGATTATTTTGAAATATTGCATTTTAACTCTGAAATTCTTTTAAGCCAATTTAGGGAAAAAAAAATACTCACTTGCAGTCAAATATATGCAAGTCTGCTGAGGCCCAAACTTCAAAACGAACTGCTCCACAGTGGCAGCCTCCTGTGTGCTTCACCAGGCCCTGGTATTCACTAAATGAAACAAAAATCAGAAAGATAATAATTTCTGAATAGCTGCCTCCTGCTCTCTTTTTGTTGCTGAAAGAAAGACAGAAGATTAGACAAAAGTCTTTTCTACATGACAACCAGATGCATTTCTGCTTTTAAGGAGGCACTGTCAATTTCCTAAGTGAAGAATGGTTTCAGCACCTTCTTTGTCCATGAGCTCTCTTTTCACCAATTTCTTAAATTATATTAAGTTGCAAAATAAAACATTCCAAACATTTCGAAAATGTGAGGGATCCTAACCCACCACCAGACATTTTTATTTATATGTCAAATACTAAATTTTTTTTTTTTTTTTTGAGATGGAGTCTCAGTCTATTGCCCAGGCTGGAGTACGGTGGCACGATCTTGGCTCACTGCAACCTCTGCCACCTGGGTTGAAGCAATTCTCCAGCCTTAGCCTCCCAAGTAGCTGGGATTACAGGCGCCTGCCACCGCGCCCTGCTAATTTTGTATTTTTAGTAGAGATAGGGCTTCACCATCTTGGCCAAGCTGGTCTTGAACTCCTGACCTTGTGATCCACCCACGGGGACTCCCAAAGTGCTGGGATTACAGGCGTGAGCCACTGCTCCGGGCCTCAAATACTAAATATTTTTATGAGCTAGGCACGAAGGAGAGAACACTAAACAAGATACAGCAGACACGATTGCTACCCTTACCGACCTTAACAATTTACTCAAATAATAATTAATTATGATTGTGATAAAGGAGGTACAGGCTGCTATGAAAAATAAGACTGTGTACTCAATCAAGTCCAGAGGTCCAGAAGAGCCTTTTGAGAAACTTAATAAAGGCTCTTATATTTTTGCTCTATTTCTTTCCAGTATTCTTCATACACATGCGTTTTACATAGTTGTAATACACATTACATAGAATTTTTTTTTTTTGAGAGGGAGTTTCATTCTTGTTGCCCAGGCTGGAGTGCAGTGACGCGATTTCAGCCCACCGCAACCTCCACCTCCAGGGTTCAAATGATTCTCCTGCCTCAGCCTCCCGAGTAGCTGGGATTACAGGCGCCCACCACCACACCCAGCTAATTTTGTATTTTTAGTAGAGACGGGGTTTCTCCATGTTGGTCAGGCAGTCTCAAACTCCCCACCTCAGGTGATCCACCCGCCTCGGCCTCCCAAAGTGCTGGGATTACAGGCATGAGCCACCTCACCCAGCCTACATACAATTTTAACCCTTTAAAGCTTATATATAAGCCAAACTCAGAAATGAACATTAAGATCTGATAAATGTCTTAAAATCGCTTTCCAAAAGGATTGAACACCCTTACCCGATAAATAAATGAGAAAACATTTCACTGTACAGTCTCAGGCAATAATTATAGGAAAAATAGCTCACTGCAGTTTTAATTTGCATGATTAAGACTGATCATTTTTTCATGTTTCTTTACGTTTATGTATTTTAATTTTTTCTGCACACATAATGCTTATTGTAAAAACTCCAAACTTCACACTATTTGAGAGTGCTCAAAGTGAAAGCCTCCTGTAATCTTTACACCCAGAGGGATCTACAGTTAATTATTTGTTATATATTCCCCCAAACTTTTTTCTACACAATATTTTAACGAAAATGGTACAGTTATACACACTTTTTGAATATAATTTAGTAGACTTTATAAGTACAAAGTCATGGCAATCTAGTGGGAGAAAAACAGCTTTTTTATGTCAATATTTTAAAACTTTTTCTTGACCATTTATCAGTTTGTCTTAAAATAAAAATTTATCTCAAATTTGAGTTTTACATTCTTCTTTTTTTCTGTATGCCTTGAAGACACCATGAGTTTTACATTCCTAAGGATCTTCGTATTCCTTCTGCCCAGAGGCAGCCGTCACCCTATAGGTGCTCAAATGTTTGATGGATGAACGTTTTTTAAAAATTCAGTGTGCAGTCCAAGATGAAAAACCAAAAAGTGAAGCACACAGAAAACCAAATATGTATCTTCTGTCGGGGACGACTCATCCTAAGAGAATTTCTTCCGCAAGAAGCTCAAAGGAACATGTTCAAGAAAAGAAGTAATTCTCAGGTTATGCAATTGCTAGGTTATTCTTGTCGGTTTTTTCCCCCTAGTGTTTTGATTGTTCTTTTTAATTCGTAAAATTGACACTGAAATATAATATCAGGGCGTTAAAATATCTCTCTGTAGCACAACTGTTCCCCGAGGCAGGAATCCAGATCGCATTTGGAGAAAAGAAGGCAGCCCTTTAACAGCCCAGTTAAAAGCTCTTTCCCAAATCGCGGACACTCGAGATGCTCCTCGGGCCATCTAAAAGACTGCGGAGCAGCCAGGAGGGCGAGCGGCAGGGAGCATTAGCTGGCTGAGCACATAAAAGCCTCCCTACGTAGGTATCCCCGCCGCCGCGCGAGGCCGGAGCATCTCTTCGCGCGCGCTTCTCTCCCGGATCAATAACCTCCGCCCCCTGCTCCCTCCCTGGCAGTGCCTGGAACAATGACGGGATTTTGCTTCCCAGTGAGTTCAAAACTATTCATGCTTCCTTCAACGCTTCTACCTTTCCCTTCCACCCACCCTCAAAAACACGTGTGCAAACACAAAAAAAAAGGGGATTCGGGTAAGAGAAAGCCGTGGGATTTATGTTCTTTTCACTAAGAAAGGCCCCCACACCCTTTGCGCGCCAGCAAGAGACAACGTCCCCGAGCACGATGCTTATGGCCGGGAAAGACTCTTTGTGTCCCAAGACGGCTGCGCGCGCCCTCAAGCTCCGGACGAAGCCCCCTTTCCATTCCCAGGCCACACAGCCCTAGAAGCACCGCCCCGCCCCGCCGCCCTTAGAATTAAGGAATAACCCCAGTGCTAACGGGGGAGCCGCGTCGGCTCCGTAACGTGGAAGGCTCAGAGCTGAAAGGCGCCCAAGGCCTGCACGCGGGCTGCGAGCCCGACTCCTGCCGAGGGGGTCCGCGTGGCAACGGCTCCCGCGCCCCCCGGCCCGCCGCACTCACAAGGTGTCTAGCAGGAGCTTGGCGGCACCCTCGGAGGTAAGCTTCTGCCGCTTCTGGAACGTCTCCCAGCGCTCCCGCTGCTCGCCCAGGTCCAGGTTGGACGCCGAGGACGTCGGGGTCGCGGGAGTCGGCGGCGGCGGCGGCGGTGGCGGGAGCAACGCCAGCTCAGGCGGCGGCGGCTCCCCCGGGCCCTCCTCCTGGGCCCGCGGCGACGAGCGCCTCAGCCGCGGCTTCTCCGACGGCGGCTTCTCCACCGCCTGGCTCTTGCTCCCGGCCTGGCTAGCGGAGCGCCGTGTGCGGGTGGCGCTGGGTGCCAAGGCAGCGGCCGCGGAGGCCGCGGGGGCCGCGGAGGCCCCGGACCGCTTCTGCCCGCGCAGCTTGGCGGCCGCAGAGCTCCTCGATCGCCGCATGGCTCCCGCAGCCTGGCGCGCAGGCCTCGCAGCGCGGCGCGCCCCCGCCGGCCTGCGCGCGCCCCCGCCGCCCGCCAGTCTTCAGGCCCAGGGGGCGCTGCGCCCGGCTGCCCCGCTCCGCCAGCCGCGCCCCGCAGCGCGGCGCCTGCCCGCAGGAGGGAGACCCGGCCCGCCCGGCCGCTGGGACGCACCTGCCTGTTCAGTCCCGCAGGCAGAGGGGCTGCGCCTGGGCCTACGCTCGCGATACCCAGAATCCACTCGCACCTGCGAAGGCGCCCCTGCCCTGTGTGAATCCAGCGGGCTCTTCGTACCTTCCCGACCTGGAGGGGCCTGGGTTGGGCCTGAATTCGCAGGCTCATCCGAGCGGGCAGCCTGGGGTAACTTCGTCTCCAAAAACGAGCTAATTTGTGTAAACGGCCTGCCACCTGCTACCTCCTGTGTAACAGCGGCCGAAACCATAGTTCTTCACCTTCGTCTTTTCTGTCACATTATAGAACAGTGTCATGAGGATACCAATAGTCAACAGATTTGGGGTTTCATTTTAATTAAATGAATGACCCGCGCGTCGAATTTCATTAGTATGATTTTGATGAAGGCAGCACCAAAGTTTAAAGACAAAAGGCACGAGAATCGTTGATGGAACCCAGATAGTCTTCTTCTCCTTCTCCTTCTTCTTCTTTTTTCAGACCGAGTTTCGCTCTTGTTGCCCAGGCTGGAGTGCAGTGACGCGATCTCGCCTCACCGCAACCTCCGCCTCCCAGGTTCAAGCGATTCTCCTGCCTCAGCCTCCTGAGTAGCTGGGATTACAGGCATTCGCCACCACACCCGGCTAATTTTGTATTTTTAGTAGAGACGGGGTTTCACCATGTTGGTCAGGCTGGTGCCGAATACTCCCGACCTCAGGTGATCCATCCGCCTCGGCCTCCCAAAGCGCTGGGATTACAGGCCTGAGCCACCGGGCCCAGCCTATCTTTCTTTTTTTTTTTTTTTTTTTTTTCTTTTTTGGAGTCTCACTCTGTCGCCAGGCTGGAGTGCAGTGGCGCGATCTCGGTTCACGCAACCTCCGCCTCACCGTTCCAGCGATTCTCCTGCGTCAGCCTATCTTTCTTCTTTATTCTGATTTTCTTCATGGTATTGTTAGTTTAATAGTTTATTGAATTAAAGGCATAGTTTAACTATTTTGTCTTTTTTTTTTTTTTTCCATACAGGATCTGACAGACTGGAGTGCAGTAGCGGGATCTCGGCTCAGTGTAGCCAAGAACTCCTGGCCTCAAGCGATCCTGCCGCCTGGGCCTCTGGAGTAGCTGAGTAGCTGGAACAACAGGCGGCGCCCCCCCCCCCCCCCCCCCGCCCCAGCGAATTGTTGCTATTGTTGTTTTGTAGATACCGGGTTTCCCTATGTTGCCCAGGCTGGTCTCTAACTCCTGGCCTCAAGCGATCCTCCCGCCTAGTTCTCCCCAAGTGTTGGGATTACAGGCGTGAGCCACCGAGCCCCACCTTGCCATTTTGTCGTTGTTGTTGTTGGAATTATGGTTTACACACAGCAACGTGCAAATATCTTAGATGTACAGCTTATGTGACCACCACCACTTCAGATACAGAACATTTTCAGCACACCAGAGTTTCCCTCAGGCAAAAGAAAACAGAGGCGATCACTGTTCTTTTACCACCATAGGTTGGTTTTGCTTATTCTTGAACATCATTTTAAAACGGCACGTAGGCCGGGCGCAGTGGCTCATGCCTAATCCCAACACTATTGGGAGGCCGAGGTGCTCAGATCGCTTGAGCCCAGGAGTTTGAGACCAGGAGGTGGAAGCTGCGGTGAGCTGTGATTACACCACCATATTCTACTCTGGGTGACAGAGTGAGACCTTGTCTCAAAAAAAAAAAAAAAAAAAAAAAGCTGGGTGTGGGGAGTGGTTATCCTTGAGGAGAACTAACTGGGAAAGAGAACAAAGGACTCTTCTAAGATGCTGGATATGGCCAGGCACAGTGGCTCATGCCTGTAATCCCAGCACTTTGGGAGGCGGAGGTGGGCAGGAGTTTGAAACCAGCCTGGCCAACATGGGGAAACCCTGTCTCTACTAGAAATACAAAAACTAGCTGGGCATGCTGGCAGGCACCTGTAATCCCAGCTACTCGGGAGGCTGAGACAGGAGAATCGCTTGAATTCAGGAGGTGGCGGTTGTAGTGAGCCGGAGGTTGCACCATTGCACTCCAACCTGGGCAACAGAGTAAGACTCCGTCTCAAAGAAAAAAAAAGATACTGGATATGTTCTCTACATTATCTTGATCTGGGTGGTAGTTATGGAGGTGTGTAAAACACATAAAAACACTTCAGTGTGTGTAAGACTTAGCTCAATTTAAAAATGAAGAACATGGCTGGGCATGGTGGCTCACGCCTGTAATCCCAGCACTTTGGGAGGCCAAGGTGCCGGATCACCTGAGGTCAAGAGTTTGAGACCAGCCTGACCAACGTGGAGAAACCTCATCTCTAATAAAAATACAAAATTAGCCAGGCGTGGTAGCACATGCCTGTAATCCCAGCTATTCAGGAGGCTGAGGCAGGAGAATCACTTGAACCCGGGAGGTGGAGGTTGCA
The DNA here is from genome assembly GCF_000001405.40 of Homo sapiens. NCBI lineage: Eukaryota > Metazoa > Chordata > Mammalia > Primates > Hominidae > Homo > Homo sapiens. The sequence goes on from NC_000017.11 coordinate 16,356,039, forward strand.
GTGAGCTGAGATCGGCCATTGCACTCCAGCCTGGGCAACAAGAACAAAACTCTGTATCAAAAAAAAAAAAAAAAAAAAAGAAGAAGAAGAACAACAACATAAGTTAGGCTATTATTTTAAAGACATTATATCATTAAGTAGGTTTGAGGTGAAGAAAATAATTGAATAGTTATTGCAAACCCAAAACTCAAGAACGCAATTAAAAAGGCATGTGCTGGCTGGGCACAGTGGCTCATGCCTGTAATCCCAGCACTTTGGGAGGCCAAGGAGGGCAGATCACTGAGGTCAGGAGTTCGAGACCACCTTGGCCAACATGGTGAAACCCCGTCTCTACTAAAATTACAAAAAATAGCTGGGCATGGTTGTGGGCGCCTGTAATCCCAGCTACTCGGGAGGCTGAGGGAGGAGAATCGCTTGAACCTGGGAAGTGGAGGTTGCAGTGAGATTGCACTCCAGCCTGAAACAAAACTCCATCTCAAAAAAAAAAAAAAAAGAGGCCGGGCGTGGTGACTCACGCCTGTAATCCCAGCACTTTGGGAGGCCGAGACGGGTGGATTACTTTAAGTCAAGAGTTCGAGACCACCCTGGCCAACATGATGAAACCCCATCTCTACTTAAAACATACAAAAAATTAGTCGGGCATGATGGTGCGCGCCTATAGTCCCAGCTACTCAGGAGGCTGAGACAGGAGAATCGCTTGAACATGGGAGGCGGAGGTTGCAGTGAGCCAAGATTGTGCCACTGCACTCCAGTCTGGGCGACAGAGGGAGACTCGATCTCAGAACGATCAAACAAACAAAAAAGGCATGTGCTCGGAACAGTCTGACTCTGGGAATGAAGTTGAGTTGATTTAATCATGGCATTGGAAAATCAAGGAGTAACTAGAATAAGATGAAAATTATTCATTAGGCTAACTCTCAGAAGACTAGAAGTGAAAAACTGAAAATTAAAGGAATGAGGTTAAGGCTATCAAATTGGAGGAAGTGAGGGATTTTCTTAGAAATATGATTGATATAGCATATTACATCAGGCTTTTCTGTAGAAATTAACAGCCAATTCTATACTTTATGTGGATATGCACATGACTTAGAAGGGCCAAAACAATCTTGAAGAAGAACAAATTTGGAGGACTTGATGTATCTGATTTCAGAACTAAGGAAATAAGCTAAGTAGTTTAAACAAAGTGGAACTGGTCTAAGGATAGGTAAGCAGATCACTGGAACAGAATGGAGGGTTGAGACATGGATCCACATGTAATGGATCACTTGATTTTTGTTGTTGTTGTTATTGTTGTTGTTGTTTTGAGATGGAGTTTCGCTCTTGTTGCCCAGGCTGGAGTGCAATGGCGTGATCTCAGCTCACCACAACCTCTGCCTCCCGGATTTAAGCTATTCTCCTGCCTCAGCCTCCTGAGTAGCTGGGATTACAGGCATGCGCCACCATGCCCACCTAATTTTGTATTTTTAGTAGAGACAGGATTTCTCCATGTTGGTCAGGCTGGTCTCAAACCCCCAACCTCAGATGATCTGCCCGCCTCGGGCTCCCAAAGTGCTGGGATTACAGGCACGAGCCACTGCGCCCAGCGATCACTTGATTTTTGTTTTTGTATTTGTTTTTGTTTTTTGAGATGGTGTCTCACTCAGTCACCCAGGCTGGAGTGCAGTGGCATAATCTCGGCTCACTGCAACCTTTGCCTCCTGGATTCAAGCTATTCTCCTGCCTCAGCCTCTGAGTAGCTGGGATTACAGGCACCCGACACCATGCCCAGCTAATTTTTGTTTTTACTAGAGATGAGGTTTCTCCATGTTGCCCGGGCTGGTCTCAAACTCCTGGCCTCAAACTCCTGGCCTCAAGTGGTCCGCCTGCCTTGGCCTCCCAAAGTGCTGGGATTATAGATGTGAGCCGCCATGCCCAGCCAACACTTTTAAATGAAAATAATTAATAGGTGAACTTTTTAAAAATTCAATCTACTTTTTTTTTTTTTTTTTTTTTTTGAGATGGAGTTTCGCTCTTGTTGCCCAGGCTGGAGTGCAATGGCATGATCTCGGCTCACTGCAACCTCCACCTTCCGGGTTCAAGCAATTCTCCTGCCTCAGCCTCCCGAGTAGCTGGGATTAAAGGCGCATGCCACCACGCACAGCTAATTTTTGTATTTTTAGTAGAGACAGCCTTTCACCATGTTGTTCAGGCTGGTCTCGAGCTCCTGACTTCATGATCCACCCACCTCAGCCTCTCAAAATGCTGGGATTACAGATGTGAGCCACCACGCCCGGCCCTTATCTTTTTCTTTATATTGACTTGGAAAAGTTTTCTGTGTTCCCTTTTTGCCTTCTGTTGATTTGGAAATTCTATCATTTGTCTCTATAATGGTGGTGGTTTCCCTTCTCATATCTAGTAGTTATGATAAAACCTGTGTTCCTCTAGTAATGTTGCCAAATTGATCAACAAATATGTTTCCCAAAATATTTTATCCACTCACTCACTCCCCAACCTTCACCTAGAGGAAAATTTTGGAAATTGAGATTTTTAGTTCCTCACTTTCCCACTGAAAGTGGAAAAGTGCCCAGCCTCTCTGAAGTATACTTTCTTTTGAAGACTCCTTCATGAACATTTACACTTTCTATTTCTTATTTGGTATCATAACCATAAGACCAGCTCCAAGAATTGCTGATTACTTTTGTTGTTCTTTTGTGTCCACAGAGCCAAGAACTGAGCCCAGTACTCAAAATATTTGTTGAATGAACTATCTATTTAGATATATTTATTACAAGATCAATTGTTCACAACAAGCATTGTGCTCACCATCTACCCAATACTGAGGTCTCTTTTTATTTTATTTTACTTTATTTATTTTTTTTGAGATGGTGTCTCGCTCTGTCGCCCAGGCTGAAGTGCAATGGCATGATCTTGGCTCACTGTAAACTCCGCCTCCCAGGTTCAAGCAATTCTCCTGCCTCAGCATCTCGAGTCACTGGGACTAGCGGGGTACACCACTATACCCAGCTAATTTTTGTATTTTTAGTAGAGACGTAGTTGCATTCACCATGTTGGCCAGGCTCATCTCGAACTCCTGACCTCAAGTGTTCCACCCGCCTCAGCCTTCCAAAGTGCTGGGATTACAGGTGTGAGCTACCGCACTCCGCCTGAGGTCTCTTTTTAAATATGATTAGGGATTGATTAGATAATTTTTTTTTTTTTGAGACTGAATTTCATTCTTGTTGCCCAGGCTGGAGTGCAGTGGCACAATCTCGGCTCACTGCTACCTCCACCTCCTAGGTTTAAGCGATTCTCCTGCCTCAGCCTCCCGAGTAGCTGGAATTACAAGCACCCACCACCATGCCCAGCTAATTTTTGTATTTTTAGTAGAGACGGGATTTTGCCGTGTTGTCCAGGCTGGTCTTGAACTCCTCACCTCGTAATCTGCCCGCCTTGGCCTCCCAAAATGCTGGGATTACAGGTGTGAGCCACTGGGCCCAGCCTAGAGAACTTTTAAGTATTTTCCTCAGGTAGGGTGCATGGGTGATACTGGGTACATAAGTGCTTGAATCATCTGCTTTTGCCCCAAAAGATGAATGACATTTTGTCTGGGGACAGAATTTTTTTTGAGACATGGTCTCACTTTGTCACCTAGGCTGTTGTTCAGCAGCTTGATCATGGCTCGTTGCAGCCTTGAATTCTTTGGCTCAAGGGATCCTCCCACCTCAGCAGCCCCTGTAGCTGGGACCACCACGCTCAGCTATTTTTTCATTTTATTTGTTTATTTCTGTAGAGACAGGGATCTTATTATTTTGCTCGGGCTGGTCTCGAACTCTTGGGCTAGAGTGATTCTCCTGCCTCAGCCTCCCAAAGCACTGGGATTATAGGTTTGAGCCTTTTTTTTTTTTTCTCCAGAGTCTCGTTTTTGCAGTGGTGCGATCTCAGCTCACTACAGCCTCCGCCAGCTTGGTTCAAGTGATTCTCATGCCTCAGCCTCTCAAGTAGCTGGGACCACAGGCATGCACCACCATGCCCGGCTAATTTTTATATTTTTTCTAGAGACAGGGTTTCACCATGTTGGCCAGGCTGGTCTCGAACTCCTGGGCTCAAGCAGTCTGCCCACCTCAGCCTCCCAAAGTGCTGGGATTACAGGCATGAGTCACTGTGCTGGCTGGAAATGAGTTGTTTGTTTGTTTGTTTGTTTGTTTTTATTTTTATTTTTGGGACTGACTTTCGCTCTGTTGCCCAGGCTGGAGTACAGTGGCGCGATCTTGGCTCGCCACAACTTCCGCCTCTTGGGTTCAAGCGATTCTCCTTTCTCAGTCTCCCCAGTAGCTGGGACTACAGGCATGCGCCACCACACCCGGCTAATTTTTGTATTTTTAGTAGAGATGGGGTTTCACTATGTTGGCCAGGCTGGTTTCGAACTCCTGACCTTGTGATCCTCCCACCTTGGCCTCCCAAAGTGCTGGGATTACAGGTGTGAGCCACCATGCCTGGCTGGAAGGAGAATTCTAATGCTAGTTTTGTTTTCCTTTTATACAACAGCCTCTTCCTTCAATGTGAAAACTTGTGCACCTCTCTCTTTTCCCGTGGAATTTAGGACTTTTGCCAGGATGTGTGTATAGGTATATATATTTTTATTACTCCTGTCTAGGTGGCCTGATAAAGAAGAAAGATAAAACAAAATTACATTTATATGTTATAAATGAAAAAATATATAACTAGAGAAACAGAATAAACTCAAAACACTTATCACAGGATCTTATATGCTTTCTTGGGTCCTTTGGAAAATATTTTCATCATCTGTATTATACCCTCTTAGTAACATACATTGAGTTTGGGTAGGTTTTGATAAGACTTGCTAAATCATAACATCTATTTTTTTTTTTTTTCTGAAACAGGGTCTAACTCTGTCACCCAGGCTAGAGTGCAGTGGCATGATCACAGCTCACTGCAGCCTTGAACTCCTGGGCTCAAGGCATCCTCCCACCTCAGTCTTCCAAAGTGCCAGAAGCCACCACTCCTGATTTATAACTTTTATTCAATATATGCTGTTTTCTGAACTAAAATGTCATATGTAGACAATGAAAAACCCATTCTGTAGCCATTCTAACTGAGCAAATTTCCCTACCATATATGACATTAAATTCTTCCTGAATTTAATTAGCCAGGCATGGTGGCGGGCGCCTGTAATCCCAGCTACTCGAGAGGCTGAGGCAGGAGAACTGTTTGAACCCGGGAGGTGGACACTGCAGTGAGACAAGATCGCACCACTGCACTCCAGCCTGGGCAAAAACAGTGGAACTTCATCTCAAAAAAATAAATAAATTCTTCCTGAATTCAAATTCATAAAGACAGAAAGTAGAATAGAGATTGCCAGGGGCTGAGGGAGGAGGGAGTGGGGAGTTACTGTTTTTTGTTTTGTTTTGTTTTGTTTTTTGAGACGAAGTTTCACTCTTGTCGCCCAGGCTGGAGTGCAATGATACGATCTCAGCTCACTGCAACCTTTGCCTCCTGGGTTCAAGCGATTCTCCTGCCTCAGCTTCCCAAGTAGCTGGGATTACAGGCGTGAGCCACCACACCAGGCTAATTTTGTATTTTTAATAGAGACAGGGTTTCTCCATGTTTGTCAGGCTGGTGTGGAACTCCCGACCTCAGGTGATCCGCCCACCTTGGCCTCCCAAAGTGTTGGGATTACAGGCGTGAGCCACTGCACCTGGCCCGAGTTATTGTTAATGTGTTTCTGTTTGGGGTGATGAAAAAGTTCTGGAAAGAGTGGTGATGGCTGCACATTGTGAATATATTTACTGCCACTGAATTGTGCACTTATATAGTTAAAATTTTATGTTATACAGCATATATTTTACCACACAAAAAAAGAATTCTTCCTGGACTTTAAAGCACAAGCAGAATGAATAAAGAAAGAATGCCTCATCATTTGCACATTGTGGATGGACAATACGGCAGCAGAGTCCCAATATCGACGCCCACTCATGAAAATCAAAAGTGGTCGTTTTTGTACCTAGAGTAGTCAAATCAGTAGACAAAAAGTAGGATGGTGGTTACTACGGGCTGGGCGTAGGGGGATTAGGGAGTTTTTTGTTTTGGTTTGGTTTTTTTGAGACCGAGTCTTGCTCTCTAGGCCAGGCTGGAGTGCAGTGGCCCAGTCTCGGCTCACTGCAACCTCTGCCTCCCAGGTTCAAGCAATTCTCATGCCTCAGCCTCCTGAGTAGCTGGCATTTCAGGTTCCTGCCACCATGCCCAGCTAATTTTTTTGTGTTTTTAGGAGAGACGGGGTTTCACCATGTTGGCCAGGCTCATCTTGACTTCCTGACCTCAGGTGATCCACCCGCCTTGACCTTCCAAAGTGCTGAGATTACAGATGTGAGCCACTGCGCCCAGCCAGAAGTTCTTTAATGGGTATAGAGTTAGGGAAGAAGAAAAAAATTCTGGAGAGGGATGGTGGTGATGGGAGCACAACAGTGTGAACATACCTAATGCCACTGAACTGTACACTTAAAAAGAGTTAAAACGGTAACTTTCGTGGGTTTTTTTTGTTTTTTGTTTTTTGTTTTTGTTTTTTTTGAGAGATGGAGTCTTGTTCTGTCACACAGGCTGGGGTGCAATGGCATGATCTCGGCTCGCTGCAACCTCCACCTCCCAGGTTCAAGCAGTTCTCCTGCCTCAGATTCCCAAGTAGCTGAGACTATAGGAGTGCACCACCACACCCAGCTAATTTTTGTATTTTTTAGTAGAGATGGGGTTTCACTGTATGGTGGCCAGGCTGGTCTCGAACTCCTGACCTCAGGTGATCTGCCCACCTCAGCCTCCCAAAGTTTTGGGATTACAGGTGTGAGACACCGTGCCCAAACTTTTGTGTATGTATGTGTTTTTCACAATTTAAAAAATAAAAAATTTTTTTTGAGACAGGGCCTCACTGGTGCCCAGGCTGGAGTGCAGTGGCAAGATTTCAGCTCACTGCAGCCTCGACCTCCCCAGCTCAGGGGATCCTCCCACCCCAGCCCCCCAAGTAGCTGGGACCACAGATGCAGGCTACCACGACTCATTAATTTTTTTTGTAAATATGGAATTTTGCCATGTTGCCCAGGCTGGTCTCGAGCTCCTGGGCTCAATTGATCCACCCACCTTGGCCTCCCAAAGCGCTAGGATTACAGACATAAGCCACTGCACCCAGCTGAATTTTTGTTTTTGAGTCGGAGTCTCGCTCTGTTGCCCAGGCTGGAGTGCAATGGTGCGATCTCAGCTCACTGCAACCTGTTCCTCCTGGGTTCAAGCGATTCTCCTGCCTCAGCCCCCCGAGTAGCTGGGATTACAGGCATACACCACCACACTCAGCTAATTTTGTATTTTTAGTAAAGACAGGGTTTCTCCATGTTGGTCAGGTTGGTCTGGAACTCCCGACCTCAGGTGATCCTCCTGCCTCGGCCTCCCAAAGTGCTGGGATTACAGGTGTGAGCCACCACACCCAGCCTGAAAAAAATGTTCAAGTGGGCATTTTTGGCTCCATCTTAGGCCCCTAAAACCAACATGATGAAGTCTCTGGTGACTCAGGATAAGGAGAAACAGATCTAGTATGTGATGTGTTCACAGAAGGAGAACAGATGCAACACTCAACTCCAAAGGGGAAAAAAATCCTGGTAAATCTGTATAGGATTTTAAGGGAATCTGAAAATGGTATGGCGTGTTTGATTTGCTTTTCTCTAAAGCACTGCTCTGTAAGTTCCTATGGGGGGGGCGGGCAGAGCTGCTAGAAATACAGAAGCATAAGAGAGTAAATAATGGTACCTTCATATGCAAATGTGCTTTTCAGATTGGATCTGTCTGTGCTTGTTTTGAGCTATACCCGGTAAGGCTCCCTCCAGAAACAGAATTCTTGTTTAGCTCCTGGGAGTGTGCAGAATCCACAACAGCCACTAGGGGGCAGGAGGCATGTGTCATATATACCGGGCAGTGAGAAAGAGTTAATGCAATTAACTAAGGGGCACTATTTTGTACCCTCAGGCTTGAGAGGCCGCCAAGCTACTCCAGCCTCATACAAGTGGGGAAAGACTTTGACGGAGTTTAGGGTGGACTGGCAGGCTCTCAACCATAGCAGGAGCACTCAAATTTCTCAGCTTATGTGGCAGGCCTCATTTCTTTCCCTGATGGTACTATTTATCTCAATATTTATATCCCTCTTATCAGCATGCTTGTGGTAAATGTTATTTTTCTCAGCATTTTCAGGGGCACCACTAACCTTTGTGCCAAGAAGAAAACGAAGCCTCTCCTGGACAGACACAACCTATTAGGCCCAGAACTTGGAAAGCTGCCTGATGCTGTTAAAAGTTATTCAATAATACTTGTTAAAGGACAGTAAGCAAGACTTTATCTGGGACCATCAAGATGGGTATAGGAACCACTGTAATGGGATTTTGCTATAGGGGAGAGAGATTGGACTCAACTCTAAATACAGCATGGGCAAGGGGGAATTTACAGCCAAGAAGCAGGGTGGAGGTCAGTGGATGGAAAATTACTAAGAGGAGTAAGGGGGATTCTGGCCAAACCCACCTAACAGGACTCTTGCTGAAGACAGGCCAAGGTGACCCAACATCAGCTGGAGGATGATGGGGGATGAGAAACCTAATCAGATATTGAAGATGATCAGATATCAAGATACAGGGTTCTGGCTAAAATCACTTAGAAGAGTTCTTTTGCTAAAACTGGATTTATAAGGAAGTGCACAGATGGGCCTCTGGAGAAGGTTCAGAAGCCTGACTGAAGTTTGTCCAAGCAAAGAATCTTTGTCAATGCCTCTGAGTGAATTAGAAAACAAAAATCCCTTCTTCCTGTGCAGCCCTATGTGGTAGTCCTGAGTGTTTACTAAGCACCAGGCACTGTGCTGAGATGAACTTTGCAAACTTTGTCTAACAGCCTTCACAAAAAGGCAAGCACTTTTATTGTCCACATTTTTCTGCTGAGAAAATTGAGGGTGAGTGTAAGTAACTCACTCAGGGTCACACAGCTAGCAAGTGGTAGAGCTCAAAACAAAAGGATGGATAATGACCTCAGATGTCCTGAACTTCTTCCCACATCCACTGAACTCACCAGAGTCTCCCCCCACCACCTCCCAAACTACATCCTCAGGGCAGCAAGAGTGATTTTAACTCTTTATTGCTATACTCATGTATATCACGTACATGTAGAATTCAAATAATAAGAAGAATGTCCAACTATGACAAGAAATGGAGCTTTATCAATTTCTCTGATGTGCCCCATCATCCCCTCACCGCTCCTCAAGAGGTAACCACCCTTCTGACTTTTGTGCTCATCTTTATCACATATAAGTACATATATCTAAATAACATTTAGTCTCATCTGGTTTCTTGGGGGGTTTTTTGAGACAGGGTTTCACTCTGTCACCCAGGCTGGAGTGCAGTGGTGCGATCTTGCCTCACTGCAACCTCCGCCTCCTGGATTCAAGTGATTCTCCTGCCTCAGCCTCCCGAGAGCCTGGGATTACAGGCATGTGCCACCATGCCTGGCTACTTTTATTTAATTTAATTTATTTATTTATTTATTTATTTATTTATTTATTTATTGAGACGGAGTCTCACTCTGTCTCCCAAGCTGGAGTACAGTGGTGTGATCTCTGCCCACTGCAACCTCCGCCTCCCGTGTTCAAGCAATTCTCCTGCCACAACCTCCTGACTAGCTGGGACTACAGGCTCATGCCACCACGCCCAGCTAATTTTTTTATTTTTGGTAGGGATAGGGTTTCACCAGGTTGGCCAGGCTGGTCTTGAACTGACCAATCTCCTGACCTCAGGTGACTGGTCTGCCTCGGCCTCCCAAAGTGCTGGGATTACAGGTGTGAACCACCACGCCCTGCCGTCTCATCTGTTTTTGAACTCATTATAATAAGCTAACAAATAATGCATGCATTCTTCTGAGACTTTTCTTTTGTGATTCATGCATATTGATGTGTATCCTAGAGTTGATATGTATTCATTGTTGCACAGGATGAACCTTCTACAATTGTCCATTTTTCTGTTGATAGAATATATGTTTACAGTTATTGCTATTCTGAATAATGCCGATATAAACATTCTTGTTCATCTCTCCTGGCACACATGCGCAAGAGATTCTCTAGGGTATGAGGTGTTTAAAAATCTTTTCAGCCAGGCACAGTGGTTCGCGCCTGTAATCTCAACACTTTGGGAGGCCGAGACAGGAGGATCACTTAAGTCCAGGAATTCAACACCAGCCTAGGCAACATAGTGAGACTTCTGTTGCAACAAAAAAAAAATAATAAATTAGCTGGGTGTGGTGGTGCATGCCTGTTGGTCCCAGCTATTTGGGAAGCAGAGGAGGGAGGATCACTTGAGCCTGGGAAGGCAAGGCTGCAGTGAGCTATGATCATGCCAGTGCACTCCAGCCTGGGCGACAGAGCAAGACCCTGCTTCAAAAAATAAATAGTAGAAAACATTTAAAAATAAAAATACTTTCAGGCAATTTGATTATGAACATGTGACAAAGTTTCACTATAGTCTTGCTACAAGAACAAAGGCCTCTGACAGACTAAGTCAAAGATTTCTCTCTTGGTAGAAACAATGGGGGAAAATGACTACATAATCACTGTTTAGACTGTATACAAAAGAAATGCCTAATTAAAGATCTTTAGACTCTTGACTGACAGCTGATAATCATCTTCATGAGTGGGTATCTAGCTTCTCAGGAGAGGTCTTAATTCGATTAGAAACTATCAAAAAATTGCTTCAGGCCAGGCGCAGTTGTTCACACCTGTAATCCTAGCACTTTGGGAGGCCAAGGCGGGCGGATCACGAGGTCAGGAGTTTGATACCAGCCTGACCAACACGGTGAAACCCTGTCTCTGCTAAAAATACAAAAATTAGCTGTGCGTGGTGGTGCGCACCTGTAGTCCCAGCTAGGATAATCGCTTAAACCCGGGAGGCAGAGGTTGCAGTAAGCTGAGATGGCACCACTGCACTCCAGCCTAGGCAACAGAGTGAGACTCCATCTCAAAAAAAAAAAAAAAATTGCTTAAATTTTTTGTTGTGGGGCAGGGTGGGAGACAGAATCTCCTTCTGTCACCCAGGTTGGAGAGCAGTGGTATGATCATAGCTCACTGTAGCCTTGACTCCTGGGCTCAAGGATCCGCCTGCCTCAGCCACCAAATAGTTAAGACTACAGGTGCATGCCACCACATGAAGTAATTTTTTTTAAGTTTTGTGGAGATGGAGGGTCTTGCTATGTTGTCCAGACTGGTCTCAAACTCCTAGCCTCAAGTGATCCTCCCAACTTGGCTTTCCAGAGCGCTGGGATTACAGGCATCAGACAACATTCCTGGCCCAAATATTTTATTAGGAATACTACTGTCTTCCTTGAGGAGGTTATGAATTACATTACCCAAAAATATTCCACCCCAAGCCAGGTTTAGGACAATTTTTCTTTTATAATAACTGCAGTTGGATTGCTGCATCTAGGATATGTGCACATTCAATTTTGTTTCTAAAGGGGTTATACCAGTTTACAGTCTTGCCAGCAGTGGGAGAGAGTTCCTATTGCTCTACATCCTACCCAACACTTGACATTGTCTGAATTTTTAATTTTATTGGGTTTTTTTTTTCTGGAAATGGGGACCTCACTATGTTGCCCAGGCTGTTAAACTCTCAGCCTCAAGTGATTCTTCCACCTAAGCCTCTTAAAATGTTGGAATTACTGGTGTGAGCCACCACACCTGGCTTTAATTTTTTTTTTTTCCCATATGGAGGTTGTGAAATGGCATCTTGTCATGGGTTTATTTAATTTAATTTATTTATTTATATATTTTGAGGGAGAGTCTCACTCTGTCACCCAGGCTGGAGTGCAGTGGCGCCATCTCATCTCACTGCAACCTCCGGATCCTAGGTTCAAGAGATTCTCCTGCCTCAGCCTCCTGAGTAGCTGGGATTACAGGCATGTGCCACCACACCAGGCTGATTTTTTTGTTTTTAGTAGAGAGGGTTTCACATGTTGGCCAGGCTGGTCTTGAACTCCTGACCTCAGGTGACCCACCCTCCTCTGCCTCCCAAAGTACTGGGATTATAGGCGTGAGCCACCGTGCCCAGCCTTACCTTTTTAAAATAATAGTTTGGCTATTCCAGGTCCTTTCCATTTACATATAAATTTTAGGAACAGCTTGTCAATTTCTATTTTTAAAACAGGCCGGACACAGTGGCTTATGGCTATAATCCCAACACCTTAGTAGGCCAAGGCAAAAGGATCACTTGACACCAGGAGTTTGAGACTAGTCTGAACAACATAGGAAGATACCTCATCTCTACTTAAAAAAAAAAAAAAAATTAGTCAGGCAAGATGGCTTATCCTTGCGTCCTAGCTACTTGGGAGGGTGAGGTGGGAAATGCTTGAACCCTGAAGTTCAAGGTTGCAGTGAACTATGAATGTACCACTGCACTCCAGCCTAGGTGACTCAGTGAGATCTTGTCTTAAAAAAAAAAAAAAAAAAAAAAAAAGTCGGCCAGATGTGGTGGCTCACGCCTGTAATCCCAGCACTTTGGGAGGCCAAGGCAGGTGGATCACCTGAAGTTGGGAGTTCGAGACCAGCCTAGCCAACATGGAAAAACCTCGTCTCTACTGAAAATACAAAATTAGCTGGGCGTGGTGGTGCATGCCTGTAATCCCAGCTACTCAGGGGCTGAGGCAGGAGAATCACTTGAACCCAAGAGGCGGAGGTTGTGGTGAGCTGAGATTGCGCCACAGCACTCCAGCCTGGGCAACAAGAGCAAAACTTCATCTCAACAACAACAACAAAAAATTATTTCCTAGGCTGGGCGAGGTGGCTCACACCTGAAATCCCCCCACTTTGGGAGGCCGAGGTGGGTGGATCATCTGAGGTCAGGAGTTCAAGACCAGCCTGGCCAACATGGTGAAACCCCATTGTGATGGTTAATACTGAGTGTCAACTTGATTGGATTGAAGGATACAAAGTATTGATCCTGGGTTTGTCTGTGAGGGTATTGCCAAAAGAGATTAACATTTGAGTCAGTGGGCTGGAGAAGGCAGATCCACCCTTAATCTGGTGGGCATGATCTAATCAGCTGCCAGTGAATATAAAGCAGGCAGGAAAACATGAAAAGGAGAGATGGGCCTGGCCTCCCAGGCTACATCTTTCTTTTTTATTTTTGAGACAGTCTCACTCTGTCGCCTGGGCTGGAGTGCAGTGGCTCAATGTCAGCTCACTGCAACCTCTGCCTCTCAGGTTCAAGCAATTCTCCTGCCTCAGCCTCCTGAGTAGCTGGGATTACAGGTGCCCCCCATGACACCTGGCTATTTTTTATATTTTTAGTAGAGGTGGGATTTCCCCATTTTGGCCAGGCTGGTCTTGAACTTCTGATCTCAGGTGATCTGCCCACCTCAGCCTCCCAAAGTGTTAGGATTACAGGTGTGATCATCAACCCTGGCCCCAGCCTACAACTTTCTCCTGTGCTAGATGTTTCCTGCCCTTGAACATCAGACTCCAAGTTCCTCAGTTTTGGGACTGGGACTGGCTCTCCTTGCTCCTCAGCTTGCAGACAGCCTATTGTGGGACCTCGTGATCATGTAAGTTAATAGTTAATAAACTCTCCATTATGTGTGTATATGTATATATATACACACACACATATATAACCCCATTATGTGTGTGTCTACATATATATCCTATTAGTTCTGTCCCTCTAGGAGAACCCTGATTAACACACCCATCTCTACTAAAAATACAAAAATTAGCCAGGCGTGTTGGCATGCACCTGTAGTCCCAGCTACTCAGGAGGCTGAGGCAGAAGAATCGCTTGAACCCCAGAGGCGGAGGTTGCAGTGAGCTGAGATGGCGCCACTGTACTCCAGCCTGGGCAGCAGAGTGAGACACCATAAAAAAAAAAAAATTACTTCCTGTTGACCAGGTCTGAAAAAATTTAAAAAAAGAAAAAATAATAATAATAAAAGAAAGTCTTTTACTTTTACTTACTGAGATACCTTCATGCTCATTGAGGATTTACCTGAGCTATGTCTAAGACTGCTTTGCCAGAGGTTTGTCTAAATTTTTTCTAGCTTTATTGGGGATAACTGGTATACAGTTAAGTTGCAGGTATTTACAGCATATAAACAGATACATTTCTATATATGCTTATACCTGTGAAACTATCACCATAATCAAGATGATAAAACATTTTCCTCACCACTAAAAGTTTTTCCTGCCTTTTATAACCCATCCCATCTCATTACTCCTTCTTGCCTCCATCCTCAAGTGATCACTGATCTGCTTTCTCTTTCATGAGTTTGCATTTTCTAGAATTTGATATGGAATGAAATCATATAGCTTATACCCTTTTTTGGTCTGGGTTCTTTCACTCAGCATAATTATTTTGAGATTCATCTATGTTATGTGTATCAATGGTTCATTTCTTTTTACTACTGAGTAGTATTCCATTGTATATACTACAATTCTTTTTTTATTTTATTTTATTTTTTTATTATTATTTTTTTGAGACAGAGTCTCGCTCTGTCACCAGGCTGGAGTACAATGGCATGATCTCAGCTCACTGCAACCTCTGCCTCCCGGGTTCAAGCGATTCTCCTGCCTCAGCCTCTCGAGTAGCTGGAACTACAGGTGCATGCCACCACGCCCAGCTAATTTTTGTATTTTCAGTAGAGACGGTATTTCACCATGTTGGACAGGATGGTCTCGATCTCCTGACCTCGTGATCTGCCCGCCTTGGCCTCCCAAAGTGCTGGGATTAGAGGCGTGAGCCACTGCACCCGTCTATAATTATTATTATTATTATTATTTAAGATAGAGTCTTGCTCTGTCACCCAGGCTGAAGTGCAGTGGTGAGATCTCAGCTCACTGCAATTTCCACCTCCCAGGTTCAAGCGATTCTCTTGCCTCAGCCTCCCGAGTAGCTGGGACTACAGGTGAGCACCATCATGCTGGGCTAATTTTTGTATTTTTAGTAGAGACAGGGCTTCACCATGTTGGCCAGGCTGATCTCAAACTCCTGACTTCAAGCAATCTGGCTGCCTCGGCCTCCCAAAGTGCTAGGATTACAGGTGTGAGCCACCACACCCAGCCTACAATTCATTTTTTAATCACATGAACTTATTATGTGCCCCTCTCTTTGCACTGGCTGGGGGAAAAAACCAAAAACCTCCCCCAAAACCCTCCTAAATCTATGGCCTACCTCTAGCAAAGGAAAAACTTCAAAACCAGCATTTTGTATACTAATCTCATTCCTAACTGCATTTTCTCTTTTCCTCTCCCTTTGTATATGTTCCTCGTCCACTTATCTTTATTTTATTTTGTTATATATATATATTTAATTAAGTTATCTTGGATCTCTTCTAGAACAAGAACTAAATACAAGTAAACAAGGCCAGGCGCGGTGGCTCATGTCTGTAATCCCAACACTTTGGGAGGCCAAGGCGGGTGGATCACTTGAGGTCAGGAGTTCAAGACCAGCCTGGCCAACATGGTGAAACCCCATCTCTACTAAAAATAAAAAAAATTAGCCGGGTGTGGTGGTACGTGCCTGTAATCCCAGCTACTCGGGAGGCTGAGGCAGGAGAATCACTTGAACCCGGGAGGCAGAGGTTGTAGTGAGCCGAGATCTCCCCACTGCACTCCAGCCTGAGCTATAGAGTGAGACTCTGTCTCAAAAAAAAATATAAATAAACAAATAATAAATAAACACAAGTAAACAATGCTCTGTTTTTATTTGACTTTATCAGTTCCTTCCTCCTGCTTTCTTTAGGGATACTGGCTTTTGTACACTTAGCCTACTTACAGATGCTCATCATATCCTGCTTGGACAAATGCCACAATCTCTGACATGCTGTAATCTAATCTTCCTTCTAATCATCTGCTATGATGTCACCAAGTTATCATTCTAAAATAGAAATCTGATCATGTCATTCCCATGCAGTACACAGGAAGAAGTCTTAAGTTCTTAATATAGCAAGGCGGGCCCTTCATTTGTCGTTCATTCGTTCAATAAATATTTACTGGCTGGGCACGGTGGCTCATGTCTATAATCCTAACACTTTGGGAAGCCAAGGCGGGTGGATCACTTGAGTCCAGCAGTTCAAGACCCGCCTGGGCAATTTGACAAAACTCTATCTCTACAAATATATATATATATATATGAAAAATTAGCTGAGCATGGTGGTGTGTGTCTGTAGTCCCAGCTACTTGGGAGGCTGAGGGTGGATCCCTTGAGCCTGAGAGGTTGAAGCTGCAGTGATTGTGCCACTGCACTCCAGCCTGGGTGAAAGAGTGAGACCTTGTCTCAAAAAAAAAAAAAGATTAATTAAAAATAAATATTTACTAAGTGCTGATTATGTAGAAGGCACTATGCCAGCTGGCTATGTGTGGAGATATGGTGATAAACTAGATAGACAAGGCCTGTACCCTCGTGGAGTTTACATTCTACTTGGGGGAAAACAAAGAGATACGCAACCAATCAAGCAGTAAAGTTACGGATTGGACAAATACAAAATTGTTTTTTTTTTTTTTGTGATGGAGTCTCGCTCTGTCACCCAGGCTGGAGGGCAGTGGCGCGATCTCAGCTCACTGCAAGTTCCGCCTCCCGGGTTCACCCTGTTCTCCTGCCTCACCCTCCCGAGTAGCTGGGACTACAGGCGCCTGCCACCACTCCCTGTATTTTTAGTATTTTTCTGTATTTTTAGTAGAGACGGGGTTTCACCATGTTAGTCAGGATGGTCTCGATCTCCTGACCTCGTGATCCGCCCGCCTCGGCCTCCCAAAGTGCTGGGATTACAGGCGTGAGCCACCGCGCCCAGCCTGTTCTTTTTTTTGAGACAGAGTCTTGCTCTGTCACTCAGGCTGGAGGGCAGTGGTGTTATCTTGGCTCACTGCAACTTCTGCCTCCCGGGTTCAAATGATTATCCTGCCTCAGCCTCCCAAGTAGCTGAAATTACAGGTGCCCACTACCACGCTCAGCTAATTTTTACATTTTTAGTAGAGACGGGGTCCACCACCACACCTAGCTAATTTTTGTATTTTTAATAGACATAGGGTTTCACCATGTTGGCCGGGTTGGCCGCCTCGGCCTCCCAAAGTGCTGGGATTACAGGCACGAGCCACTGGCACCCAGCCCAATACGAAATTGTTGAGAAAGAAATAACCCAGGTGTTGTGACTGAGTCAGGAGCAGAGGCGGATGTCACAGAAGGTCTTTCTGAGGTGGTAACATTTATTCTGCCTAAAACATGAAACAGAAATGGCCATGAGAAGAGTTCTAGGCAAAGGAAACATCGGTTGCAAAGGTCCACAAGTGGGAAAAAACCTGGTGTTTCCTAAGAACTACAGATGGCCAGGATGGCTGGAGATGACGAGGCTGCTGGAGAGTTGAGCCCTGGCTGCTTCTTCCGTGGAAAACCACAGGCCCACAAGCAGCCGCCCTAAATTCCAGCTGTAAATTGCTCCCCATTATTTCCTCAATACTCTATGCTTTCTCATCTTTCACCTATTCCCTCCTGCCTTGTGACTGGGTTTCTAAATAACGCCTTCTCTGAAATGTTCTGGTTCCCCTCCGGCCCTACTCCAGACAGCTAAATGGCTTCTTCCTCCTCTGTGCCTCCACAGAAGTCTGTATGTGCCTCTGATTGGTCTGTCTCAGTCAGCAATCAGTTAGCTTTTTACACAGCTAATATTTATTGAGTGCTTTCAATGTCCAGTATCTGTTCTAAGTACTTTAGCCGTATTAATGCAACCATATGAGGCAGGTCCATTTAATCCTCAAAAACTTGGCCAAGTGGCTCACACCTGTAATCCTAGCACTTTGGGAGGTTGAGGCAGGCAGATCACCCGAGGTCAGGAGTTTGAGACCAGCCTGGCCAATATGGTGAAACCCTGTCTCTACTAAAAATACAAAAATCAGCCAGGTGTGGTGGTGCATGCCTGTAATCCCAGCCACTCAGGAGGCTGAGACAGGAGAATCACTTGAACCCGTGAGGCGGAGGCTGCAGTGAGCTGAGATTGTGCCACTGCCCTCCAGCCTGGGCAAGTCAGAATGAGACTGTATCTCAAAAATAAAAATAAATAAATAAATAAATAAATAAACTCTCGACATGAATTAACTCATTGAATTCTCCAACACCTCCTTAAGGTGGATACTCTTAGTCCTCACAGTGACCCCCTTATGGGCACTAAGACCATGGTTCTCTTGGGCGGAGTCCATATCCTGTCTCAGTCAGCAATCCAAATGCCTCTCACACCCAGAACTTGCTCAACAAATGTCTGCTGACTGGATGAATGACCTAATATCTTTCTCTTGGCTCAGGATTCAAACTTCAAGAGCATACAGTGCCCAGGAATAGCTGGCTGGAGGAATTTACGATAATGGTTGTAAAAGCGTTGTAGTATATACACATCAATGAGAACATAACATAAAGGCTGATTTAATATGTATAATCACTGCATTTCAAATGTGAGATAAACAAATTTCTCTATGTATCAGAGATTGTTTTATATATATATGCATGTATATATATATACACGTGTATATACACGTATATATATATACACGTGTATATACACGTATATATATACACGTGTATATATATATGGTCCCATAAGTGTAATCTATGTTTAAATGCAACACAGCTGGCCATAAATCTAATGCGTCTCGCTCTGTCACCCAGGTCGGAGCGCAGTGGCATAATCTTGGCTCACTGAAACCTCCACCTTCCGGGTTCAAGAGATTCTCCTGCCTCAGCCTCACAAGTAGCTGGGATTACAGGCACCCGCCACCACACCCGGCTAATTTTTTGTACTTTTAGTAAAGACTAGGTTTCACCATGCTGGCCAGGTTGGTCTCAACTCCTGGCATCAAGTGATCTGCCCACCTTGGCCTCCCAAAGTGCTGGGATTACAGGTGTGAACCACCATGCCTGATCTAATCTATGTTTAAATGTCCTATTTTGGCTGACTGCAACCTCCACCTCCTGGGCTCAAGCAGTCCTCCCACCTCAGCATCCCAGGTAGCTAGGACTACAGGTGCATGCCACCACACCCAGCTAACTGTTTTGTATTTTTGTAGAGATGGGGTTTCGCCATGTTGCCCAGACTAGTCTCAAACTCCTGAGCTCAAGGAATTCACCTGCCTCAGCCTCCCAAAATGCTGGGATTACAAGTGTGAGCCACCATGCCCAGCCGTAACATAACTTTCTGACAGCTTGGGAAATTGCTACAGCAAGCCTCAGTTTCTTGGTTTGTTGACTAGGCTTGAGAATTCCCTAGAAAAGTATAGGAAAAAATAAAATCTCAGTATCCCAAAGGGCAGCTCTGAAAAGAGCAATGGAAACTAGGCAAAAAGGCAAAGATTTAAGACTCACCTTAATTTGACAAGGTAGGATGACATCTAGTCCACATTTTTTTCTTTACAGATAAGGAAACCAAAGGTTAAAAATGAGTAAATCAGGCTGGGCACGGTGGCTCACGCCTGTAATCCTAGAATTTTGGGAGGCCAGGGCGGGCAAATCACAAGGTCAGGAGTTTGAGATTAGCCTGACCAATATGGTGAAACCCCGTCTCCACTAAAAATACAAAAAAAAAAAAAAAATTAGCCAGGCATGGTGGCGGGTGCCTGCAGTCGAGCTACTCAGGAGGCTGAGGCAGGAGAATCGCTTGAATCCCGTAGGCAGAGGTTTCAGTGAGCTGAGATCACACCACTTCAGTCCAGCCTGGGCGACAGAGCGAGACTCCGTCTCAAAAAAAAAAAAAAAAAGAAGGAAATTCTGTCACATGCTAAAACACGGATGAACCTTGAGGACATTATGCTAAATGAAATAAGCCAGTCCAGGCATGGTGGCTCATATCTGCAATCCCAGCACTTTGGGAGGCCGAGGTTGGAAATCGCTTGAACTCAGGAGTTTGAGACCAGCCTGGGCAACATGGTGAAACCTCATCTCTACAAAAAATACAAAAAAATTAGCCTGGTATGGTGATGTGTGCCTATAGCCCCAGCTACCTGTGGGGCTGAGGCAGGAGGATCACTTGAGCCTGGGAGGTCGAGGCTGTCACTACAGCCTCGTTCGCACCACCGCACTCCAGCCTAGGTAACAAAGCAAGGCCCTGTCTCAAAAATAAATAATTAAATAAATAAGCCAGTAACAAAAAGACAAATATTGTACAATTCCACTTACATGAGGCATTAAAGTGGTGAAACTCAGAGAGACAAAAAGTAGAATGGTGGATGCCAGGGTTGGGAGGAGGGGGAAAAGGGAGTTATTGTTCAGTATGGACAGAGCTTCAGTTTTACAAGATGAAAAAGTGCCAGAGATCTGTTGCACATGGCTGGGCGCGGTGGTTCACGCCTGTAATCCCAGCACTTTGGGAGGCCGAGGCAGGTGGATCACGAGGTCAGGAGATCGAGACCATCCTGGCTAACACAGTGAAACCCCGTCTCTACTAAAAAAACACAAAAAAATTAGCCGGGCCTGGTGGCAGGCGCCTGTAGTCCCAGCTACTCCGGAGGCTGAGGCAGGAGAATGGTGTGAACCCAGGAGGCGGAGCTTGCAGTGAGCCGAGATCGCGCCACTGCACTCCAACCTGAGTGAAAGAGCGAGACTCTGTCTCAAAAAAATAAATAAATAAATAAATAAATAAAGTTTTTTGTTTTTTGTTTTTTGTTTTTGAGACGGAGTCTCACTCTTGTTGCCCAGGCTGGAGTGCAATGACACGATCTTGGCTCACTGCAACCTCCGCCTCCCGGGTTCAAGCGATTCTCCTATCACAGCTTCCCAAGTAGCTGGGATTACAGGCATGCACCACCATGCCTGGCTAATTTTGTATTTTAGTAGAGACAGGGTTTCGCCATGTTGGCCAGGCTGGTTTCGAACCCCTGACCTCAGGTGATCCACCTCCTGTCCTCAGGTGATCTGGCCTCCCAAAGTGCTGAGATTACAGGCTGAGCCACTGTGCCCGGCCAAAAATAAAGGTTTTTAAGTGCTTAAGCAAATCAGGGATTATATGGTATTTGCTATATTACCTCCATCTTTCATGTATTTATGTAATATTTCATGATAAAAATATTGTAGCCAGGCAGAGCAACTTGTGTGTGTAATCCCACCTACTTGGAAGGCTGACACAGGAGGATCGCTTGAGCCCAGGAGTTGGAGGCTGAAGTAAGCTATGATTGCACCACTGCACTCCAGCCTGGGCAATAGATACTCTAAAATAGATAATAAATAAATAAATAAAAATGTTAAAAACATTTAAAGTAGCTATTTTTTGTATGTTTGTATTTGAGATGGAGTCTCACTCTGTTGCCCAGGCTGGAGCGCAGTGGCGTGATCTCAGCTCACTGCAACCTCCACCTCCTGGGTTCAAGGGATTCTCATGCCTCAGCCTCCCAAATAGTTGGGAACACAGGTGTGCGTCACCACACCCGGCTAATTTTTGTATTTTTAGTAGAGATGAGGTTTTGCCATGTTGGCCAGGCTGGTCTTGAACTCCTGGGCTCAAGAGATCCATCTGCCTCACCCTCCCAAAGTGCTGGGATTACAGGCGTGAGCCACTGCAATCTGCCCAAATTAGCTATTTTTTAATGGATAGATTTCTGTACTTTTGAGGCCTAACATGAAAACAGTACAGATTTTGCTCTGTGTTCCTTTGGGCATTCAATATCAAAGTTTCTAACTTGCTTGTAATAAATTAGGAGTTCATTATGTAATTGTATTGAAATAAATAGCCAAATGTGAAATATAAAGGAATTGACAAATCAGAGACTAATTCCACACTTTAAATATCACCAAATAATGTCAAGAAAACAACTGTGAACTTTTAATTGGAACTATAGTTTTCTCACAGATTTTTATTAAAAGGCATCTAGCCAAGTAAAATCACTTAGAATCTCAGAATCAATCCCCCTTTGTTTCTTTTGAAGGAACTGCCAAGGCAAATAGCATTTGCCTATGGAGATGAAATACAGTACTCTACTGTGTTTTTGCTTTGTGTTTTAAGGCTGTCACAAAGTTTCTTTTCTCCAGTTGAACAAAAGAGAAGATTGCATTTTAGTCACTGAACAAACATTTATTGAGCACAGTGCCAAGTATTGTGCCAGATTACCAAATTCCTAATCTTAGGTTACCAAATGACCTACTTCGGGAAAACATTGAACCAGGAGCCTGTATAACTAACTTACAGTTCTGGCAACTGCTAGAACTTCCCAGTGAAGTCATTATACCAGTCATGAGATCTGCCTTCTAGCTCAATCTGCGATCAACATGTATGATTCAGGAGGAGCTGCTGGTTGGTGAAACAAATTCAGAATCACTGTTAGGCTAACAAAAACGAAAATCCATACTTTATATAATAAAATAAACGTTTTATAAACTACCTCCCAAGTCGTTCAAAATCACTTCCAAAATTATCTTAAACTGTTTATTTCTATCTCCTGCTTATTCACATCAGTAGACAGTAGATCCCGGTTTTAGTTAATTTAACTGAAAGCTGTCTAGGTGTTAACTCATATACCAGCTCATTTGTCGACATAGCTTCTCAACGTTATGCTCAGGTATGTTGAAATTTAGTAATTAGCGACCTTTCTAAGAGATGTTTACTTAATTGTATTAATACACACATTTCTAGACTACTTCTTACATTATGAAGGTTGGTATCACGTGAAAAACAGCCAATTTCATGTTTACTTCCACCCCACCCCCGTGACTGTGCCAGGCACCAGGATCCAAACACATCTGCCTTACTCACCTTCCTTGGGTTATCTCCTTGCAGGACGAGTGGCCACACCCAGGGTGTAGGGAAACCCGTTGCTTGGTCCTAGCTGGTTAACCTCACCCTTGCACAACAAGCACGTCAATGGGAGCAGGATCAGCTACTTTCTTGTAGGTGAATTCCCGTTTTTGAAGTGGGGTTTCGGCTCCCTAATCTGCACTTTTTTTTTTCCTACCAGTTTGGAGAAACAGCTGGGAAGAACTGGATTTGCAGGTATTGCTGGAGCCAGAGCGAAGCCCGGCCACTGTCACCATGGGCTCCAGCCTCGCCTCTCTGGGCCTGGTGGTGAGCGGCTTCAGCAACAGGTTTCCGGTCCCCGCAGAGGGTCCCACTCTGAACTCCCGATTTACAGACTGTTCTCGGGCCGTGATGAGGATTAAGACAATGCAACTAAGAGCACTCTGACTACAGAAGCATGATTTAAAGCTCCACAACCCTGCAATAACCACGAAGAAAAATAAAAAGCGGCTAGTCCGCCAGGCACGGTGGTTCATGCCTGTAATCCTAGCACTTTGGGAGCCCGAGGCAGGCGGATCTCCTGAGCCCAAGAGTTCAGTAACAGCCTGGGTAACATAGCAAGACTCTGATCTAACAACAAAAAAAAATTAGACCAGGAACAGTGGCTCACATCTGTAATCCCAGCACTTTGGGAGGCCGAGGCAGGCAGATCACCTGAGGTCAGGAGTTCGAGACCAGCCTGACCAACGTGGTGAAACCCCATCTGTACTAAAAAATACAAAAATTAGCCAGGCATGGTGACACGCACCTGTAATCCCAGCTACTCAGGAAGCTGAGGCAGGAGAATCGCTTGAACCAGGGAGGTGGAGGTTGCAGTGAGCCACATCACGCCACTGGCCTTCAGCCTGGGTGACAGAGTGAGACTCCGTCTCAAAAAATAAATACAAAATTAAAAAGCCAGGCGTGGTCCACGGTCCCAGCCACTTGGGAGGCTGAGGTGGCAGGATAACTTGAGCCCTGGAGGTCAAGGCTGCAGTGAACGGTGATCACACCACTGCACACCAGCCTGGGGACACAGCCAGACTTTGTCACAAAAAAGCAAAAACAACTGGCCAGTGTATGAGGGGCTCGTGTTTTTTGTTTGTCTGTTTGTTGAGACAGAGTCTCACTCTGTCGCCAGACTGGAATGCAGTGGCACATTCTCGGCCCACTGCAATCTCTGCCTCCTAGGTTCAAGCAATTATCTGCCTCAGCCTCCCAAGTAGCTGGGATTACAGGCGCCCGCCACCACGCCCGGCTAATTTTTTTGTATTTTTAGTAGAGACGGGGTTTCACCACCTTGGCCAGGCTGGTCTTGAACCCCTGACCTCATGATCCACCCGCCTCGGCCTCCCAAAGTGCTGGGATTACAGGCGTGAGCCTCCGCGCCCGGCCAGGGGCGCGCGTTTTTAAAACATGGGAGAGGGAATTGTGCTTCACAATCACCATCAGGTGTCTCGATATCGGGTGCCACGCCGTCCCGCTTCTGAGGCGCGGCGGCCCACTTTGGCAGGCCGAGGCGGGTGGATTACCTGAGGTCAGGAGTTCGAGACCAGCCTGACAAACATGGTGAAACCCCCGTCTCTACTAAAAATACAAAAAATTAGCCGGACGTGGTGGCGCATGCCTGTAATCCCAGCTACTTGGGAGGCTGAGGCAGGAGAATCGCTTGAACCCGGGAGGCGGAGGTTGCGATGAGCCGAGATCGCGCCATTGCACTCCAGCCTGGGAAACAAGAGCGAAACTCCGTCTCAAGAAAAAAAAGGAAAGACCCCCCCTCCTTCTCCCGCCGGAAATACCCTCTTTCAGGACGGCGCGCCTGTGCGGCGCACGCGCGCTCAGTTACTTAGCAACCTCGGCGCTAAGCCACCCCAGGTGGAGCCCAGCAACAACAGAGCCACCGCGTCCCCCACCAATCAGCGCCGACCTCGCCTTCGCAGGCCTAACCAATCAGTGCCGGCGCTGCAAGGAAGTTTCCAGAGCTTTCGAGGAAGGTTTCTTCAACTCAAATTCATCCGCCTGATAATTTTCTTATATTTTCCTAAAGAAGGAAGAGAAGCGCATAGAGGAGAAGGGAAATAATTTTTTAGGAGCCTTTCTTACGGCTATGAGGAATTTGGGGCTCAGTTGAAAAGCCTAAACTGCCTCTCGGGAGGTTGGGCGCGGCGAACTACTTTCAGCGGCGCACGGAGACGGCGTCTACGTGAGGGGTGATAAGTGACGCAACACTCGTTGCATAAATTTGCGCTCCGCCAGCCCGGAGCATTTAGGGGCGGTTGGCTTTGTTGGGTGAGCTTGTTTGTGTCCCTGTGGGTGGACGTGGTTGGTGATTGGCAGGATCCTGGTATCCGCTAACAGGTACTGGCCCGCAGCCGTAACGACCTTGGGGGGGTGTGAGAGGGGGGAATGGGTGAGGTCAAGGTGGAGGCTTCTTGGGGTTGGGTGGGCCGCTGAGGGGAGGGCGTGGGGGAGGGGAGGGCGAGGTGACGCGGCGCTGGGCCTTTCCGGGACAGTGGGCCTTGTTGACCTGAGGGGGGCGAGGGCGGTTGGCGCGCGCGCGCGTTGACGGAAACTAACGGACGCCTAACCGATCGGCGATTCTGTCGAGTTTACTTCGCGGGGAAGGCGGAAAAGAGGTAGTTTGTGTGGTTTCTGGAAGCCTTTACTTTGGAATCCCAGTGTGAGAAAGGTGCCCCTTCTTGTGTTTCAATGGGATTTTTATTTCGCGAGTCTTGTGGGTTTGGTTTTGTTTTCAGTTTGCCTAACACCGTGCTTAGGTTTGAGGCAGATTGGAGTTCGGTCGGGGGAGTTTGAATATCCGGAACAGTTAGTGGGGAAAGCTGTGGACGCTTGGTAAGAGAGCGCTCTGGATTTTCCGCTGTTGACGTTGAAACCTTGAATGACGAATTTCGTATTAAGTGACTTAGCCTTGTAAAATTGAGGGGAGGCTTGCGGAATATTAACGTATTTAAGGCATTTTGAAGGAATAGTTGCTAATTTTGAAGAATATTAGGTGTAAAAGCAAGAAATACAATGATCCTGAGGTGACACGCTTATGTTTTACTTTTAAACTAGGTCAAAATGCAGATCTTCGTGAAAACCCTTACCGGCAAGACCATCACCCTTGAGGTGGAGCCCAGTGACACCATCGAAAATGTGAAGGCCAAGATCCAGGATAAGGAAGGCATTCCCCCCGACCAGCAGAGGCTCATCTTTGCAGGCAAGCAGCTGGAAGATGGCCGTACTCTTTCTGACTACAACATCCAGAAGGAGTCGACCCTGCACCTGGTCCTGCGTCTGAGAGGTGGTATGCAGATCTTCGTGAAGACCCTGACCGGCAAGACCATCACCCTGGAAGTGGAGCCCAGTGACACCATCGAAAATGTGAAGGCCAAGATCCAGGATAAAGAAGGCATCCCTCCCGACCAGCAGAGGCTCATCTTTGCAGGCAAGCAGCTGGAAGATGGCCGCACTCTTTCTGACTACAACATCCAGAAGGAGTCGACCCTGCACCTGGTCCTGCGTCTGAGAGGTGGTATGCAGATCTTCGTGAAGACCCTGACCGGCAAGACCATCACTCTGGAGGTGGAGCCCAGTGACACCATCGAAAATGTGAAGGCCAAGATCCAAGATAAAGAAGGCATCCCCCCCGACCAGCAGAGGCTCATCTTTGCAGGCAAGCAGCTGGAAGATGGCCGCACTCTTTCTGACTACAACATCCAGAAAGAGTCGACCCTGCACCTGGTCCTGCGCCTGAGGGGTGGCTGTTAATTCTTCAGTCATGGCATTCGCAGTGCCCAGTGATGGCATTACTCTGCACTATAGCCATTTGCCCCAACTTAAGTTTAGAAATTACAAGTTTCAGTAATAGCTGAACCTGTTCAAAATGTTAATAAAGGTTTCGTTGCATGGTAGCATACTTGGTGTTTTGTCATGAAATTCTCTAGTGATGTGTGGGTACGCTTAAAACTGGTGAAAATGTTTAGGGATTTAATTTTGAGATTGGTAATGTGCTCAAAGTTAAGTCACTTGACTTTGGTATACACTTGGGTGGGCTGAGGGGCAAGAGCCTTCTTTGCTGTTTAAGTCATTACAAGTTAGGATCCTGGGTAAATGGCAAACTTTCTGAAGCTCGAATTTAAAGTCTGTTGGGAGGCCGAGGCAGGCGGATCACGAGGTCAAGATATGGAGACCACCCTGGCCAACATGGTGAAACCTTGTCTCTACTAAAAGAAAAAAATTAGCTGGGCGTCGTGTCGCCTGCCTGTAGTCCCAGCTATTCGGGAGGCTGAGGCAGGAGAATCACTTGAACCTGGGAGGCAGAGGTTGCAGTGAGCCGAGATCGTGCCACTGCACCCCAGCCTGGCGACAGAGCAAGACAACATCTCAAAAAGTTGGATATGCAGGCTTTTTAAAAGATGGTCTTGCTCTGTAGTCCAGACTGGTATACAGTGGCACGATGACAGCTCACTATCATTCCTGGGCTCAAGTGATTGCAGGCATTTTCTTTACATTGAAGGAAAGCAAATGTGCCTGTTGAGACCTAATCAAGGATTGCTGGAGAAACAAAGTTTTGATTGAGGCTGCTTGAATAGTGGTAACGTAACTGCTTTCAGTTCTGCAATTAATTGGGTGACTATGAGCTGTGTGTTTATTGCTCTGTAGTGTATTACACCAAAGTGTTTAACCTGGGTGGTAGTATGGGACCATAATCTTGTCTCTTTGCTGTATATGCTTTAACTGATGAGCCAAGCAGCAGCTAATCACCGAGTATGGAAGACGACTGGCTGAGGAGAAAGATGGCTTGCAGGTACTTAATGTTGAAAACGGTATTCTGATCTAAGACAATCTTCCTGATCTTGATAAGTTAGGTGGCAAGTTAAAGTGGTTCCTCACTTTTTTTTTGGACAGTCTCTCTTGCCCCAGGCTGGAGTGCAGTGGTGCGATCTCGGCTCACTGCAACCTCCACCTCCCAGGTTCAAGCAGTTCTCCTGCCTCAGTCCCCCACATAGCTGGGACTACAGGGGCACACCAGCTAATTTTTGTATTTTCAGTAGAGTTGGGGTTTTACCATGTTGACCAAGCTGGTCTCAAACTCCTGGCCTCAAGTGATCCGCCCACCTTGACCTCTCAAAGTGCTGGGATTACAGGCATGAGCCATCACGCCCGGCCACGCTGTTGGTTCTTAATGACACAGCTTAACTTTATTGTGAAAAGATTGCAGCAACAAATGAGATTTTACCTGTATTTGTTAAAAATGCTTATCCTTGTCTAAGACTGGCAACATAAGCAGTTCTTAGGCTTCTATGCCAATGGACACTAGGCAGTAATACATGTGCAGTGCTAATAGAAAATATTGGAGTAAGGGTGTACTAAGGAAGTTCTCAATCTTTCCCCTTCACTATCTTCTGTAATGTAACTTCAATAAATGTGATTCTCATCTTGGCACAAAATTGGGAATGGTGTGGGGAGCGCTGTTTTTCCCAGGTTTATAGTAGAGAAATAATGTTTTCTGGTACTAAAACTGGCATGGTAAGTGCATACTTAGAGTAAGGACTTTAAATCACGGGCCAGTTAATCTCTAGTTAGTGGTTTGGTACGCAAGAAGTACCCATGGGTGTATTACACAAATGCAGGAATACCATATCTAGAAATACACCTTTGATATTCATAGTGTACCTGAGAATGGTTTCACGCATAATTTTAGGTAAACTGCCTTAGTCACTCTGGTTTTACGGATCTTTGCCCACAGTTCCTCGTTCATAACTTCTATAGCCCTTGTTATAGTCATGTTGTGTGTGTTAGGCCACAGGAAACTCACTTCACTTCTGCCCTTTTACCTTCACTAAGACGGGACTCTTGATCTTCCCCTACCTTTCTGTGAGTCCTAAGACCCCCATTTCAGAGAGGGTTCTGTCCTATACTCTGCGGAAAGGAATGCTGTCATCTTGAAGCCTCCCTACAAAACCAAGAGGACTGAGTTTGGATATGTGAACGTATGGAGGTTCCTGGAGGATGGCACACCCAGGCAAGGCATTAAAGCTTTGCACCCTTTCCCCCATACCTTGTCCTATGCATCTCTTCAACTGAGTCCTTTGTAATATCTTTATAATAAAGCAAATGTGGCCAGGCGTGGTGGCTGATACCTATAATCCCAGCACTTTGGGAGGTGGAGGTGGGAGGATCACTTGAGGCTAGAGCTTGGGGCCAGACTGGGCAATGGGCTCTTGACAAAACAAAACAAAAAAGTTTAAATGGGCTTGGTGACATATACCTGTAGTCCTAGCTACTTGGGAAGCTTAGGTGGAAGAATTGCTTTTGAGTCCAGGAGTTCCAGGCCAGCCTAACACAGCAAGATCTTGTCACTAAAAATCTAGCTTTTCAAACCTGGAAAATTACTAAAAATACAAAAATTAGCCAGGCATGGTGGTGCACGTCTGTAGGCCCAGCTACTAGGGAGACTGAGGTAGGAGAATCACTTGAACCTGGGAAGCGGAGCTTGCAGTGAGCCAAGATCTCCCCATTGCATTCCAGTCTGGCCGTCGCAAAAAAAAAAAAGTATCCAGTAAAAACTCCCCTCTCACCTTTCCTTGTATCCCCAGAAGAAACCGTTTAATGAGAGTATATGTTTTCATTTATTTATTCATTCAACAAATATTAGGTGTTTGCCGTTTTTTTTAAAAAAAAATTTAATTTTTTAGAGACAGGGTCTCACTCTGTGGCCCTGCCTGGAGTACAGTGACACAATCATAGCTTACTACAGCCTTAAACTCCCGGGCTGAAGCGATCCACCCGAGGAGCTAGGACTACAGGCACCTGCCACTATGCCAGGCTAATTAAAAAACTTTTTTCTTCTTCTTCTTTTTTTTTTTTTTTTTTTTTTTTTGAGATGGAGTCTCGCTCTGTCCTACAGGCTGGAGTGCAGTGGCGCGATCTCGGCTCACTGCAACTCCGCCTCCCAGTTTCAAGCAATTCCCTGGCTCAGCCTTCGGAGTAGCTGGGACTGCAGGCGACTGCCATCACGCCTGTCTAATTTTTTGTATTTTTAGTAGAGACGGGGTGTCACCATGTTGGCCAGGCTGGTCTTGAACTCCTGACCTCAGGTGATCCACCCGTCTCGGCCTCCCAAAGTGCTGGGGTTACAGGCGTGAGCCACGGCGCCAGGCCTTTTTTTTTTTTTTTTTAGATGGAGTCTTGATGTGTTGCCCAGGCTGGAGTGCAGTGGTGCTGTCTCCGCTCACTGCAAGCTCCGCCTGCCAGGTTCACGCCATTCTCCTGCCTCAGCCTCCCGAGTAGCTGGGACTATAGGCACGTGCGACCACACCCAGCTAATTTTTTTGTATTTTTAGTAGAGAGGGGGTTTCACCGTGTTAGCCAGGATGGTCTCGATTTCCTGACTTCGTGATCCGCCTGCCTCAGCCTTTCAAAGTACTGGGATTACAGGCGTGAGCCACCGCGCCCGGCGGAGGCATTTTTTTTTTCTTTTAAAGAGATGGGGGTCTCACTGAGCACCGTGGCTCACGTCTGTAATCCCCAGGACTTTGGGAGGCCGAGGCGAGGGGATAGCTTGAGCCCAGGACTCGAGACGAGCCTGGACGACATAGCAAGACTTCGTTTCTGAAAAAAATACAAGCATTTTGAACCCAGGAGGCGAAGGTTGCAGTGAGCCGAGATCGCGTCACTGCACTCCAGCCTGGGCGACAGAGCGAGACTTCGTCTCAAAAAAAAAAAAAAAAAAAACACAAGCATTTGGCAGGCAAAGTGGCGCACGCCTGTGGTTCCAGCCACTCTGGAGGCTGAGGTGGGAGGATCGCTTGAGCCAGGGAGTTTGAGGCTGCCGTGAGCGGTGATCGCGCAACTGCACTCCAGCCTGGGGGACAGAGCCAGAACTTGTCTCAAAAAAACAAAAAACAAAAAACTGGCCAGTGTGTGAGGGGCGCGCGATTTTTTGAGATGTGAGAGGGAATTGTGCTTCACGGTCACCACCAGGTGTCGCGACATCAGGTGCCGCGCCGTCCCGCTTCTGAGGCGCGGTGGCCTGAGAAACTGGTTGCAGAGCCCGCTCTTCCTAGCCTACTGCCCGAAAACGCAGAATTTGGGGAATTGGAACTTTGGAGGCGGGAGCGAAAGACCTCTCCTTCTCCCGCCGGAAATACCCCTCTTTTGGGAAGCGCGCCCCTGCCTTCCGGAAAGGAAGAAACGTGATCACGCCGCTGCACTCAAGCCTCTGGGTGATAGAGCGAGAAGACCCTGTCTCCAAAACACAAACACACAAACAAACAAAAAGGTAATGGGGGCCGGGCGCGGTGGCTCACGCCTGTAATCCCAGCACTTTGGGAGGCCGAGGCGGGCGGATCACGAGGTCAGGAGATCGAGACCATCCTGCCTAACACGGTGAAACCCTGTCTCTACTAAAAATACAAAAAATTAGCCGGGCGAGGTGGCGGGCGCCTGTAGTCCCAGCTACTCGGGAGGCTGAGGCAGGAGAATCGCGTGAACCCCGGGGGCGGAGCCTGCAGTGAGCCGAGATCGCGCCACTGCACTCCAGCCTGGGTGAAAGAGCGGAGACTCCGTCTGAAAACAAACAAACAAACAAACAAAAAAAAGGTAATGGGGGGCCGGGCGCGGTAGCTCATGTCTATAATCCCAGCACTTTGGGAGGCCGAGGCGGGTGGATCACCTGAGGTCAGCAGTTCGAGACCAGCCTGGCCAACATGGTGAAACCCTGTCTCTGCTAAAAACATAAAAAAAATAGCTGGGCGTGGTGGCAGGCGCCTGTAATCCCAGCTACTCAGGAGACTGAGGCAGGAGAATCGCTTGAACCCAGGAAGCGGAGGTTGCAGTGGGCTGAGATCACACCATTGCGCTCCAGCCTGGGCCACAAGAATGAAACTCTGTCTCAAAAAAAAAAAAAAAAAAAAAAAAAGGTAATAGGAACATTGCTGGTAATTGCTGTGTGAGGACACCATAATGCCTGTCTTTCTGACCTTCTTTCTGACCACCATTTATTACCTGTCTTTCTGAACTTCTATGCCAATGTAAACATGCATATGTGTATAGATATCTCCATATATAGTTACTCTCACCTTGTTCACAGCTGCATTCACACTAGATATACCATTTTCTCCTTCAAATAATGTTATTGCTAACTATGAATGTAATACATGCTCAGTGTAGGAAATTTGGGAAATATAGAAAAAGAAAGCACTCATTATCCCTGCGATCCAAGTATATTCAGTTTGGCATGTTTCCTCTTTTCCCAGTTAATTTTTTACTTAAATAACAATGGATACAATACAAGTTGTAAGGACTCGACCAGCAGATACATAGAGAGTGAGTAAAAACACTGAAGTCCTTTTTCAGCGTCCCTTCCCAGCTGTCCTCTTCCCACGCATCTTTTTCTGTGCCACTTGCTAGAAGTTTGGTGTATTTACCACCAGATTGTTTTCAGTGTGTCACATATGTTTGTGTTATATAAAAACATACTTTAAAAATTATATATAAATGGAATTATACATTATATACCCATCTTTCTTGGAGACATTTCCATGCTAGCACATATAGATGTGCCTTATTCTTTTCAAACTGCTGCAAAATATTTCATGGAATAGATACACCGTATTTTACCCTTCTCCTTACTGATGGTATTTAGATTGTTTCTAATTTTTTACTATTAAAACAATACTGCAATTAATATCCTTGTAAATGTCTCTTGTAACAAATGTGCAAGTATTTCTTCAGGATATACTAGAAGTAGAATTGCTGTATCAAAGATTATGGCATTTAATAATTGGGGATTATTACGAAATTACCCTTCAAAAGACTGTACAACAATGGAATATTATTCAGCCTTAAAAGGAAGAAAATTCATTTAGCAGAGCAGAAACTGAAAAATGAAAAAGGAACTTCTGCCTGGGCGCGGTGGCTCATGCCTGTAATTCCAGCACTTTGGGAGGCCGAGGCAGGCGGATCACGAGGTCAACAGATGCAGACCATCCTGGCCATCATGGTGAAACCCCGTCTCTACTAAAAATACAAAAATTAGCTGGGCATGGTGGCGTGCACCTGGAGTTCCACTTAGCTACTTGGGAAGCTGAGGCAGGAGAATCGCTTGAACCCGGGAAGCGGAGGTTGCAGTGAGCCGAGATCAGGGCACTGCACTCCAGCCTGGAGACAGAGTGAGACTCTCAAAAAAAAAAAAAAAAAAACTGCTGGGCGCAGTGGCTCACGCCAGTAATCCCAACACTTTGGGAGGCCAAGGCGGGACGATCACTCGAGGTCTTGAGTTCCAGACCAGCCTGGCCAATATGGTGAAACTCTGTCTCTACTAAAAATGCAAAAATTAGCTGGGTGTGGTGGCGCATGCCTGTAATCCCAGTTACTCGGGAGGCTGAGGTAGGAGAATCGCTTGAACCTGAGAGGCAGAAGTTGCAGTGAGCCAAGATTGAGCCATTGCACTCTAGCCTGGGCAACAGAGTGAGAGACTCCATCTCAAAAAAAAAAAAAAAAAGACCAGCCTTGCCAACGTGGTGAAACCTGTCTCTACTACAAATACAAAAATTAGCTGGTCGTCGTGGCAGGCGCCTGTAATCCCAGCTACTCTGGAAGCTGAGGCAGGAGAATCTCTTGAACCTGGGAGGCGAGGCAGTGGTTGCAGTGAGCCGAGATCATGCCATTGCACTTCAGCCTGAGCAACAAGATCAAACCTCTGTCTCAAAAAAAAAACAAACAAAAAAAACTTCTGACACATATTACCACATGGATGAATCTTAAAGACATTACACTAAATGAAACAAGACAGGCACAAAAGGAAAAATACTGTGTGATTCCACTATATGAGGTAGCTAGAGTAGTCAGACTCATAAAGACGTAAAGTAGAATGGTGGCTGCCAGGAGCTGGGAAAGGAGGGAATGGGGAGTTAGTGTTTAATGGGGACACAGTTTCAGTTTTGCAAGATGAAAAGAGTTCTGGAGATGGATGGTGGTGATGGTCACACACAATGAATATTAAGTAATGCTACCAAACTGTACACTTAAAAATGGCTTCAATGGTACATTTTTTGTTATTTATAGTTGATCACAATTTTTTTTTTTTTTTGAGACAGAGTTTTGCTCTAGTTGCCCAGGCTGGAGTGCAATGGCGCGATCTTGGCTCACTGCAACCTCC
This sequence comes from Homo sapiens, assembly GCF_000001405.40. Lineage (NCBI taxonomy): Eukaryota > Metazoa > Chordata > Mammalia > Primates > Hominidae > Homo > Homo sapiens. The sequence goes on from NC_000017.11 coordinate 16,389,994, forward strand.
ACCTCCCAGGTTCAAGCGATTCTCCTGTCTCAGCCTTCCCAAGTAGCTAGGATTATAGGCATGCGCCACCAAGCCTGGCTAATTTTGTATTTTTAGTAGAGATGGGGTTTCTCCATGTGGGCCAGGCTGGTCTTGAACTCCTGACCTCAGGTGATCCGCCCACCTCGGCCTCCCAAAGTGCTGGGATTACAGGCGTGAGCCCCCGTGCCCGGCCTGATCACAATTTTTAAAAAGACTGTACCAATATCAATTCCCACCAATACTGCATAAGAGAGAGTATCTAGTCCTCCACCACTTCATTAATATTATACATTATGAATCATTTCAACTTTGGACACGTTGAGGGGCAAAAAGAACACTTTATTGTTTTAATTTGCATGTGCCCGATTACTTCTGCCATTGGATACCTTTTGAATGTTTATTTAACATTAATTTGTCTTGCGAATTATCTGTTCATTTCCTTTGCCCAATTTTAGTATGAATTTGTATGACTTCTTTATATGTTCTAACAACTAATAATTTATCTAATTGTGGTAAATATTGTCTTTCAGACTTACTTCACTTTTTTTTTTTTTTTTTTTTTTGAGACAGTGTCTCACTCTGTTGTCCAGGCTGGAGTGCAGTGGTGTGATCTCAGCTCACTGCAGCCTTCACCTCCTGGGTTCAAGACTCCCAAGTAGCTGGGCTTACAGGCACACGCCACCACACCCGGCTAATTTTTGTATTTTTAGTAGAGATGGGGTTTCACCATGTTGGCCAGGCTGGTCTCAAACTCCTGGCCTCAAGTGATCTGCCTGCCTCAGCCTTCCAAAGTGCTGGGATTACCGGCCTGAGCCACTGTGCCTGGCCTTACTTCACTTTTCAATTATGGTGTCTTTTGTAAAAACAGAAGTTTTTAATTAAAAAAAAATGCTCCCATCTCTCCAAAGATAAAAAATTAGCTGGGCGTGGTAGCACACACCTGTGGTCCCAGCTATTCGGGAGACTGAGGTGGGAGGATCACTTGAGCCCAGGGGGCCGAGGCTGCAGTGAGCTGTGATCTCCCCACTGCTCTCCAGCCTGGGAGACAGAGCAAGACCCTGTCTCAATCATCATCATCATCATCTGACAATCTTTTTCTTTATGGCTTCTGGGCCAAAGGAATAAATGAAGGTATAAGGCTTGTTGATAACTATTAATAACACACATTAAAAAAAAAACTATGCATAACACACATTCGAAATCTACAGCGCGTTGCCTGAAGTTAGCATGTTGGGTTCTGGCTCTGTCTTTTGCTTCAACAGTGTTTGGAACGAACAGACCAGGGGGCTCCCTCTTCCAGCCTCTGATCGCCTCCCATCTCCTTTCCACTTGAGCCTCCAAGACCATCTTCTTGGCAACCTCCTGCTTCTGGGCCCAGCCAACACCGTTTTTGTGGTTATCTGCTTCTTGTCCCCAAGCATGAGCTCCCAGATGTGTCAGAATCATTCCACCCAGGCGGAGGCAACCACTAACTGCCTGGTCAACTGGCATCTCTCTGGGCTTCTACTTCAGCCGTGACGATGTGGCTCTGGAAGGTGAACTGGCCAAGCGTCTCTGGAAGATGCAAAGCCAGCATGGCAGCCCGCTCTTCTGCAGGACCTGCAGATGAGATGAGTGGGATAAAACCCTGGATGCCGCGGGGGCAGCCTTGGCCCTGGAGAGGAGCCTGAACCAGCCTATTCTGGGTCTTCACGCCCTGGGTTCTGCTGGCACAGACCTCATCTCTGGGACTTCCTAGAGAGGCCTTTCCTAGATGTGGGAGTGAAACTCGTCAAGAGAGTGGATGATCGCCTGACCTCTGCGGGCTGGCCGCCCGGAGCTGGGTCAAGCAACTGTCTTTTCCAAAGTCTTGCCACCCTCAAGCACGACTGGGAGCCTAGCGAGCCCAGCGACCTCTGAGAGGCTCCTCTCAAACGATCAGGGTTTCTGCCTGCCTGAGCCTCCCCCTCCAGCCACTAGGCAGCTTTTTAACACCCTGGAGCCCTCTCCCAAGCCTGGACCAAATTTGCAGGGACAAAAGCGGGGCAGGGGCTGGGGTGGGGAAATCAAATTAATGACCTTCTTAGGGTAAAGATGTTTCAGGAAGAGGAAACCTGCCATCCCACAACCCCTAGACCATAATAGCATTTATTCCTTCCAGGGATCAACAAACCAGTGACAGAGAGACTCTGGAGCCATTGAAATCTACTGATTGAGGCCAGGCACGGTGGCTCACGCCTGTAATCCCAGCACTTTGGGAGGCCAAGGCGGGAGGATCACAAGGTCAGGAGTTGGAGACCAGACTGGCCAACATAGCAAAACCCCATCTCTACTAAAAATACAAAAAAAAAATTAGCCAGACGTGGTGGCAGGTGCCTGTAATCCCAGCTATTCAGGAGGCTGAGGCAGGAGAACCACTTGAACCTGGGAGGCAGAGGTTGCAGTGAGCCGAGATCGTGCCATTGTACTTCAGCCTAGGCGATAAGAGCAAGACTCCATCTCAAAAAAAAAAAAAGAAAAATCTACTGATTAATGCCTATCTTAACTCCAGTGTCAATAGTAGCTTTGACAAACGCCTTTTATATCATGTGGCTATACTTTGCCAAGCATACTGAGCACTATTATAATTGTTTCCTAATACCCCATGTGATACCCCCATGCTTCATACGTTTATAACACATTTAAAAATAGCATGACGCCAGGGGCGGTGGCTCACGCCTGTAATCCCAGCCCTTTGGGAGGCTGAGGCGGGCAGATCGCCTGAGGTCAGGAATTCAAGACCAGCCTGGCCAACATAGTGAAACCCTGTCTCTACTAAAAATGCAAAGAATTAGCTGGGCGTGGGCCGGGCGCGGTGGCTGACACCTGTAATTCCAGCACTTTGGGAGGCCTAGGCAGGCGGATCACCTGAGGTTGGGAGTTCGAGACCAGCCTGACCAACATGGAGAAACCCCGTCTCTACTGAAAATACAAAATTTGCCAGGCATGGTGGCCCATGCCTGTAATCCCAGCTAATTGGGAGGCTGAGGCAGGAGAATCGCTTGAACCCAGGAGGCAGAGGTTGCGGTGAACCGAGATCGCATCAAGGCACTCCAGCCTAGGTGACAAGAGCAAAACTCTGTCTCAAAAAAAAAAAAAAAAAAATTAGCTGGGCATGGTGGGCGGGAGCCTGTAATCCCAGTTACTAGGGAGGCTGAGGCAGGAGAATTGCTTGAACCCAGGAGGCGGAGGTTGTGGTGAGCCGAGATCACGCCATTGCACTCCAGCCTGGACAACAAGAGCAAATCTCTGTCTCAAAAAAAAAAAATTTTTTTTCAGATAATCTGGAACGGTAAAAAGAAGAGAGTAAAATTACCTAAATAAATTACCAAATTCCCATCATCTGGAGGTAACTATTGATAGCACAGATTTTTAAAAAATGGGTTATCATATAATGCTTTCTATTTTTTATCCTGCTTTTTTAAACTTAATTTTTCTACTTACATTGTTTTATGCTAATAAATATATATCTTCATTTAAATAGCTGCATAGCTTTCTGTTGTATATATCATAATTTATTTAACTCATACTAATGGGGCATTTGTAAACAACTCTATGGTGTAAATGCATCCCTTCATATATATTTATATGTGTATGTGTGTGTGTGTGTGTGTGTGTGTGTGTGTGTGTGTATTTAGAGATAGGCTCCCACTCTGCTGCCCAGGCTTGTGTGCAGTGGTGCAATCATAGCTAACTGTATCCTCAAATTCCAGTGTCAAGTGATCTTCCCACCTCAGCCTCCTGAGTAGCTGGGACCACAGGCACATGCCACCTTGCCTGGCTAATTTATTTTGATTTTTATTTTTTTGTAGAGGTGGGGTCTTACCATATGACCCAGGATGGTCTCAAACTCGTGGCCTCAAGTGGTCCTCCTACCTCAGCCTCCTAAAGCATTGGGATTTAGAGGCATAAGCCACTGTGCCCAGTCTCTTGACATATTTTGTAAATTAAAAACGAGGAAGAAATATTTACAACACAGGCGTGTGCCACCATACCCAGCTAATTTTTTGTATTTTTAGTAGAGACAGGGTTTCACCATGTTGGCCAGGCTGGTCTCAAACTCCTGACCTCAAGTGATCCGCCCACCTCAGCCTCCCAAAGTGCTGGGATTACAAGCATGAGACACTGTGCCTGACGTTAAAGGACTAATTTCTTTCTTTTTTTTCTTTTCTTTTGAGACAGGATCTTACTCTGTCACCCAGACTGGAGTGCTGTGATACGATCACAGCTCATTGCAGTCTCCATGTCCCAGGCACAAGTGATCCACCTCAGCTTCCCAAGTAGCTGGGACTACAGGGGCACATACTACACCTGGCTAATTTAAAAAACTCTTTGTAGAGACAGGTTCTTGCTATGTTTCTCAGACTGGTCTTGAACTGCTGACCTCAAATGATCCTTCTGCCTCAGCCTCTGAAAGTGCTGGGATTACAGGCATGGGCCACTGCACCCACCGAAAGGACTAATTTCTTCAATATATAAGTGGTTTCTATAAATATATGAGAAACAGATTAATAACACAATAGGAAAATGGACAAAGGACAGGAGCAGACAATTCACAGAAAAGAAAATTGTTGTTTTTTTTTTTTGAGACGGAGTCTCACTCTGTCGCCCAGGCTGGAGTGCAGCGGTGGCACTATCTCGGCTCACTGCAAGCTCTGCCTCCTGGGTTCACGCCACTCTCCTGCCTCAGCCTCCCGAGTAGCTGGGACTACAGGCACCCGCCACCACGCCAGGCTAATTTTGTTTTTTGTATTTTTAGTAGAGATGGGGTTTCACCATGTTAGCCAGGATGGTCGCGATCACCTGACCTCATGATCCGCCGACCTCGTGATCCGCCCGCCTCGGCATCCCAAAGTGCTGGGATTACAGGTGTGAGCCACCGCGCCTGGCCAAAAATTGTTCTTAAACACATGACAAGATGTGCAGCTTCACTTAGCATAAGAAAAATGACCATTCAATGTATGAAGTGGCATTTTTTAATATTTCAGATTGACAAAGATAAAACAAGACTGTTAATACTTTTGTTTACAAGAGTGCAGAGAAATGCATCCTCATGTATTGTTGGTCGGTGTAAACTGGTACAACCTCTTTGGAAGGCAGTTGGGTAAGTAGCTATGAAAATCTCAACTGCAGCTGGGCGAAGTGCCTGTCATCCCAGCACTTTGGGAGACCGAGGCGGGTGGATCACCTGAGGTCAGGAGTTCGAGACCAGCCTGACCAACATGTTGAAACCCCGTCTCTACTAAAAATACTCACACACAAAAAATTATCCAGGCGTGGTGGCGGGCACCTGTAGTCCAAGCTGCTTGGGAGGCTGAGGCAGGGATAATTGCTTAAACCCAGGAGGCAGAAGTTTCAGTGAGCCGAGGTGGCACCACTGCACTCCAGTCTGGGCAACAGAGCGAGACTCTGTCTCAAAAAACAAACAAAAGAAAATCTCGAGTTCACATACCCTTTGTGCCAGCAATTCCACATCTGGGAATTTTACAGATACTCTCACAGATGTGTAAAAAGAAGTATGAGCACAGATGTTCCCTGCAGTATCGTTAATAATAGAAATACACTCAAGGCCGGGCGCGGTGGCTCACGCCTGTAATTCCAGTACTTTGGGAGGCCGAGATGGGTGGATCACTTGAGGGCAGGAGTTGGAGAGCAGTCTGGCTAACATGGTGAAGCCCCGTCTCTACTAAGGATACAAAAATTACCCAGGCGTGGTGTCGCACCCCTGTAGTCCCAGCTACTTGGGAGGCTGAGGCAGGGAGAATTGCTTAAACCCAGGAGGCAGAGGTTTCAGTGAGCCGAGGTGGCACCACTGCACTCCAGCCTGGGCGACAGAGAGAGACTCCATCTCAAAATAAATAAAATAAAATAAAATAAGAAAGGTGAACCTTAGCAGCAGCAAGGCAGCCATCACCTTTGCTCTCTGAAGCCTGCGGTAGGGATGGATATGAATTAGCTGTGGCGGGAGGGGCTGAGTAAGCTCTGGGACCACGTGACTCTGCTGGACACAGCAGGGGAAGGCAGTGGTCCAGGCTTCCCAAAAACCAGCCTTGAGGAATAAAGATAACGCTCCCAATTTTCAGAACTGCTCTGCTCACTCTGAGTCAGAGTGGAAAATACTGACTGCTGCATCTAGCAAAGGAGATGTTTCAGCACTGTTTTGGGAAGAAGGGCCTGTAGGGCCTATCTGATGAGGGCCTTACTGTCATCTCCCCATCATGCCAAGCAGCCTTTCCTTTGACCCAGGGCTCCCACCCCCACTTTCAGATTAGCTGCCAGCCTCTAACACTCTGCTGTTTTCCCTTCCTGAGAAGCAGCCGCTGTGAAAGCTGTTTTTCTGAGCATCAGGCCTGAGCATAATCTGCTTTAGCAGCTGAAGTGGTCTGCTCTTCTTTTACTGACAACACTTTAATACAGAAATTCTGATGGCCTTTTAGATTTATATATGCTTCTCCCTCCCCTCTGGGCTTTTCCTGGAAGTAGGTTGGCAAGGAACAGTATGGCTCCTACCTCCACACCAGCCAGGACCTTGAGAAGGGAGAAGGTGCTGAGCCACTCAAGCACATGGCCAGGGGAGCTTAGAAAAACAGGGACTTCCAACCTGCCTGGGCAATATAGCGAGACCCCGTTCTCCAAAAACAAGGAAAAAAGAAAAAAGAAAAAGAGGGACCCTCCAAACACAAGCAGGGAGAAGCTGAAGAAGTGGGTGCTAGAAGAGCCTGGAGATGTGTAGATGGCAGCCTGTCTGCTGCTCTGGGCCTTGGCCATTGCCTGTGCTGCTGATGCTTCTGCTGTCTCTTCTCCTTTCACAAAACTACAAGAGCTCAGGTTGGGGCTGCTCAAAAGCTTCCCGCAATGTGCTGATTCACTCTAAGTGCCTGCTCCTCTGCAGACTGACTTCATGCACTTAAAATAATTCACTCGTTTCATTGTTAGCTCTGTCCTCTCCACTTGCATTTCAGGCCAGAGCACTACAGTGAGGTCCCAAGCTCTGTCCTGTAAACCACAGGTAAAATTCTAAGGCCCCTCCACAACCATCTGAATGGGCCCCTCTTCTTGGCTAAGGACATTCCCAAGTAAATCTGAAAATCTAGTTCAGGACATGACGGAAGAGCAGGTCACACAAGCATCATTATAACTTCCTCCCTTTTGGAATTCAGGAAAAGCCAACCAGCATTAACATCAACACAGATCTTAAGTCTGGTAAGAAACATTTACAATCTATTTTCTCTGAAGTTTGCTACCTGGAAGCTTCATCTGCCTGATAAAACCTTGGTCTCTACAACCCCTTATCAAAACCCAGGCATTTCTTTCTACTGATAATAAGTCTTTCTTCTTTTTTTTTTTTTTCCTAGATAGAGTCTCGCTCTGTCGCCCAGACTGGAGTGCAGCAGCACCATCTTGGCTCACTGCAACCTCTTCCTCCCGGGTTCAAGCGATTCTCCCGCCTCAGCCTCCTGAGTAACTGGGATTACAGGCATGTGCCACCACACCCGGCTAATTTTCTTTTTTGTGAGACAGAGTTTCACTCTTGTTGCCCAGGCTGGAGTGCAATGGTATGATCTCGGCTCACCACAACCTCTGCCTCCCAGGTTCAAGCGATTCTCCTGCCTCAGCCTCCTGAGTAGCTGGGATTACAGGCATGCGCCACCACACCCGGCTGATTTTGTATTTTTAGTAGAGACAGGGTTTCTCCATGTTGGCCAAGCTGGCCTCGAACTCCTGACCTCAGGTGATCCACCCGCCTCGGCCTCCCAAAGTGCTGGGATTATAAGCGTGAGCCATGGCACCTGGCCAACTCTTTCAACTAATTGCCAATCAGAAAAACTTTAAAATCTGCCTGTGACCTGGATACACTCCTCACACGCACTTCGAGTTGTCCTGCCCTTCCATATGGAACCAACGTAAGTCCTATATGTATTTGACTGATGTCTCATGTCTCCCTAAAATGTATAAAACTAGGCTGTGTCTGAGCACCTTGGGCACATGTTCTCAGGATCTCCTGAGGGCTGTGTCACAGGCCATTGATCACTCATATTTGGCTCAGAATAAATCTCCTCAAATACTTTTTTGTCAACAGTCCACTGGGCTCAGGTGAGCAGGGCCTGAAACAGATGACATGGAAATTTATAATAAAATAAGGGGCCCGTGCCTTAAGACATACCACAAAGTAAATATAACACTGTACAGGCTCTCTCGGGTGACCCTGGACTACAGAATGTGGGTTGTGGGGAGGGAGAGACGTGGACTTTTTCCTGCAGGTCATGGCTTGGGTGCACCTAGAAACAGGCCAATACCACCTCTTCTTTTCTGGAAAGGTGGGGCCTGACAGCTTTGTGTGGGGAACCAGTGTCCTGTTACAGTTCAGGTCTAAAATGCCTGCTGAGTAAATAAACATGTTGTTCTCAACCTAAACCGAAAAGCCTGATATTTGTAGGAATAAAATTGATCTTTCCTACCCTGAGCAAAGTGCTCCAAATATGCTCAGTCATGGAGTGGAGACAGATAAGTAAACAGACGCTGGGAATAGAGTGGAGACAGATAAATAAACAGATGCTGGGGATATGTCGTGATACAGAGCCAGGCCAGAGTCAAGCAAGGTGCTGCATTGGCATTCTGCCGGCCTTTCCTGCAGGAAAAGGTGTGAAAAAGCTCTTGGGGTGATGGGAAGGGGTGTGCTGTTTTGAAATCGGAAGATAAAAACAGAGCCATGGAGGTTCTGCGCCATCGCCTTGGAACAGATGGTATCTGCCTCCACATCTGCAATGACTCAGATCTCTGCTCTGGGCATACCTGCAGTCAAATCAGGGCTGCCCAGACATCCTGTGTTTGTGAAATGCTGAGAAAAACAGAAGGGGACTAACTGGCTTCTAGCAGTTGCCTACTCATCCACCCTCTTCCAAACACCCAGGCTGGGGAGTAACATTTTGGGGATGAGTCCTCGTAATGCTGCTTCTCTCTAGAGAGCAATGTGTGAAAATTGACCCAAGGAGTTGTCTCATGGGGTGAGGCATGATTGGCTGTCTTTTCTCAGAGCCTCCCTGAGGCTCATCTACCCCCATGCCCTGAGCTCACTGGGGCCTGCCTGGCCAAACAGAATATACCCATTAAGGGAAATAAATTTCCAGGCCACAATAACAAGCATCACCACTTTGAAAAGAAAGAACCATAAACTGAAATTCTTCAGAATAAGAATTTTTAATTAGCCTAATAAACACATTAAAAGATATAAAGGAAAATACTAGAACTATGAAACAAATGAATACAAAAACACCAAAAAGAACCAACAAGAAATACTAAGTTGAAAATATAAAAGTTGAGGCTGGGCACAGCGGCTCAAGCCTGTAATCCCAGCGCTTTGGGATGCCAAGGCGGGTGGATCACCTGAGGTCGGGAGTTCGAGACCAGCCTGACCAACATGGTGAAACCCCATCTCTACTAAAAATACAAAAATTAGCCGGGCGTGGTGGCACGTGCCTGTAATCCCAGCTACTCAGGAGGCTGAGGCAGGAGAATTGCTTGAGCCCGGGAGGCGGAGGTTGCAGTGAGCTGAGATCGCGCCACTGCACTCCAACCTGGGTAACAGAGCAAGACTCTGTTTCAAAAAAAAAAATTAGCCAGGGGTAGTGGTGAACGCCTGTAGTCCCAGCTACTCAGGAGGCAGAGGCAGGAGAATCACTTGAACCCAGGAGGCGGAGGTTGCGGTGAGCTGAGATCACACCATTGCACTCCAGCCTGGGCAACAAGAGCAAAACTCCCACTCAAAAAAAAAAGGGCCGAGCACAGTGGCTCACACCTGTAATCCCAGCACTTTGGTGTAGGGAAAAGAGAGATCAGACTGTTACTGCGTCTATGTAGAAAGGGAAGACATAAGAAGTTCCATTTTGACCTGTACATTTTTTTTTTTTGAGACGGAGTCTTGCTCTGTCGCCCAGGCTGGAGTGCAGAGGCGCGATCTCAGCTCACTGCAAGCTCTGCCTCCCGGGTTCACGCCATTCTCCTGCCTCAGCCTCCCCAGTAGCTGGGACTACAGGCGCCCACCACCACGCCCACCTAATTTTTTGTATTTTTCGTAGAGAAGGGGTTTCACCATTTTAACCAGGATGGTCTCGATCTCCTGACCTCGTGATCCGCCCACCTCAGCCTCCCAAAGCGTACCTTGAACAATTGCTTTGCTGAAATGTTGTTAATTTGTAACTTTGCCCCAGCCACTTTGCCCCAGCCACTTTGCCCCAACTTTGAGCTCACAAAAACATGTGTTGTATGGAATGAAGGTTTAAGGGATCTAGGGCTGTGCAGGAGGTGCCTTGTTAACAAAATATTTACAAGCAGTATGCTTGGTAAAAGTCATCACCATTCTCTAGTCTCAATAAACCAGGGGCACTATGCACTGCGAAAAGCCGCAGGGACCTCTGCCCTGGAAAGCTGGGTATTGTCCAAGATTTCTCCCCATGTGATAGTCTGAAATATGGCCTCATGGGATGAGAAAGACCTGACTGTCCCCCAGCCCGACACCCATAAAGGGTCTGTGCTGAGGTGGATCAGTAAAAGAGGAAAGCCTCTTGCAGTTGAGATAGAGGAAGGCCACTGTCTCCTGCCTGCCCCTGGGAACTGAATGTCTCGGTATAAAACCCCGATTGTACATTTGTTCAATTCTGAGATAGGAGAAAAACTGCCTTATGGCAGGAGGCGAGACATGTTGGCAGCAATGCTGCCTTGTTATTCTTTACTCCACTGAGATGTTTGGGCGGAGAGAAACATAAATCTGGCTTACGTGCACATCCAGGCATAGTACCTCCCTCTGAACTTAATTATGACATAGATTCTTTTGCTCACATGTTTTTTTGCTGACCTTCTCCTTATCACCCTGCTCTCCTACCGCATTCCTCTTGCTGAGATAATGAAAATAATAATCAATAAAAACTGAGGGAACTCAGAGACCGGTACCGATGCAGGTCCTTGGTATGCTGAGCGCCGGTCTCCTGGGCCCACTGTTGTTTCTCTATACTTTGTCTCTGTGTCTTATTTCTTTTCTCAGTCTCTCGTCCCACCTGACGCGATATCCCACAGGTGTGGAGGGGCAGGCCACCCCTTCACTTTGGGAGGCCGAGGCAGGTGGATCAGTAGGTCAGGAGACCGAGACCATCCTGGCTAACATGGTGAAACCCCGTCTCTACTAAAAATACAAAAAAAAAAAAAAATTAGCCAGGCGTGGTGGCGGGCGCCTGTAGTCCCAGCTACTCGAGAGGCTGAGGCAGGAGAATGGCATGAACCCAGGAGGCAGAGCTTGCAGTGAGCCAAGATTGTGCCACTGCACTCCAGCCTGGGCGACAGAGCGAGACTCCGTCTCAAAAAAAAAAAAAAGAAAAAAGAAAATATAACAGTTGTACTAAAGAACACAAATGATTGAATAAACAGCAGAATGGACAGAGCTGAGGAATAAATTAGTGGACTGGAATAACAGAAATTCCCCAAAAGGAAGAAGAAAAAATAAAAGAACAGGAAATATAAAAGAATAGCTAAGGGATATGGAGAATAAAAGTGAAATGGTAACATTCAGAAGATAGGATTCCTGGAAAGAGAAAGAGAAAAATGGAAAGGAGGAAATATTTGAAAAAATAATGAAGAAAAAATTCTCAGAATTAGGAAAAAAGATGAAGTGTGAACACAAGATCTGTATACGGATTATTCCTTATTAAAAATAATTTTGGCCAAGCGTGGCCGGGCGTGGTGGCTCACGCCTGTAATCCCAGCACTTTGGGAGGCCGAGGCAGGTGGATCACGCGGTCAGGAGATCGAGACCATCCTGGCTAACACGGTGAAACCCTGTCTCTACTAAAAATACAAAAAATTAGCTGGGCGTGGTGGCTGGCACCTGTAGTCCCAGCTACTCAGGAGGCTAAGGCAGGAGAATGGCATGAACCCGGGAGGCGAAGCTTGCAGTGAGCTGAAATCATGCCACTGCACTCTAGCCTGGGCAACAGAGCGAGACTCTGTTTCAAAAAAAAAAAATTTTTTTGGCCAAGCGTGGTAGCTCACGCCTGTAATCCCAGCACTTTGGGAGGACCAAGGCCAGAGGATCTCTTGAGCCTAGGAGTTAGACATCAGTCTGGGTGGGCAAAAACCTGTCTCTACAAAAAAAAAAAAAAGTAAAAAAAATTAGCCCAGTGTGGTGGCGCAAACCTATAGGTAGGAGGGTCGCTTGAGCCTGGGAGATGGAGGCTGCAGTGAGCCGTGATCACTCCACTGCACTTCAGCCTGGGCAACAGAGCAAGACCCTGTCTAAAAAAAAAAAATTGAGAGTTGGAATATGTCAATGAGGAGAGAGAAGGAAAAATTTACAGCGAGAAACATTTTGGGGAAATTTAAGAATATCAGAGACAAAAAGAACATTCTAAAAATTTCCAGAGAGTCAGAGATCACAGATAAAGGAACAAGAGGCCTATTTATTTATTTATATCTTTTTGAGACAGAGTCTCACTCTGTTGCCCAGGCTGGAGTGCCGTGGTGCCATCTGGGTTCACTGCAACCTCTGCCTCCTGAGCTCAAGTGATTCTCCTGCCTCAGCCTTCTGAGTAGCTGGGATTACAGGCGACCACCACCAGGCTCAGCTAATTTTTGTATTTTTAGTAGAGATGGGGTTTCACTATGTTGGCCAGGCTAGTCTCAAACTCCTGACCTCAGGTGATCTGCCCGCCTTGGCCCCGCAAAGTGCTGGGATTACAGGCGTGAGCCACTGTGCAGGCCGAAGAGGCCTATTTATTAACATTAGATTTTTCAACACCAATACCAGGTGCAAGAAGATAATGGAGTAGAATTTTCAAAGTAATGAAGGGAAAGATCTTAGAACCTAGAATCTCTTTTTGAGACAGGGTCTTGCTTTGTTGCCCAGGCTGGAGTACAGTGGTGTGATTATAGCTTACTGCAGCGGCAATGTCCCACACTCAGGTGATCCTCCCATCTCAGTCTCCTGAGTAGCTGGGACTATGGGCACACACCACCATGCCCAGCTAAGTTTTTTGATTTTTAGTAGAGACCAGGTCTCGCTATATTGCCCAGGCAGGTCTTGAAGTCCTGAGCTCAAGCAGTCATCCTGCCATGACCTCCCAATGTGCTGGGATTATGAGCGTAAGCCAATGCACCTGGCTTTGACCTTTAAAACAAGAAACCTCCCCACTGCCCGTGGACCCCATATCTCCTTCCAGTTAGTTGCCACCTCTCTGCTTCCCTCTATAATGAAGCATCTCCAAAGGGTGGTCTGCAGACATTGTCTCCACCCCCTCCCCCTTTTTTTGTTTTAGATTGCCTTTTTTTTTTTTTTCTGCAGTCCTGAAAATCATCACGTACAGATTGTCTTTTAAAAAGAAATAAAATAGGCTGGGCGTGGGGACTCACGCCTGTAATCCCAGCACTTTGGGAGGCCAAGGCAGGTGGATCACCTGAGGTCAGGAGTTCAAGTCCAGGCTGGCTAACATGGTGAAACCCCGTCTCTACTAAAAACACAAAAATTAGCCGGGCGTGGTGGCGGGCGCCTGTAATCCCAGCTACTCAGGAGGCTGAGGCAGGAGAATTACTTGAACCTGAGAGGCAGAGGTTGCAGTGAGCCAAGATTGCACCACTGCACTCCAGCCTCGGTGACAGAGTGAGACTCCGTCTCAAAAAAAAAAAAAAGAAAAGAAATGAAATGAAATATGACAGTTATGTTTGGCTTCCAGTTTAAAAATGGCTTCCTGCCCAAATCCCTCTAGAATGATCATTAAAAAATTTAAAAGTGGCCAGGCGCAGTGGCTCATGCCTGTAATCCCAGCACTTTGGGAGGCCAAGGCGGGTGGATCACCTGAGGTCAGGAGTTCAAGACCAACCTGACCAAAAATGGTGAAACCCCATCTCTACTAAAAATACAAAAAATTAGCGGGGCGTGGTTGGGGCGGGCGCCTGTCATTCTAGCTACTCGGGAGGCTGAGGCAGGAGAATAGCTTGAACCCAGGAGGCGGAGGTTGCAGTGAGCCCAGATGGCGCCACTGCACTCCAGCCTGGGCAACAGAGCAAGACCCCGTCTCAAAAAGATCCTATTTTCTTTGTGTGTTTTGTTGTTGTTGTTGTTTTGTTTGCTTGTTTGTTTTTTTCAGAGACTGTCTCACCTTGTTACCCAGGCTGGAGTGCAGTGGAACAATCATAGTTTACTACAGCCTCAACTCCCAAACTCAAGTGATTCTCCTGCCTCAGCCTCCTGAGTAGCTGAGATTACAGGCATGCACTCCCATGCCTAGCTAACAAGGAGTTCTAGCTTATAGGAACTGGTTTAACATTGTTTAATGCAGTGTTTTCCAATTTTCAATTTCAGTTTTTATTTCAGTTTTTGTGTGTGTGTTTGCAGTGGTGGGTGGTGGGGGGTGGGGGACAGAGTCTCGCTGTGTTGCCCAGGCTGGAGTATAGTGGTGCAATCTTGGCTAATTGCAGCCTTCGGCTCCCTGGTTCAAGCGATTCTCAGCCTCAGCCAGTAGCTGGGACCAAAGGCCCACTCCAGGATGCCCGGCTAATTTTTGTATTTTTAGTAGAGACAGGGTTTCACTATGTTGGCCAGGCTTGTTTTGAATTCCTGACCTCAACTGATCCACCGGCCTCGGCCTCCTAAAGCGCTGGGATTACAGGCGTGAACCACTGCGCCTGGCTTTGTCCCTGGTTCTTTAGCCAATGTGTCATCTCCGCAAAACATTCTTGCCCACTCTCCTTTTCCCCCAAGCAGCAGCAATAAACTTTCCTTAAAGTCTGTGAGTCTGGCAGAAGGCGGAGGCTGCAGTGAGAGGTGATTGCGCCACTGCACTACAGCCTGGATGACAGAGAGAGACTCCGTCTAAAATTTTGAAGTGTAGCAGGACGAGCCACAGACAAAACTCCTCAGACGCCAGATTAAAGAAGGAAGAGGTTTTTATTCGGCCAGGAGCGTCAGCAGACTCGCGTCTTAAGAGCCAAGCTCCCCAAAAAAGAAATTCTAGCCCTTTTAAGGGCTTACAACTCTAGGGGGTCCACATGAAAGGGTCATGATAGATCAAGTAAGCGTGAGGAACGTAACTGGGGGCTACATACATCAGCTAACAGAACAAAAAGTTTTACAGTGCTTTCTCATATAATGTCTGGAATTTACAGATAACACCAGTAGTTTTGGTCAGGGTTTAATATTATTATTATTATTTTAACCACCAGGGCCAGGTGGTGGCGCCAAGGTCGTCTAGCTATTTATCTTACTTCTGTTTCTTTCCAACTTTTTGCTTTCTCCCTTTTCTCCTGTCTTATAAACTAGGGAAAAGGGGAGGTGGGGGAGAAGCTGGGAAGGACAACAGGAGAAGTGGTGGTCTCATTCCATAAAAGAAAAGGCTACAGGTCTGGGAGGCAGGTCAGACACTGCCAACGGCAACTGCAGCAAGAATAAGAAACAGTCCCTTCAAAGGAGCCAGGGGTACAGGTGCGCATCACGGAACTCCACTCCCGTGGAGACACAGCCAGGGGTGCAAGGATCGAAATCAGATTAGTGATTATCAGAGACTGGCGGCAGGTGAGGAGGGTGCAAAGGGGCACCAGGGCACTTTTTTATTTTTTTGAGACGTTGTCTCACTCTTGTCACCGAGACTGGAGTGCAGTGGCCTGATCTCGGCTCACTGTAACCTCCGCCTCACGGGTTCTAGCGATTCTCCTGCCTCAGCCTTCCAAGTAGCTGGGATTACAGGTGTGTGCCACCACTCCCGGCTAATTTTTTCTATTTAGTGGAGATGGGGTTTCACCATGTAGGTCAGGCTGGTTTCGAACTCCTGACCTTAGATGATCCACCGGCCTCGGCCTCCCAAAGTACTGGGATTACAGGTGTGAGCCACCGCGCACCAGAACACATTTTGGGGTGATGGAAATTCACTATATGTTAATTATGGTGCTGCCGGGCGCGGTGGCTCACGCCTGTAATCCCAGCACTTTGAGAGGCCGAGGTGGGCGGATCACGAGGTCAGAAGAGCGAGACCATCCTGGCTAACACGGTGAAACCCCGTCTCTACTAAAAATACGAAAAATTAGCCAGGCGTGGTGGCGGGCACCTATAGTCCCAGCTACTCGGGAGGCCGAGGCAGGAGAATGGCGCGAACCCCGGAGGCGGAGCTTGCAGTGAGCCGAGATTGCACCACTGCACTCCAGCCTGGGCAACAGAGCAAGACTCCGTCTCCAAAAAAATTAATAAAAAGAAAGAAAGAGAGAGAGAAAGAAAGAAAGAAAAGAAGGGAAGGAAGGAAGGGAGGGAGGGAGGGAGGGAAGGGAAGGAAGGAAGGAAGAAAGAAGAAAGAAAGAAAGAAAAAGAAAGAAAGAAAGGAAAGAGAAAGGAAGGAAGAAAGAAAGGAAGGAAGGAAAGAGTTGGCCGCCATGGCTCACGAAAAAAAGAAAGAAGGAAAGAAAGAAAGAAAGAAAGAAAGAAAGAAAGAAAGAAAGAAAGAAAGAGTGTTGGCCTGCAGAGGTGGCTCACGCCTGTAATCTCAACATTTTGAGAGGCCAAGGCCGGCAGATCACTGAGGTCAGGAGTTCGAGATTAGCCTGGCCAACATGGTGGAATCTGGTCTCTACTAAAAATTCAAAAACTAGCCAGGTGTGGTGGTGGGCACCTGTAATCCCAGCTACTCGGGAGGCTGAGGCAGGAGAATTTCTTGAACCCGGGAGGTGGAGGCTGCAGTGAGCCGAGATCATGCCACTGCACTCCAGCCTGGGCAGAGCGAGACTCCGTCTCAAAATAAATAAATAAATAAATAAATAAATAAATAAATAAATAAATAAGCCAGACATAGTGGCGCGCGCCTGTTGTCCCAGCTAACTGGAGGCTGAGGCAGGAGGATCGCTTGAGCCCGGGAGATGGAGGCTGCAGTGAGCCGTGATGGGGCCGCTGCACTCCAGCCTGGGCAACGGAGCAAGACCCTGCCTCGAAAGAAAGCGTCCCAAGGCGCCTGGCTCACCGCTCCAGAGCGCGCTCCCGGGTCGGCCTCCGCCCTCCAAGCCGGAGGGAAATGCTGTGGTCCCGCCGTCCGCCTGCATCCTCCAGTTCCTTTGGAGGGCAGGGGAGTGGAGCCCACAGGCTCTGACACCCTTACAGTCCAGCTCTGTGACTTGGGGAAGGGAGTGGCGCATGAGGAGGGCGAAGCTGGAGTCCAAAGGAAGGTCCTTCCGTTCCCGCCCCCGACCCGGGATCCGCCGAAGCGACTGCGGAGGCGGGTCCCAGGCCTGTCCCAGGAGGGGGTGTCCGGGAGGGGGACCGATGCCTACGTCAGACAGGAGGGCAGGGGACTCGCGGGATTCGTGGGGAAGCGAGAGGGGAAAGAGCAGGGAACGTGCGCTGGGGACGCGGCCGAGGCGCAGTGGGAGGGGGCCCAGGATTCTGGGTAGTTAGTTGGGCGGGGGGCGGGGATGCGCCTGAAGCTCGGTAGCGAGAGGTACTGGGGTCGCGGTGGGAGTCTTAGCAGAACCGCGGTGGAGCCTACTACCCGAGGGACGGGGTAGGGGGCGCGGCTGAGGCAGGTCGGGGTGTGAGGGGTGGGAGGCGCGGCTGAAGTGGGATGGAAGGGCGTGGAGAGGCGAGGGTGGGAGGCGTGGCTGAGGTGGGATGAGAAGAAAGTAGCGAAGTGAGGGGTAGGGGAGGCAGAGGCAAGGGTGGGAGGGAGATGGGGGTGAGGGGTGGGGGGGTGAGGGGTGGAGGAGCCGGAGGAGGGGTGAGGCAGATGAGGGTGAGGGGTCGGGGGATGAGGGGTGGAGGAGGCAGAGGTGAGGGTGGGAGGGAGGTGGGGGTGAGGGGTAGTGGGGTGAGGGGTGGAGGAGGCAGAGGTGGGGTGGGAGGCAGGTGGGGGTGAGGGGTAGGGGAGGCGGATATGGGGTGGGAGGCAGGTTGGGGGGTAAGGGGTGGAGGAGTTGAAGGCTGGAGGGGTCAGTGGTGGGGGAGGAGGAGGTGCGGTGGGAGGCAGGTGGAAGCGTGAGGGGTGGGGAGGCAGAGGCGGTTGGGAATGCATCCTGTGCCTGCGGAAATTGGGGAAATTCCCCAGAGGGGTAGGGGCTTGGGGCTGGGCTCCCAGATTTGGCCAAGACCTGGCTGTAGCTATTCTGGGTCCTGGGAGAGACGGAACGTCCGGGCCTGGCTGAGCTGTGGCCTCTGGGGCTCCCTGGGGCGGTATGGGAAGGGGCCATGCTTTGCGTGAGAAATTATCTCAGGCTGGGCAGGCTGTGCCCAGCCAGCTGGTCCCCTTGCCCTCCAGGAGGTGTCTGGTCCCCTTTGGTCCTCTCTGGCCCTGTTTGAGGACCAGCTAGCATTTTTTTTTTTCTCCGCTGCCTCAGTCTTCCTTGCTCCAGGAAGCCTGTGCTGCCTGCTAAACTGCCTTATTCGTATTTCTTTTCTGTGAGATTCAGACACAATCTTCTCAGGGAAGCTTCATCTGGCCAGTTAGACATAGCCCCAGCCCTGGCTTGGGGCCAAGTTTCGGAATTAGTACAAAGAGAAGCAAAGGCTGCAGGTCCAGGCCCTGGCTTGTCTACACCGCTCCAGCCCCTACCCCCAGCACCCTCAAGTGTCCCATCTTTTTTTACTTTTAAGGCCAGGGCAGTTTCCACCTTCCAGACCCTGAAATGCTCTCTCCCAACTCTTTTTTTAATTTATATTATGCACAGGCTTTAGACATGTCTTGCACATGTGAGTTGGATATTTTTCTACATCTAAAAGAGATGCCAATTTTATTTTTTAAAGCCAGTGGCAAAAATTTCAAACAGGCAGGGCGCGGTGGCTCATGCCAGTAATCCCAGCACTTTGGGAGGCCCAGGCGGGCGGATCACCTGAGGTCGGGAGGTCGAGACCAGCCTGACCAATATGGGGAAACCCCATCTCTACTAAAAATACAAAATTAGCCGGGCATGGTGGCACATGCTTGTAATCTCAGCTACTCGGGAGGCTGAGGCAGGAGAATCACTTGAACCCAGGAGGCGGAGATTGCGGTGAACTGAGATCCTGCTATTGCACTCCAGCCTGAGCAACAAGAGTGAAACTCCGTCTCAAAAAAAAAAAAAAAGACCGGGCGCGATGGCTCACACCTGTAATCTCAGCACTTTGGGAGGTCGAGGTGGGTGGATCACCTGAGCTCAGGAGTTCGAGACCAGCCTGCCCAACATGGCGAAACGCTGTCTCTACTAAAAATACAAAAAATCAGCCAAGCGTGGTGGCGGGCGCCTGTAATCCCAGCTACTCGGGAGGCTGAGGCAGGAGAATCGCTTGAACCTGGGAGGCAGAGGTTGCAGTGAGCCGAGATCGCACCACTGCACTCCAGCTGGGCGATGAGCAAAAACTCCGTCTCAAAAAATAATAATAAAAATAAAAAATAAAAAAATAAAAAAATTTCAAATAGTACAAAGGATGCACCTTATGTGCCTTCCCATCCCTGACCTCTAGTTCCCTGCTCCGGAGGACACATCTGCTACATATTTTGGTGACCTCTCTTTGCTCTTATTAAAAATCTATCTGAAAATAAATTCAAATAAAAGAAACATTTATAAAAAGTTACAAAGTGAAATGAAGCACAATAGGAAAGATAGGGTATAAAGCCTGCTTGGGGTAGATTTTCGTTAGGCGGACACTGGACTGAGTGAGGCTTCTTTTTTTTTTTGGTTTCTTTTTTTTTTTGAGACGGAGTCTGGCCCTGTTGCCCAGGCCGGAGTGCAGTGGCATGATCTCGGCTCACTGCAAGCTCCGCCTCCTGGGTTCACGCCATTCTCCTGCCTCAGCCTCCCCAGTAGCTGGGACTACAGGCGCCCGCTGATTTTTTGTATTTTTAGTAGAGACGGTGTTTCACCGTGTTAGCCAGGATGGTCTCGATCTCCTGACCTCGTGATCCGCCCACCTCGGCCTCCCAAAGTTTTTTTCGTTTCTTTTAATGGAGTCGGAGTCTGGCACTATCTCCCAGGCTGGACTGCAGTGGCGCAATCTCGGCTCACTGCAACCTCTGCCTCCCAGGTTCAAGCAATTCTCTTACCTCAGCCTCCAGAGTAGCTGGGACTACAGGTGCACGCCGCCATGCCTGGCTAATTTGTGAAGCTTCTTGAAATATGAATCCAGTGGTATTCAGATTGAGGAAGTCTTGCTTCCCTGCTTGATTCACTTCCCACTAAAAACACAGGCATTCTTCCCTACACAGGGGACTTTTTAAAACAAAGATATAATTCACATACAATTCACAAATATAAAGTGTACATTTCATTGGTCTTTTAGTGTAATTCACAGAGTTGCACAGCTGTCATCACAATCAACTTTAGAACATTTTATCTCCCGCAAAAGAAGCATCATACCTGAGCTGGGTGCATTGGCTCACGCCTGTAATCCCAGCACTTTGGGAGGCTAAGGTAGATGGCTTGAGTCTAGAAGTCTGAGACCAGCCTAGGCAATATAGTGAAAACCTGCCTTTAGAAAAAATACAAAAAAAAAAAAAAGAAAAAAAAAAAGACCCAGGTGTAGTGGCATGTGCCTGTAGCTAC
The DNA here is from genome assembly GCF_000001405.40 of Homo sapiens. Taxonomy (NCBI): domain Eukaryota; kingdom Metazoa; phylum Chordata; class Mammalia; order Primates; family Hominidae; genus Homo; species Homo sapiens. The sequence continues at coordinate 16,410,562 of NC_000017.11, forward strand.
TTGGGAGGTCAAGGCAGGAGGATTCCCCGAGCCTGGGGAAGTCGAGGCTGCAGTGAGCCGCAGTCACGTGCCACGGCACTCCAGCCTGGGCGATGGAATGAGACACTGTCTCAAAAAAATAAAAAAAGAAGTCTCATACCTTTTAGCAGTCAGTCCTCCTTTCTACACTCGCCCCCAACATCCCCTTGCCCTAGACAACCACTTTACAGTTCCCTGTTTTGGATATTTCATATAAATGGAATCACGCAGATTACTTCTTGACCTTTCAGCTAAAATCAAGTGTAGTATCTGTTCTTATCAGTTTGACGTGTCCCTTATCTGAGGATGTAATAAAAATAAAAATAAATAAATGGAATCATGCAGTGTGTGATTTTTGTGACTGACTTCTTTCATTTAACCTAATTTTTCAAGTTTCTTCCATGCTATAGTGTACATCAGTACTTAATTTCTCTTTTTGTGGCCAAATAATATTCCATTAAATGGATATGCCACATTTTATGTATCCATTCGTCATCAGTTAATCATCATTTGGGGTGTTTCTATTTGGTTATTATGAATAATGCTGCTGTAAACATTCATGTACAAGTGTGTATGGACATATGTTTCCATTTCTTTGAGTACATACCTAGGAGTGGAATTGCTGGGTCGTATGGTAACTATGTTTATTTTATTTTTTTTTTTTTGAGACAGAGTCTCACTCTGTTGCCCAGGCTGGAGTGCAGCGGTGGCACTATCTCGGCTCACTGCAAGCTCCGCCTCCCAGGTTTATGCTATTCTCCCGCCTCAGCCTCCCAAGTAGCTGGGACTACAGGCGCCCGCCACCACGCCCGGCTAATTTTTTTTTGTATTTTTAGTAGAAACAGGGTTTCACCATGTTAGCCAGGATGGTCTCGATCTCCTGACCTCGTGATCCACCCGCCTTGGCCTCCCAAAATGTTGGGATTACAGGTGTGAGCCACCGCGCCTGGCCCTTTTTTTTTTTTTTTTTTTTGAGACAGCCTTGCTCTGTTGTCCAGGCTGCAGTGCAATGGCAGGATCTCAGCTCACTGCAACCTCCACCATCCAGGTTCAAGCAATTCTCCTGCCTCAGCCTCCCCAGTAGCTGGGATTATAGGCATGTGCCACCATGCCCTGCTAATTTTTTTTTTTTTTTTTTTTTTTGAGACAGACTCTTGCTCTGTCGCCCAGGCTGGAGTGCAATGGGGCGATCTCAGCTCACTGCAACCTCTGCCTCCCGGGTTCAAGTGATTCTCCTTCCTCAGCCTCTGGAGTAACTGGGATTACAGGCGTCCACCACCATGCCTGGCTAATTTTTGCATTTTTAGTAGAAACAAGGTTTTGCCATGTTGGCCAGGCTGCTCTCGAACTCCTGACCTCAGGTGATGCGCCTGCCTCGGCTGCCCAAAGTGCTGGGATTACAGGCCTGAGCCACCGCACCCGGCCTAATTTTTTCATTTTTGATAGAGGAGGGTTTTCGCCATGTTGGCCAGGCTGGTCTCAAATGCCTGACCTCAGATGATCCACTCACCTCGGCCTCCCAACATGCTGGGATTACAGGAGTGAACCACCGCGCCCAGCTCTCTATGTTTAATCTTTTGAGGAGCAGCCGGACTGTTTTCCAAAGTAGTTGCACCATTTTACAATCTCCCAGGAGTGTAGGACAGGTCCAATTTCTCCACACCCTTGCCAACACTTTGTTGTTACATGTCTTTTTATAATAGCTATGTTAGTAGTGTGAAGTGGGACCACATTGTGCTTTTGATTTGCCTTTCCCTGATGGCTACAATCCAAGGCCTTTTTGTAACCAGAATTTGCAATTAAGGTTATCTGTCTACCCAATTGTCATTTTCACCGGATGTGGTGATGGCTCTGGAGGACTTCAGGTTGTCCACTTTTCACTTTTTTCTCAACAGCACAGCAGTGCCCTCTGCACTATGATTATAAGCCATCCTGTCATTCAAAGCCTTCTTGAGCACCACTTGGATGCCAGGCACTGTGCTGGTTGCTGGGGATACAGCAACAAAGCAAGATCTCACCCCTTGGAAAGTATGGTGGTAAGCCTGTGGCCCTGGACTTGAATCCTTGCTTTCTCACCTCCCAGCCTTGTGGCCTTGGCCTTACCCATGCTCAGTTTTCTTGTCTGTGAAATAAGGTTGCTCTGGGAGTTACATGTTGAGCGCTTAGCACAGTGTCTGGTGCATAGTGAGTGCTCCGTAAGTATTTTTTATTGTTAAAGGTGAAGGCGGGGACAGTGGCTCATGCCTGTAATCTCAGCACTTTGGGAGGCGGAGGTGGCCGGATCACTTGAGGTCAGGAGTTCGAGACCAGCCTGGCCAACATGGTGAAACCCTGTCTCTACTAAAAATACAAAAGTTAGCCGGGTGTCGTGGCGCGTGCCTGTAATCCTAGCTACTGGGGAGGCTGAGGCAGGAGAATCACTTGAATCTGGGAGGTGGAGGTTGCAGTGAGCCAAGATCATGCCACTGCGCTCCAGCCTGGGCAACAGAATGAGACTCCGTCTCAAAAAAAAAAAAAAAGTGAAGCCAGACAATATAATAAATATTACAGTAACGGATAATGAGATGTGGGGGAAGTACAGAGTGTCATGGGAGCACATAGTGGCGATCCCCAGCCCAGTCCAGGGTCTAGGAAAGGCTATCTAAAGGAAGTGATGCTTAAATTGAGAGATGATGGATGAGCAGGAGTTGGCTAGATCAGATCAAGAGCAGTGTGTGTGTGTGTGTGTGTGTGTGTGTGTGTTCCTGGCAGGTGGAACAGAAGAGGCATGGCATACTGGGGAGACTGAAATGTGTTCAGAATGTCTAGAGCAGTGCTGTCTAATAGAACTCTATGTTTATGAAAAATGTCTCAGGCTGGCACGGTGGCTCACGCCTGTAATCCCAGCACTTTGGGAGGCTGAGGTGGGCGGAGCTCCTGAGGTCGGGAGTTTGAGACCAGCCTGACCAACATAGAGAAACCCCGTCTCTACTAAAAATACAAAATTAGCCAGACATGGTGGTGCATGCCTGTAATCACAGCTACTCAGGAGGCTGAGGCAGGAGAATCACTTGAACCTAGGAGGCGGAGGTTGCGGCGAGCTGAGATCGTGCCATTACACTCCAGCCTGGGCAACAAGAATGAAACTCCGTCTCAGAAAAAAAAAAAAAAAAGAAAGAAAAAAAGAAAAATTTGTCATCTGTGTGCTATCCGATATGGTAGCCACTAGCCACATGTGCCAACTGAGCATTTAAAATGTGGCTAATGGGACAGCAGAACTGAATGTTTACTGTTATTTTATTATGTATTTATTTTTGAGACAGAGTTTCCCTCTTGTTGTCCAGGCTGGAGTGCAATGGCACAATCTTGGCTCACTGCAAGCTCTGCCTCCCAGGTTTAAGCGATTCTCCTGCCTCAGCCTCCCAAGTAGCTGGGATTACAGGCACGTGCCACTACGCCTGGCTATTTTTTTTTATTTTTAGGAGAAATGGGGTTTTGCCATATTGGCCAGGCTGGTCTCGAATTCCTCACCTCAAGTGATCCACCTACCTTGGCTTCCCAAAGTGCTGGGATTACAGGTATGAGCCACCGCGCCTGGACTAATTTTGTATTTTTAGTAGAGATGGGGTTTCACTATGTTGGTCAGGCAGGTCTGGAACTCCTGACCTCAGGTGATCCACCCACCTCAGCTTCCCAAAGTGCTGGGATTACAAGCGTGAGGCCTATTATAATTGATTTAAATCTAAACAGTCATTGTGGCTAGTGACTATCTTATTGGATGGCGCAGGCCTAGAGTGTAATGTGCATGACAGGGTTGCCATGAGTGACGGATAGCGATGGAGAAGGGCATCTGGACTTTGAGGGCTCATGGTATGGAGTTTGCATTTTATTCCAAGCACCATGGGTGAGGTTTTGTGATTAAGTCAAGGCGTTAGGTGACCTGGTTTTCTTTTTTTTTCTTTTTTGACACAGAGTCTCGCTCTGTTGTCCAGGCTGGTGTGCAGTGGCACAATCTCAGCTCACTGCAACTTCCGCCTCCCAGGTTCAAGCGATTCTCCTGCGTCAGCCTCCCAAGTAGCTGAGATTACAGGTGCCCACCACCATATCCAGCTAATATTTGTATTTTTAGTAGAGATGGGGTTTTGCCATGTTAGCCAGGCTGGTCTTGAACTCCTGACCTCAAGTGATCCATGCACCTCGGCCTCCCAAAGTGCTGGGATTACAGGTGTGAGCCACTGCGCCCGGCCCTGGTTCCCATTTTTAAAAGGTCACTTCAGTTGCTATAAGGAGAAATGGATTATGAGTGTGGGGCAAGAATGAAGCAGGGAGACCAGTTTGGAGGTGGCTGCAGTTGCCCAGGGGAGCAGTGATAGTGGCTTGGACCACTCAGAAAGACAAATTTTGGAGGAAGAGCTGATGCCAGGTTTTGGGAGTGAGGGAGAGAGATTCCTAGGGCTACTTCGGTGGTGGTTGGGTCCCCAAGCTCCAAGACTGAGTCCAGACCAGGGCCCCGTTGGTGGTGAGGTCTGATTTTAGCAGTGCGTGCCCACCTCCTTGTCTCCACCTGCTGGCTGGTGCTTGGAGCACCTTTAGGGGAACTTTAGCCATCAGAGTCCTGGGGTCAGGAGGCTGGGAGAAGGTCCTGGGAGGTGGGAAAGTCCCCCAACTGCTGGGTGGATGGGTGGGTGGGACTGTGTTCCCAGGGGCATCTGCTGGGCTGAGCCTCTCCCTGGGGGCTGTCCACATCAGCTTTCTCCCCTGCCATGGGTCAACTCAGGCCCATTTATGGGCCACACGGCTGCTTGGAAGGCATGTGGTGGAGAAGGGGAGGAGATAGCTGTCAGTGGACTTGGGGAAGAATCCCCCATCCATGGCAGCTTCCATGGGTGGCAAGTCCCCAGCATCCAAGGGCTGCCTCTGAGTGTCACCCACCCCCACCTGAGACCTTAGTGGCTAGAAGGGGGAGGGGTGGGGGTGGAGCCTGATTCGCAGCAGGGTGTGTCCAGATGGTCAGTCTCTGGTGGCTAGCCTGTCCTGACAGGGGAGAGTTAAGCTCCCGTTCTCCACCGTGCCGGCTGGCCAGGTGGGCTGAGGGTGACCGAGAGACCAGAACCTGCTTGCTGGAGCTTAGTGCTCAGAGCTGGGGAGGGAGGTTCCGCCGCTCCTCTGCTGTCAGCGCCGGCAGCCCCTCCCGGCTTCACTTCCTCCCGCAGCCCCTGCTACTGAGAAGCTCCGGGATCCCAGCAGCCGCCACGCCCTGGCCTCAGCCTGCGGGGTAAGTCGGTGGGCAATGCTGGGGACGTTGGAGGGGGCCGGGTCTCCAAGCCTGACAGTGAATGATGGGGTGGGGAAGGCCTAGTGGGCTCCTGGCTTCTACAGCCTGGAGCCAGGGTCTGTGTGGGGCTCCAGCACCCTCTCCCTGGACCTCCACACCCCTTCCTCTGCTGCCAGGGTGGGTGAGGGTCCCAGGAGGTGGGGTGGGGGCTGGACAGACAACTGTTGCTGCTGGGGCTTGGGAGTCTAGGGCTGGAGGAATGGGCCAGGGTTTGGTTGGGGACACAGATGGGCTAAACGGTATGAAACGGAAAGAGCACCCTTCTGCCCCAGTGTGTGTAGAAAGGGTGGTGGGTCACATCTGCAAACTGAGGCAGCCAGGCAGCTCCCCACCTCCCATGTTTCCATGGGAAAATACCCCACCCGGGTCCCCAGGGCCTGGTCCCAGCCTACCCTCTCCACTTCCCTCTGCTGGTGCCGCTCCTCTCTGCTCTCTGCCCCCTGCCCCCTGCCCCCTTCTCCACCCTTCTGTCTCCTTACCACTCTTTGACTCCTTCTTCTTTCTGATCCTGCTCACTGGGCCCATGAGGGTTCCCCAACCCTGACCGAGGCCCCACCCTTGCCAAGTGATGGAGGCTGTGGTTTCAGTTTTCCTGTGAGGGTGAGATTGTGCTGTTTGCTGAGCTTCCTAGGCCAGCCTAGGGCCTGAGGCAGCGTGGTGGAGAGAGCCTGGGCCACAGGCTAGGGGCCTCCCTCCCTTCGTGAAGCCCCCAGAGGCCCTGAGGCACACAAAGGTAGTATTCGATGCCTTCAGAGCTGAATCAGACTGAAAATATAGACAGACCCTGAAAGGCTTTGAAAACGGAAGAGGAACGTCATGGTAGACGCATGGTGTCAGATCCGGCTCTGCCAACAACTGGCGACCTTGGGAAAGCCACTCCCCCTTTCTAAGCCTTAGTAGTCTTGGCAGCAAAATGAAGGGTTTGATAGTCTAGTGGTTTTCCCAGTTATTTCTTCTTAGAGCTCCCCTTCTTTGGCGAGGGGTTGAGTGACTGGCCCCATCCCAGTCATCGCACTTTTATCTGTTGGAATATTGGCTGCCAGGCAAGACGTTGTGTAAAGAAAGGGTTGTGCTGTTAATGTAAATGGTAACAGGGGTTGTGACCCCTCAGATTCCAGGAAGTCCCAGAGGAAAAGTCGGGGACAGTCATGGCTCTTCCTGGGGGACAACATCAAAAGGGTGGCCCTATTGGTTCCCTGTTCCTCACCCCACAGGCCTCCCTCCCTCTCCTCACCCCTGCTGCTCATCCCTCCTGGCCCACTTCCCCTGCATTGGGGCTGGGCTCCCACACAGTGGGTGGACCTACTTGCACTTGGCATTTTTGCCATTAGAAGTAATGAGAAGTAATGGCAAAAACCGCAATTTTTTTTTTTTTTTTTTTTGAGACAGAGTCTTGCTCTGTTGCCCAGGCTGGAGTGCAGTGGTGCCATCTTAGCTTCCGGGTTTAAGCAATTCTCCTGCCTCACCCTCCCTAGTAGCTGGGATTACAGGCACAAGCCACCATGCCCAGCTAATTTTTGTATTTTTTTTAGTGGAGATGGGGTTTCACCATGTTGGTCAGGCTGGTCTCTAACAGCTGACCAGCCAGCCTCAGCCTCCCAAAGTGCTGGGATTACACCCAGCCACCACGCCCAGCCTTTTGCACTAACCTAATACCTCCTTTTGCAGGCTCCAGTCAGGCCAACACCGACGCGCAGCTGGGAGGAAGACAGGACCCTTGACATCTCCATCTGCACAGAGGTCCTGGCTGGACCGAGCAGCCTCCTCCTCCTAGGATGACCTCACCCTCCAGCTCTCCAGTTTTCAGGTTGGAGACATTAGATGGAGGCCAAGAAGATGGCTCTGAGGCGGACAGAGGAAAGCTGGATTTTGGGAGCGGGCTGCCTCCCATGGAGTCACAGTTCCAGGGCGAGGACCGGAAATTCGCCCCTCAGATAAGAGTCAACCTCAACTACCGAAAGGGAACAGGTGCCAGGTGAGACAGCAAGTGGGGGCAGGGCAAAGGGGGCCCCCTGCCCAGCTCCAGCAGAGCACCCGGAGTGAGACTCATTGACTAGTCCAGCACCAGTGCCCCTTCCCACAGCCTGTGGAGTCCTCAGTCTGGCCCTGGTGGCTCCTGGGCCCGACAGGCTGCCTCTGCTCTGCCATCTGGCATTGCTCTTTCCAGAGGCTTCCCCATTCTTGGCCTTCTGCCTTCTGAGGTCATGTTCTTCATGAGATACATTCTTGAGCTCTAAGTCCTCAACTGACCCTCAAATCCCCCTGTTCATGCCAACTCCCACCCCTGTCATGGTCCCTGTTGGGGAAGGCAGCAGGATCCACACTCCATCCAGTGAGAATCAAGGACATCTGGAAATGTCCCAGGCTCTCCTCAGTTCTGCAAGACTGAGCCTGTCACTCAGGGGACGTGAACTGTGGGATTGGGGATGACAGGCTTCTGCTTGGAGTCATCTGCACTTTGATTTTCCTGTGGTCTTTCCACCAATTCAGACTGTGTGAGCACCACATTCCTGAGAGTCCCACTTCCAGTCCTGCTGCATTTGGCACCCCCTACTTCCCTGCCCGGGGGCGGGGCCTGCCCAGTGAGGCTGGAGAATCCTCATGGGCCAGGCTAGACTCTGCCACAGAAGCCCCTTCTTCCCTTCTCATGCTTGAGGTACAGCCACCAGCTTTGGCCTCGCAGGCTAGAGCTGCTTCCTGTTTGTGCTGGAGGACAGTGGTCAGATTCAGCACCAGGGTAGGGGAGGATGCATGAGGAGATTCTGGGAGCTGTGGAGCCTGCCCGACACAGGCAGGACGGGCCCTTGATGCTTTCAGTACCTCAATCTGTGCCCTCAATGGGCTTCCCTACCCCAGGACCATGATGCCACCCTGGTGACAGAAAGTTCTTTGTCCAAATGGCCACTTCTGCCAGCCAGACTGTCCACAGGGCTCCTGTCAGCAGCAGATAGAGCCCTCATGGTCATGTGTGGCTTCCTGGTGCTGACAAAGGAGGGCTGGCTGTAATTACAGTCATAGCTGTTGGCTTAAAAAGTCTACCCTTGAAATCCCCACCTGATTCAAGGAGGCAGAGGTTGCAGTGAGCAGAGATTATGCCACCATACTCCAGCCTGGGTGTCAGTGTGACTCTGTCTCCAAAAAAAAAAAAAAAGTGACGGATCCCAACAATCACCTTGTCACCAACCTTTACTTGGTTGACCCATTCCACAAGAGACATTAAGCTGGGACCTGAGGGTCTACAAATCATCAAATAGCACCCCCTGTTCTTTGTCTTCGCATATCTGCTGGTGGTGGTACCAGAAGCCCCAGAGGCAAGTTGGCCCCTGTGATTAGTAACACAGCCCAGGAGGGAATGACTCATGCCCTTCCCACTTCCAGTCACCAGACGCTGCTAGATTCTAGATTCTGACAAGCTACCAGATCCCTTCCGGGGTCTGTGGGAGAGATTTCTCATTAGGTGTGCCTTCTTGGTGGTGTCTGATATGTTTCAACATTGGGCCCAGCGTTGGGCCCAGGTAATGCTCTGTTTCTGGGAAATTTCTTGCTGCCAAGCCTAGAATCTCTCTGGGGATTCAGAGTCAGGGTCTAAAGTTAAACAGCCCTGCTGAGATTCCCAGTTTGGCGCTGTGTGACTTTGGCAAGTTACATGACCTCCTTGTTTATCTAATGGAGAAATGAGTAGTTTCTGACCAGCAGGGCTGAAGTGAAGATGAAAGGCACAGAATATTCTGTAGTTAATAGATGGTTTCTAAGAGGAGAAGGGAGATTTTCTGCATACTTTCTTTGAAGGCAGTGATGCATGCAGCCACTGTGAGTCTGCGGGGACCTCCCACAGCCCTATCCAGATCCAGCCCCAAGCTCAAGAGCCACCACAAGTGGTGTGTGCTGAAGGGGACCCAGTGGGATATCGAGGCTGTTGAGAGATGGTACATCAAGGCACCTGGCACATGACAAGCACCTGATGCTGAAAAGTGTCTGTGATGACTGGCGTCATGGGGATGAAGCAGCTTAGTGCCTGGACAGGCCCCTTTTCCTCCTCCCGGGGTCCCCTAGGATGGCTCTAGGAGGATAGAGGCCCTCAGAAGGGCTCTCACTGGGCTCCTGGGCCTGAGGGGTGTGCAGTGTGTACAGGACTCCCTGAAAGGGCTCCCTGGGATGGAGGGCTTTTGGGGGGGCCTGTGGTTCTTCTCCAGCATGAGTCACAAACCACATCCTCCACAGTCAGCCGGATCCAAACCGATTTGACCGAGATCGGCTCTTCAATGCGGTCTCCCGGGGTGTCCCCGAGGATCTGGCTGGACTTCCAGAGTACCTGAGCAAGACCAGCAAGTACCTCACCGACTCGGAATACACAGGTAGACCCTGCCCTGTGGATCCAAGGCTAGGCATCCTGTGAGCTGATAGTTAGGTGGGCTGTGTGGGCTTGATCCCTGGTCAGGAGCTGAGGAGTGAGTGTTCTCAGCAGCCCTCCCACTGGAAGGATGGCTGGGGGGCCCTGTGGACAGAGTTAATCAAGGATGGCCTCCTGTCAGTCTTGGCTGTGCCTCCCACTTCCACCCACCCCTCAGGCCTCCTGGCTACCTCTGTCACCCCTAGCCCATTGCAGTGGCTGAATGGAAACCCAAAGCAATCTTTTTTTATCTTTTTTAATAACAGTGTTGTTGAGATATAATATATAATGCACATACCATATACTTAACCCATCTCAAAGCACTCTTTGCCCAAAATCTAAATATCTGTATTGTTTGGGCTGATCAGAAAAATAACATGAGTACTCTAGAAGATTCAAACAGTAAGGAAACATATAGAGCCAAGGGTAAACACAGTCTCTCATCCTGGGCTCCAATTAATTGTTTGAGAATGCATCTGTTCAGACTTTCTTTCTTTCTTCTTTTTTATTTTTGGAGAGATGGGGTTTTGCCATGTTGCCCAGGCTGGCCTCAAACTCCTGGGCTCCAGTGATCCTTCCACCTTGGCCCCCCAGAGTGCTGGGATTACAGGTGTGAGCCACCGCGCAGGGCCTATCCAGACTTTCTTAATACATCAGTATATATTTACATAAATGGGGTCTTGACACATATACTAATTTGTAACGTGCTTTTCCTCCACTTAATACATCTTGTAGCACTTTCCATTTCAGTACATGTCTAACTTAGTCACTTTGACAACTGCAGAGTGAGTTTTCCCTTGTGTCCTTATCATCATTTAGTTAACCAATTCCTTACTTATCGATGGCCATTTTAGGTTGTTCGTAGTTTTTGGCTTCAACTAGCTGTGTGCCAGGCCCTCTGTGTGCTATCCACTTTGTTTATATTATTCCCCTTTTTTTTTTTGGAGACGGAGTCTTGCTCTGTTGCCCAGCCTGGAGTACAGTGGTGCGATCTCAGTTCACTGCAAAACTCCACCTCCCGGGCTCATGCCATTCTCCTGCCTCAGCCTCAGCCTCCCGAGCAGCTGGGATTACAGGCACCAGCCACCACACCTGGCTAATTTTTTGTATTTTTTTAGTAGAGACAGGGTTTCACCGTTTTAGCCAGGATGGTCTCAATCTCCTGACTTCGTGATCCGCCCGCCTTGGCCTACCAAAAATGCTGGGATTACAGGCGTGAGCCACCGCGCCTGGCCATTTTTTTTTTTTTTTTTTCCGAGACGGAGTCTTGCTCTGTCACCCAGGCTGGAGTGCAGTGGCGTGATCTCAGCTCACTGCAACCTCTGCCTCCCGGGTCCAAGCAATTCTCCTGCCTCAGCCTCCCGAGTAGCTGGGATTACAGGCGCCCAGCACTGCGCCTGGCTAATTTTTGTATTTTTAGTAAAGATGGGATTTCACCATGTTGGTCAGGCTGGTCTGGAACTCGACCTCGTGATCTGCCCACCTTGGCCTCCCAAAGTGTTGGGATTACAGGCGTGAGCCACTGCGCCTGGCCTTATATTATTCCCTTTGAACCTTACAATAATCCTGGAACATTCCCATTTTACAGTAACGAAAACTGAGATTAAGAGAGGCCACGTGACTTGCCAGAGGAGATAGAGACATTAAGTGGTGGAGTCATGTACAAATACTGCTCTGAATGTTCTGCTGTAGACAGCATTTCACGAATGATGACTTATGTCTTAGAAATTTAGTTTCTAAGCCGGGCGCAGTGGCTCACGCCTGTAATCCCAGCACTTTGGGAGGCCGAGGTGGGCAGATCATGAGATCAGGAGATCGAGACCATCCTGGCTAACACGGTAAAACCCGTCTCTGCTGAAAACAAAAAACAAAACAAAACAACAAAAAAAATTAGCCGGGTGTGGCGGTGTGCGCCTGTGGTCCCAGCTGCTGGGGAGGCTGAGGCAGGAAAACGGCGTGAACCTGGGAGGCAGAGCTTGCAGTGAGCCAAGATTGCGCCACTGCACTCCAGCCTGGGTGACAGAGCAAGACTCTGTCTCAAAAAAAAAAAAAAAAGAAAAGAAAAGAAAAGAAAAAGAAAAAAAAAGAAATTTCGTTTCTAGGGCAGAAATTGTAGTCATGTCTGTTGGTATTTCTTATCTGTTACTTGGAGCCTTAATAGCCTATAACATGGTTGTGCTCCCACCAGTTATGTGTAGCATCTCTTTTAATCCTCCCAAGGGGTACTTTGAGCTGGGCTTATAAGAGCTATCGGGCAGCCCAGCCACTCCAGGTCTCAGCACCACTGTGCCCCTTCCCCTCCCTTCTTCCCACAGAGGGCTCCACAGGTAAGACGTGCCTGATGAAGGCTGTGCTGAACCTTAAGGACGGAGTCAATGCCTGCATTCTGCCACTGCTGCAGATCGACAGGGACTCTGGCAATCCTCAGCCCCTGGTAAATGCCCAGTGCACAGATGACTATTACCGAGGCCACAGCGCTCTGCACATCGCCATTGAGAAGAGGAGTCTGCAGTGTGTGAAGCTCCTGGTGGAGAATGGGGCCAATGTGCATGCCCGGGCCTGCGGCCGCTTCTTCCAGAAGGGCCAAGGGACTTGCTTTTATTTCGGTGAGTGAGCCTTTCTTGGATAAATCGAGGCAAAGAGAGAGTAAGGCCTGGTTCAAGGTCACATGGTTAGTGTATGACAGAGCTGGCAGTTAAACCTAGGTTTTTCTGACCCCGATGCCCTGCTTCTAACCACTAGGCTGCCTGCAAAAGCAGTTTGTCTTTTGTCCAGGCCAGCCTCAAACTCCTGGGTTCTAACAATCCTCCTGCCTTAGCTTCTCGAGCTGGGGCTACAAGTGTGTGCCACCACATCCAGCATTAATTTGTCATAAGAGATGTTTCATCCTCGTCTGGCCAGAAGACGGGCATGCACCCAGACCCAGACCCAGGGAAAGAAATAGGGGCTGCTAGCACTGGCATGTGACTTGGCCAGGCAGAGCCTGAATAAAGAGGCAGCATGCCTGGGCTCTGGCAAAGAAGACAGCAAAAGGCAGCAGGTTGGCTGGCCCCTGTTCTGCTCCCTTCAGTGGTAAAGAAGCCTGACCTGTTTCAAGGAGGGCTGGCCTTTTGTCCAAGGAGCATGAGGAGTAGGCAGATGGAAAGCAGGAGGCCTGGGGCCCAAGCTGCTCTCTTGGCCTGCAGGTGAGCTACCCCTCTCTTTGGCCGCTTGCACCAAGCAGTGGGATGTGGTAAGCTACCTCCTGGAGAACCCACACCAGCCCGCCAGCCTGCAGGCCACTGACTCCCAGGGCAACACAGTCCTGCATGCCCTAGTGATGATCTCGGACAACTCAGCTGAGAACATTGCACTGGTGACCAGCATGTATGATGGGCTCCTCCAAGCTGGGGCCCGCCTCTGCCCTACCGTGCAGCTTGAGGACATCCGCAACCTGCAGGATCTCACGCCTCTGAAGCTGGCCGCCAAGGAGGGCAAGATCGAGGTGAGCGGCTGTCCCCTTCCCACTTCCCCTCTCCAGGAAGCAGTAGGTCTCATCCCAAAATTTCTGCAGAAAGAACCCAGGGGGTGGTGAAGAGCAGTGGCTTCTCTGCTTTTCAATGGAACACTCCTGTTAGTAAGAAAATTTTCAGTATGTACCTCTGATATATTTCTGTTTATTTATAAATTGCATATGAACTACTGAATATATTACATTATAAAACATTGAGATTTTTTTTTTTTGAGACGGTGTTTCGCTCTTGTTGCCCAGGCTGGAGTGCAATGGTGCGACCTCGGCTCACCGCAACCTCTGCTTCCCAGGTTCAAGCGATTCTCCTGCCTCAGCCTCCCAAGTAGCTGGGATTACAGGCATGTGCCACCACACCCAGCTAATTTTGTTTTTTTTTTTTTTGAGACGGACCCTCGCTCTGTCACCCAGGCTGGAGTGCAGTGACATGATCTCGGCTCACTGCAACCTCTGCCTCCCAGGTTCAAGCAATTCTCCTGCCTCAGCCCCCTGAGTAGCTGGGATTACAGGCACCCACCACCATGCCTGGCTAATTTTTTTTTTGTATTTTCAGTAAAGAGGGGTTTCACCATGTTGGTCAGGCTGGTCTTGAACTCCTGACCTCGTGATCCACCCGCTTCGGCCTCCCAAAGTGCTGGGATTACAGGCACGCGCCACTGCACCCAGCTAATTTTTTGTATTTTTAGTAGAGATGGGGTTTCACCATGTTGGCCAGGCTGGTCTTGAACTCCTGACCTCAGGTGATCTGCCCACCTCGGCCTCCCAAAGTGCTGGGATTACAGGTGTGAGCCATGGCACCCGGCCAAACATTGGGAATTTTTAAAAGTCGTTTGTGTTTCTTTATTAAGAGATAGCCTTTTTATATCTTTTGCCTATTTTGCTATTCTGTTTCTGCATATTTATTGATAACTTTATAATGAATTTAGTATTTTGTCTACCATAGCACTTGTAAAATTTCTCCTAGTTCATCATTTGTCTTTTGAATTTTATGTTTTTTTTGCTATACAGGATTTAAAAATTTTTATAATCTGCAAGTGTGACTATCTTTTCCTTTAAGGTTCCATGGTTTTGCTATTGTCTAATTCCTGCTACAAGATTTTATATATATAATACATATTATATGTACATAATATATGTTATAACTATTATACATTATATTATACATTATAATTATATATAGTATATATATAATCTTCATACCCATATTTTCTTCCAAACTTTTGCAGCTGCATTTTTTTTTTTTTTTTTTTGAGATGGAGTTTCGCTCTTGTTGCCCAGGCTGGAGTACAATGGCGCGATCTCGGCTAACTGCAACCTCCGCCTCCGGAGTTCAAGCGATTCTCTTGCCTCAGCCTCCCGAGTAGCTGGGATTACAGGCATGTGCCACCACGCCCGGCTAATTTTGTATTTTTAGTAGAGACGGGGTTTCTCCATGTTGGTCAGGCTGGTCTCAAACTCCCGACCTCTGGTGATCCACCTGCCTCAGCCTCCCAAAGTGCTGAGATTACAGGCATGAGCCGAAACGCCCAGCCTGCAGCTGCATTTTTAATGCCTAGAGCTTTGACTAGCTGGAAGTTATTCTGGTAGGAAGAGTAAACATGAGGCAGCCCCCACTTTGTTCCAGATAGCTTACCAATGGCCTGTTCCAAATAGCTTTTGCCAATAGCTCACCAGGGCTGGCCTCATGGGCTTACAGTGGAGATTTTTGAAAGATTAAGGAAACGATAAACATAAATAGAAGTTTTAACCCTTTTTCGCTGCCCTCCCAAGTTTTTTGGAGTGCTCCCTGGGGTGTGTGAACCTCACTTTCTTGTCTAGAGGCACTGCTGTGTGGCCTATGAAAGCAGTGTCCTGATCTGTTCCTCCTTTCCCATTCCTCACGCGTGAAACCAGACTGCTTCCTAACCTGTTTGGATTAGGGACCACTTTCTAGTCTGTTGAAAATTCTAGATTCTGACCGCGAAAGTGCACACACAGATACAGCTAGTAGACTCTGATCTCAGGGGCCTCAAGGACCCCAGGGCTAGGGATCAATCTGCCATTTGAGGAGTTCAAGGAAGGCCACAGGGCAGGGGAGGGGAAGGAAGAGCCAGGCTGGCTGGCAGGCTGGGGCAGATGTGGCTGGGTGCGTGTGTGTGTTTAAGAGTTTAGACAAACAAGGACCTGCGTGTATGGGGGTACGTGCACGTGTCAGCTGCAGCTCTGCAGACCGTGGGCAGCTGCTGAGTCCTGGGTGTTTCCCAGCCTTGGCCCAGGATCAGTGCCAGGAAGGGACCATGAATGCAAGCTCATATGGCCACCCTGCAGATTTTCAGGCACATCCTGCAGCGGGAGTTTTCAGGACTGAGCCACCTTTCCCGAAAGTTCACCGAGTGGTGCTATGGGCCTGTCCGGGTGTCGCTGTATGACCTGGCTTCTGTGGACAGCTGTGAGGAGAACTCAGTGCTGGAGATCATTGCCTTTCATTGCAAGAGCCCGGTGAGCCCACAGGAGCATGGGTGCACGCAGAGGACCCAGCAGAGTTTCCAGCAAGGTCCACAAATTGGGGCTGCCTGCTGGACCATATCTGCCCCATTCCTGTGCCAGTGGGGGTGTGGCTGCATGTCCCAGCAGGCACGACCCTGACCATGGCCACCGGGCCCATACTCAATCCATACTCTAGTCCCATCCAAGACGGGGATCATGCCAAGGGCCTCGTGGCAACCATCCGGGTCCTCTCTGTTAACCAGCATCTCATTTGGAGGGCAAGCCCCTTAGTCACACTGTAGCTGGGAGGGTTGGCGTGAGGTCCTTTGGGGCTCCTGGGGTGTGGAAGCCTGCTCCCTGTCCTCTCTCCTCATTTCCTGGGCCCTTGCTTTGATCTTGACATGGAGTGGGCAGCCTATTTGCACTTGTTGAGTGTACCCATGGCTCTCCCCTCCCCACCCCAGCACCGACACCGAATGGTCGTTTTGGAGCCCCTGAACAAACTGCTGCAGGCGAAATGGGATCTGCTCATCCCCAAGTTCTTCTTAAACTTCCTGTGTAATCTGATCTACATGTTCATCTTCACCGCTGTTGCCTACCATCAGCCTACCCTGAAGAAGGCAAGGGCGTGAGGTTTGGGGGGGCACATCTTGGGGGAGGCCTGCTTGAAACAACCCTGGGGGAAGATGGGGCAGTAATAGTGCTGAGGCATGGGCTGCTGGAGTGACATTCCCAAGCTTATGGGAGCCAGCACTGCAGTACTAACGGTGATACAGTGAAGATTTGCTGAGTGCTCACTGTATGTGAAAAAGGATTCTAGGTGATGGACATGTGTTGACTAATTAATGTGCCCCAAAACCCTTGAGATGGTGAATTATAATCACCCCCAGTTTATAGTAGAGGGAAGGGAGGCACAGAGAGGTTAAGTAACTTGCCCAGGGTCACACAGAATGGAAGTGGTGTGGAGAGGGAATCTGAATCCAGGGAGTCTGGCTTCAGACCCTACACTGAAATGCTACACAATGTGCCTCTCAGGATCCAGGGGTCCTTCCCTGGAGCCCATGTTCCCATGCCGTTCTGAGGAGCCTCTCCACAGCTCAGGCTCAGAGTAGGCCCTCAGCTTCAGCTCTGAAGGGTGAGCTGTTCGAGAGAGGACCCAAGGCCCTAGGTCTCATCTGAGTGTGTCTTCAGCAGGCCGCCCCTCACCTGAAAGCGGAGGTTGGAAACTCCATGCTGCTGACGGGCCACATCCTTATCCTGCTAGGGGGGATCTACCTCCTCGTGGGCCAGGTGAGTGCCCCTCCCCTTCTCCTACCAAGAAGCAAACCTAGAATTCTGCTTCAGGGGGCTTAGAGAAAGTTAGCTGCATCCCCTCACTGACAATACCCAGTCCCACCCAGAGCAACCAGCCTCACTGAAGCTGAGGGCCAGAGGTTCTGGCCTTGCCTTCTGAGTCCCCAGGAACCCCTCTGCTGTGCTTTTGGGGTTCCTTGGGGTAGCAGATAGCTTCTCTGATTCCTTGGCAGTACAGACTCTGCTCCCCCAGGAATGGAGCTGGAAGCGCCTGCCCCTAGCCAGGCCCCTCGGCTGGGAAGCTCCCCTCTTGGGGAGCACAGAGACCAGAGGTAGGTGGGGTTCAGGCTATTTCCCCCAGTAGGGCCTCTTCAGTGGGAAATGCTGTAAGCCTGCAGGACACAGGCTGGACACCAAGACATTGGGACCTCCGCAGAGTGGGCAGAACTTGGGCACCAAACGCAGGTTGGCTGGGGTATGGGTGCTCCCTGTGAGGCCAGGGAGAAGGGAAGGGAAAGGTGCTCTTCCCCTTCCTGCATGCAGTGCACAGGCTCTTCACCTGCACCCCCCGGCCTTGCCTAGGTGGCTGCTCTTTCTGGAAAGAAAGTCCCAAGCTATCTCAGCTATCAGAAGTATTCATGAGTCCCCCAAAACCAAAGCTGCTGACTTAGCTCTAGCCTGGGTGGCAGGCTCCCACTCAGCCAGGCCAGCAGGGGGCATGCGGGAGAGCAGGTTTCACAGCCCTCTGTCCTCCCTTCCTCCGCAGCTGTGGTACTTCTGGCGGCGCCACGTGTTCATCTGGATCTCGTTCATAGACAGCTACTTTGAAATCCTCTTGTACGTGGGTTCTCACTCCTCCTTCTCTCAACTGTCTCTGAGGTCTGGAAGGGGCAGTTGTGGCAGAAGGCACCAGGTTGGCTTTAGAGGCGAGGACACGGGGCCCAGGAAGTCGGGATCTGTGTACAGGCCAGTCCCAGGAGTCTGGGCTGCCGTCCAGCCTGGGGCCCCTTGTGCTCCCATCACTGTAGATGGTGATAGTGACATTTACTAGGCCTCGGCACATACCTGTTTCACTTAGTCCTTGAAAACACTCTATGAGTCAGGCATCATTATTATTATGCCCATTTTACAGTGGGAGGGAACTGAGGCCCACAGAGGTTAAATGTCTTGCCTAAGATGGAGGTCAGGACCTTGGTCAGCATAGGCCAGTGGGGGCTCAGGGAGCCAAGTGGCCCGCAAGCCCACCTGGATTCTGCTCCCACACAGCCTGTTCCAGGCCCTGCTCACAGTGGTGTCCCAGGTGCTGTGTTTCCTGGCCATCGAGTGGTACCTGCCCCTGCTTGTGTCTGCGCTGGTGCTGGGCTGGCTGAACCTGCTTTACTATACACGTGGCTTCCAGCACACAGGCATCTACAGTGTCATGATCCAGAAGGTGAGAGAAGGGGGTGGCCCACCGGGACTCTTTTGGCCTCATCAGGCAAGAAGAGCCTTCCTCCACAGCTATCCTAGGCAGAGGAGGGCATGTGTACATCTGCCTGTGCGCCAGCACTCAGATGCTTGCTGGATGGAAGCTTAAGTACAGGCCTGCACATACCTCTCTCAGGGCTCTGCATGCACACGCAAACAAACGTACATATGTGTGTTTGCAGGTGTCCACACGGGAGCATGTGCATCCTTCCACAAGCAAGGAGCAAAGAATATGTGCATAAGCTCATCTGCATGTCTGTGTCCTGCGATGTGTGGGCGCGGGCATGTAACTGCATTCATTTATGTATTCAGCGCATGTTTAGGGAGTGCCTACTGTGGGCCGGGCCCTGTTCTAGGTGTTGGGAATATAGCAGAGAACAGAACAAGTCCTTGCTCCCCTGAAGCTGATGTTCTGGTGGGAGGAAATGAAAACCTTAAGAAAACAACTGAGAACATTCCACACTGCTAAATTCTATGAAGGAAAAAAAAGCACAGGACAATGTGATGCAGAATGGCTGGGACCAAGTACCCTTTAGATGGGATGGTCTGGGAAGCCTCTCTAAAGAGGGGATGTTTAAGTTGAGACCTGAAAGAATGATTCAGCCACAGCAGGGTGAAGAGGAGATATTCTCAGCAGAGGGCACAGCAGTGGCTGCCACGAGCCAGAAGGAGCTTGGGGTGCTTGGGACAGGGTGAGGAGGCTAGGTGGCTGGGGAGATGGCAGGAGGGTGGAGGTGAGGAGGTTGGGAGGAAGGGAAGGGCCAGGGGCCCCTTCCACGGGGAGGGATTTGGAGGTCCCCAGAGGCTTTTTTTTTTTTAATTGTAGTAAAATACACCTAACATGGAACTTTTTTTTTTTTCTTTGAGATGGAGTCTCACTCTTGTTACCTAGGCTAGAGTGCAATGGCACCATCTCAGCTCACTGCAAACCCCTACTCCTGGGTTCAAGCGATTCTCCTGCCTCAGCCTCCCGTATGGCTGGGGTTGCAGGCACCCACCACCATGCCCGGCTAATTTTTGTATTTTTAGTAGAGACAGGTTTTCACCACGTTGGCCAGGCTGGTCTCAAACTCCTGACCTCAGGTGATCCGCCTGCCTTGGCCTCCCAAAGTGCTGGGATTACAGGCATGAGCTACTGCGCCTGGCCCATTTTAACCTTTTTTTTTTAAAGTATACAGCTAAGTGTCATTAAGTACATTCACACTGTTGTATAACCATCACCACCATCCAACTCCAGAACTTTCTTGTCATCCCAAACTGAAACTCAACACCCATTAAACAACTCCCCATTCCCTTCCCCCAGTCCCTGGAAGCCACCATTCTAATTTCTGTTTCTACGAATTTGATGACCATAGCTACATCGTAGAAGTGGAATCATACAGTATTTGTCCTTTAATGTCTGGCTTATTTTACTCAGTATAATGTCCTCAAGGATCAGCCATGTTGTAGCATGTGTCAGAAATGCCTTCCTTTTTTTTTTTTTTTTGAGATGGAGTCTTGCTCTGTTGCCCAGGCTGGAGTGCAGTGATGCAATCTTGGCTCACTGCAACCTCCGCCACCCAGGTTCAAGCGATTCTCCTGCCTCAGCCTCCCGAGTAGCTGGGACTACAGGCATGTGTCACCACATCCGGCAAATTTTTTTTATTTTTAGTAGAGACGGAGTTTTGCCACGTTGGCCAGGATGGTCTTGAACTCCTGACCTCAGGTGATCCACCCACCTTGGCTTCCCAAAGTGCTGGGATTGCAGGCTGAGCCATCACGCCCAGCCAATTCCTTCCTTTGTAAGGCTGAATAATATCCCATTGTGTAGATACACCACATTTTGTGCGTCCATTCATCTGTCGATCCAGTCACCTGTTGCTTCCACCTTTTGACCATTGTGAATAATGCTGCTACGAACAAGGGTGTAAAAGTATCTGTTAGAGTCCCTGCTTTCAATTCTTTTGGGCATATACATACCCAGAAGTGGAATTGCTGGGTCATACAGTAGTTCTATATTTTATTTTGTGACCCTGGAAGGTTTTTTTTTTTTGTTTTTTGTTTTTTGTTTTTTGAGATGGGACTCATTCAGTCACCCAGGCTGGAGTGCGGTGACACGATCATAGCTCATTGCCGCCTTGACATTCTGGGCTCAAGCAATCCTCCTGTCTCAGCCTCCTGAGTAGCTGGCACTGTAGGCTTGTGCCACCATGCCCAGCTACTGGAAAGTTTTAAGCAGGAAAACAATGTGATCTGAGACATATATATATATATATATATATATATATATACATATTTTTTTTTTTTTTTTTTTTGAGACGAAGTCTCACTCTGTAGCCCAGGCTGGAGTGCAGTGGTGTGATCTCGGCTCACCACAACCTCTGCCTCCTGGGTTCAAGTGATTCTCCTGCCTCAGCCTCCTGAGTAGCTGGGATTACAAGCACAGGCACACCACTGCACCTGGCTAATTTTTTGTATTTTTAGTAGAAACGCGGTTTCACCATGTTGGCCAGGCTGGTCTTGAACTCCCAACCTCAGGTAATCTGCCCGCCTCAGCCTCCCAAAGTGCTAGGATTATAGGCATGAGCCACCGCACCCAGCCAGATCTGAGATATATTTTTAAAAGACTCCTCTGCTCGGTGTGGCTCCACAGGCCCACATATGCATATGTATGTGTGCGTATGTGCAGTGTACACGGGAACCATGCTGCTGTGGGTGAGGCAGGGTTCTGGGGTCGTGACTGGTGGCCCAGCTACCCACCCTGGCCCCTGGGCACATGTGTTCCAGGTCATCCTGCGGGACCTGCTGCGCTTCCTTCTGATCTACTTAGTCTTCCTTTTCGGCTTCGCTGTAGGTAAAGGCTCCCTCCGGCCCCCTCCCCCTTCCCCACGTTCCTTGTCCACCCTGTACACTCCCAAGGCTGCCCACCGGTCTCCTGGGCTAAGGACCCCTCTCCCTTCATCCCATAGCCCTGGTGAGCCTGAGCCAGGAGGCTTGGCGCCCCGAAGCTCCTACAGGCCCCAATGCCACAGAGTCAGTGCAGCCCATGGAGGGACAGGAGGACGAGGGCAACGGGGCCCAGTACAGGGGTATCCTGGAAGCCTCCTTGGAGCTCTTCAAATTCACCATCGGCATGGGCGAGCTGGCCTTCCAGGAGCAGCTGCACTTCCGCGGCATGGTGCTGCTGCTGCTGCTGGCCTACGTGCTGCTCACCTACATCCTGCTGCTCAACATGCTCATCGCCCTCATGAGCGAGACCGTCAACAGTGTCGCCACTGACAGCTGGAGCATCTGGAAGCTGCAGGTGCCACCAGAGAGGCTCCCTGCCCCCACCCCACCCCACACTCAGGCGGTGGGGAGTGCTCCGGACCCTGCGGAGCTGGGCCTTCCCTAGCCAGGAGATGCCGGGTTGGGCAGCTCTACCTTGTCAGTCTTCCTCTTCCTTTTTTTTTTTTTTTTCTGGAGACAAGGTCTTGCTCTGTCACCCAGGCTGGAGTGCAGTGGCACGATCACAGCTCAATGCAGCCTCGGCCTCCTGAGCTCAAGTGATCCTCCTTCCTCAGCCTCCTGAGTAGCTGGGGTTACAGGCACCTGCCACCACACTTGGCTAATATTTTTATTTTTTGTAGAGAAGAAGGTCTCACTATGTTGCCCCGGCCTCAGGTGATCCTCCCACCTTTGCCTCCCAAAGTGCTGAGATTACTCCCACCTCCTTTAAGCTCATAGATGTACTTAGGACAGTGCCCAGCACCAAGCAGGTGCTCAATGTGCTACCAGCTACTCTTATCATCATTGCTGTCCAGTGTTTCTTTTTTTTTTTTTTTTGAGTCAAGAGTTTTGCTCTTGTTGCCCGGGCTGGAGTGCAATGGTGCAATCTTGGCTCACTGCC
The DNA here is from genome assembly GCF_000001405.40 of Homo sapiens. Lineage (NCBI taxonomy): Eukaryota > Metazoa > Chordata > Mammalia > Primates > Hominidae > Homo > Homo sapiens. The sequence continues at coordinate 16,432,886 of NC_000017.11, forward strand.
ACCTTTGTCTCCTGGGTTCAAGCGATTCTCCTGCCTCAGCCTCCCAAGTACCTAGGATTACAGGCATGTGCCACCACACCCCACTAATTTTTTGTATTTAGTAGAGATAAGGTTTCACCATGTTGGTCAAGCTGGTCTTGAACTCCTGACCTCAGGTGATACACCTGCCTCGGCCTCCCAAAGTGCTGGCATTACAGGCATGAGCCACCATGCCCCACCCTGCTGCCAATTCATTGTTGATCTTGGGGAAGCCCCTTATCTCCTCTGAGCCTTGGTGCCCTCCTCTGCAAGGTTCTGTGCCCCACCTGACTCACTGGTGTGCCTCTGGGCAGGCACATGTGTGGGGTGAGCAAATGAAGTTCTGTTCCTGGTGGTGTGGCAATCTGGAGCCTGGAACGATGTAAGAGCAAGTAGCTGTCCAGTACTCATAAGGTACAGACTTCCCATCAGCTGTCTGAGGCACTTTGTCCTCAGTCTACAAATGGGGAAACTGAGATGCAGAGAGGCTGAGGGCCCAACCCCACACAGGTAACCGGATGTTGGAGCCAGATTCGAATCCGCGTGTTTAGTTGACTTCGCGTTATACTGTGAAGTGCTGCGCGGCACTTCCCTGCTCCGCTTGCCTTGTGTGCCTTTGCCCCCAGGCAGGGTCCCAGGACGTTCTGTCTGATGCATCCTTTGTCCCCAGAAAGCCATCTCTGTCCTGGAGATGGAGAATGGCTATTGGTGGTGCAGGAAGAAGCAGCGGGCAGGTGTGATGCTGACCGTTGGCACTAAGCCAGATGGCAGCCCCGATGAGCGCTGGTGCTTCAGGTGAGTGAGTGGTGGGAGGGTCTCCTGGGGGCCTTGCTGTCCAGCAATCCCTGGGGCCCCCCTGCAGTGCAGGGCACAGCTGCCAGGAGCCAGGTCTGGTGGGAAGGGCAGGCCCAAAGAGCACCAGGGACTGAGCCTGAGCAGGTGAGGTCAGGGGTCTGGATCTCACAAGCCATGGCTGCCACATGACTGGCCATCTGCCTGTCCCAGTGGCTTAAACTGAAGGTCCCCTCCTGGTGATCTCAGACTCCTCCTTGTAGCCTGAAATGTGTTACGGTAAGGAGGCCAAGAAGTCAGAGGGACCCTTGGGTTGCTAGCACTCTAGCATTGCCCTGGCTGCTCTGTGTCCCCCCACCCCCAATTCTGCCAGCCTGATCTCTGAGCTACAACCCCTTCCATGGAGAACATGCCCTTCTGTGTCCAGGAAAGGCTGGGACACTGGGAGAGGGAACCTAGTGACAAACACACAGCTAAAAACAGACACTGTCGGCCGGGTGCAGTGGCTCATGCCTGTAATCCCAGCACTTTGGGAGGCCGAGGCGGGCAAATCACGAGGTCAGGAGATCGAGACCATCCTGGCTAACACAGTGAAACCCCATCTCTACTAAAAATACAAAAAAGTAGCCGGGCGTGGTGGCGGGCGCCTGTAGTCCCAGCTACTCAGGAGGCCGACGCAGGAGAATGGCATGAACCTGGGAGGCGGAGCTTGCAGTGAGCTGAGATCGCACCACTGCACTCCAGCCTGGGCGACAGAGCGAGACTCCATCTCAAAAAAAAAAAAAAAAAGAAAACAACAGCAACAAAAAAAACAGACACTGTCGTGAGGCAGCAGATGAGCAGAGAGACGGAGTCTTGGGCATGAGGAGCAGCCATGATAGGCCCCAGAACCCGGAAGCACAGATACACCTGATCTGAATTCCTCTTCTCTGGTTGTTCTGGGCAACCCAGGCTGCTGTGAACAGCCAGAAGCGATGGATGCTGATTCCTGCAAGTGAGCACCTGCCTCACAGGACAGGGCTCCAAGTGGGTGGCCCAGAACCCTGCAGAGAAAAAGCCTGTCCTCCTCAGGGCCTCTGTGTCCACCAGAGCATCTCTGCATAGTCTCCCAATTTGGGGGGCCACGCCCCTCTCCGGGGTGGGAGGGGAGGCGGTCAAAGCAGGCAAACCTCAGAGCTGCTCTGTTGCCCTCAGGGTGGAGGAGGTGAACTGGGCTTCATGGGAGCAGACGCTGCCTACGCTGTGTGAGGACCCGTCAGGGGCAGGTGTCCCTCGTGAGTAGCCTGGTGACTAGAGCCTCTGCCCTGGGGTGTGTGTCTCTGCTGCTTGGCCACAAAGCCTTGGAGAGTCTGGGGCAGGACCCAGAGACCTCCTCATAGTCCCTTTGCAGATCCCCACATGCCAGCTCCTCTTAGAGGGATTGCCTCCTTAAAACAGTGGTTCCCTCCTTTCCTTTCCACCCACACCTTGCTTTCAGGCAGGAACCAGGGGAAACCTCTGAGGCTGTTAGCGCTTCCACCAGCCCAGCCTCTGGCTGCCCTCTCTCTGATGCCAGTCAGTCACACCCTTTGCCCATTCAATTGGTTATCGAGGGTCTGTCCCCAGCCAGGCCTGGGCTGAGCCTGGGGACTCAGCAGGGGAATAAGTTAGGAAGGGCTGTGTCACAGCGCAGCCTACAACAGAGGCAGCATCTCCCTGGACCCTCAGAGGAACTGCCCTGCATAGGCCCTTAGTCCCTTCACACCCCAAGTCCCCCACCTCTGAGAAACCACTTCCCATGCTTCCTCCATGTCCGTGGCCTGTGTCCTCTCCGTTCCAGTGTAGTGATGGCCCCTCCTGTCCCCACCCTGCTGCCTCCACCAAGACTGGTTCCTTCCTCCCACCCTCAGAGGCCTGTTCTGAGGATTAGCTGTCCCCACTGCATACCCTTTCTTTCTAGAACCTTCAATAGCTCCCACCTTCCACTGGTTCACCTCCTCTCCTTTCTCCATCTCTTTCCTGACAAATTTCACTTGCTTGTGCCTGTTGCCCCCCACAATAGCCTCCTGAGTCTCCCATGGCCCCTGTTGTAGGGAGGCTCCTCTGGCCTCTTCTGCCCCACAGCCTGCTGGTTTCCCAGGCTCCTGGGCCGTGACCACTGCCTCACATACAGATAGGTTTCCCTTCACCTTCTCTTTGCATCTCCCTCTCTTCACTACAATGCCAGGAAAGTCACCTCTGAAAGTCACCTTGTCCCTCCCTCATCTTGCCCCAAGCACTCCACACCCCACTGCCTGCTGGGGCCTCCAATGTGACATTCCCAACAGGAACAGCCTCGGGGCTGCCCCAGCAGGTCACATGTATGTCACCCCACCCCCTCCTCACCCAGGTGGAAGGCCTTGAGAGTCTCAGCCTATTCCCCCCGCTATACCAGCTCTCCCACCTGGAGCTGAGTGTCCTTGACCCCTCAGGCGGCCACTCATCCCTCTGCCCTGCCCTGCCTCTTACTTCTGCACCACTGCAGGGGGGCCCAGCCTGCACTCTTACCCATTGCAGTCCTGCTAATGTGGACAAAAACCACATGCAGCCCACGCTACACAATGCCTCCCACTACCTGGAAGGCCGCACTGCTCAGAATGGAGGTCAGGGCCCAAAGCTGTCTAACTCACTCCCCACACCTCCATCCACATGTCTGCAGTACTCCTTGTTCTTTGCTTTCCTTGGTTCATCTCTGGATTCGTCTCTGTCGGAAGTGCTCTTCCTCCCCTCTGGATGTCCAAATCTGCCACCGCCCCTGCAGGACAGGTCCCCTCTCTCCTCTGAGCTCCCCCAGCATGTCTCAGGTGTTCTGATCTCTGACACACAAGTCTGTCACCTCCAGGCACTTTAAGCTCCTGGGGGTGGCAGGGGCAGGGGGAAGCCCCTGATATGGCAGGGGATTGGGAAATGCTTGTGGAGTGAGGGAAGCAGGGAGAAGGATTGCTGGCCTCCAGGATCGCTGAGGCTGTCCCCACGGCATGACGTGTTTTCATGACTGTGGCCCCGTTTCCCTGGTGCCTGCTTCCTGGGGACACACTCAAGGGTTAAGCTACAGTGCTTGCCATCTGTTTACAGGAACTCTCGAGAACCCTGTCCTGGCTTCCCCTCCCAAGGAGGATGAGGATGGTGCCTCTGAGGAAAACTATGTGCCCGTCCAGCTCCTCCAGTCCAACTGATGGCCCAGATGCAGCAGGAGGCCAGAGGACAGAGCAGAGGATCTTTCCAACCACATCTGCTGGCTCTGGGGTCCCAGTGAATTCTGGTGGCAAATATATATTTTCACTAACTAACTCTTCTGGAAACATTATTTGGGCAGAGTTGCTGGGACCCTTAGAGCTGGCAATGTCTGCATGTCTCTGTGTGCACAGGTCTGTGTATGGGACTAGGTTGCTCCTGCCCTTGCCTGGGCACAGAGACCCTCAGTTGCTGTGTCCCCACCCTCACCCCCACATCCCCAAGTCTGGGGACTGTCCTCTTCCTGGGTACAGGCAGCTGGCTGAGGTGCTGTGCCCATTGTTGTGGCAGATATATGGTGATGGACATGGGCAAACAGCCACCTCTCCTCTCTCTCCACCACGACACCCTTTGCTTTCCACACCCACCCTGCTTTTGGGCAGGTACCTGGGAAAACCCATTAAAGCCACCTCTCTTGCTTTCTCTTCCTACCGAGCTTCTTGCTCAATTCCCACCCCTCCCAAGCCATTCTCTGCAGGGCAGCCAGAGGGCCTTCCTAAGACATAAGACAAACATGTCCTCTTTGTGCTCTGAAGGCCTGAGAGGCTCCCCAGTACCCACAGAATGCCCTAGCTGACATCCCGAGACCCCCACGGTTTTGCCCAAGCAGTTCCAGACACCTCCTCCCCTCCACCTCTGTTGCCCCTCCCTCCTTAGCACTCTCCCCAAATTCATGCAGGCCGAGAGACCTCGTGCTTGATCCCTTGACCTGGCTCTTGCTGGAAGCCCCCCTCCTCCATTAAAACCCTACACTTGGGGGTGGGGGGAGGGATAGCATTAGGAGATATACCTAATGTAAATGATGAGTTAATGGGTGCAGCATACCAACATGGCACATGTATACATATGTAACAAACCTGCACGTTGTGCACATGTACCCTAGAACTTAAAGTATAATAATAAAATAAAACCCTACACTTGCCGGGCGCCTGTAATCCCAGCACTCTGGGAGGCCCAGGCGGGCGGATCACCTGAGTTCAGGAGTTCGAAACCAGCCTGACCAACATGGAGAAACCCCGTCTCTACTAAAAATACAAAATTAGCCGGGCGTGGTGGCGCATGCCTGTAATCCCAGCTACTCGGGAGGCTGAGGCAGAAGAATCGCTTGAACCCGGGAGGCAGAGGTTGCGGTGAGCGGAGATCGCGCCATTGCAGTCCAGCCTGGGCAACAGGAGCGAAATTCCGTCTCAAAAAAACACAAAAACGAGCAACAACAACAACAACAACAAAAACCCTACACTTATTTCTGAGGCCAGCTCAAAAGGTCTTATGATTGTCTTCCCAGTTTTTTGCAGTCAAAATGAATTTCTTTCCCTTGGTATAACGTGTGTGTGCAAAACGTGGTTGCATGGATTCTTTTTCAAGGAGAGAGCTGAGCATGTTCATAGGCTGAAAGGAAAGCCACAGTAGAGAGAGTTTTCCATGGAAGGTGAGGCAGGGGCATAGGTGGAGGAGGCCCCAAGGAATGAGGAGAGGAAAGGAGGTGGGCAGAGCTTTACCCCAGAGGCGAGCAGAGGATGGACGTGGATCTAGATAAGACGTCAGCTCGTTCCCTAAAGGTCGTGCTAAAGGAGTAATGAGGGTGACCAGTGCGCAGGGGTTTGAGAAGCCCCGTGGATGTGGTGAAATAGCTGTGGGGAGAGTATTTGGCAACGCTCAATAGATTCAGGAGGAGCTACTAGGATGAATGGCTGCCTTGTGCCACAGCTCTACAGGCTTTCACGTGTGTCATCTCACGTGATCTTCTGGGGCGCTGGTGTCTCCGTTTACTAGAGGACCAATCGGAAGCTTAAAGAGAATGAGTAATTGGCCCAAGACCACCCAGCTAAGGAGTGGCGGAGGTGGGGCCCAAACGCGCGATCCAGCCCTCGCGCAGGCGCCCTGGAACTCCCCGCGCGTGTTGTGACCCAGAATTCCCGGGGCTGTGGAAGAGACCATAGACTCAACAGGAGGGGGAGTCCTGGGTAGCGCGCCGGTCTAAATCGTTACTTGGCGGAAAGTTCCCATGAGTCTTTGCCAGCGTCCCCCTCCTTTTGTGAGGATTGGGATATTCCGACTCCTTAAGGGCCTGGCGCACATAAGGTGTGACCTTTTCATTCCCGTTGTTATGGAGGTAGGCTCTCTAGGAATCTGGGAGTAGTAGCTGGGGGGCAAGAGCAAATAAAGAGCTCGAGCTTCTGTGGTCTCTGGGGAGATGTTCCCGGGAAGCCTGTCTAGAGGGCGGAGGGCAGCTGTTGAGATGGCGTGGCTCCCCGGCTCCTGCGCCCGCGTGGCTTTCGCGGCGGGCGCTGCGGCCCGGTATTGGACAGCCTGGCAGGGCAGCGCGGGGCCGAATCCGGCTGCCGTGGCTGAGGCTCATGGATCACTCTTTTGTGGTAGGGCCACATCTGCCAGAGCCTGGAGTCTGCGAAGGCCGGGACCCGGTTCCCCGGCCCACAGTGGGGGTGTGCAAACCCGAGAGAACTGGGTAAGTTGGGGTCGGCTTGCAGTTTGGGGTACCCCGAGGGCGGTGTACGTCGGTAAGATTGTAACAGTATTACTGGAAGACTTATTCGACTGTCCTGATGATACTTGTAATAGGAAGTGCCGTCAGAAGCGATAACTGACGACGTCTAATGTCTATCTGACCGCAGTCGCTGAAACCTCTACAACTTAGTTGACCGTAACTGCCAGAGCCCTGCCCTGAATTCCTGTCCTTACTCCCTCTTTAAGATTGCGTACCCACTGCAGAGTGCTGAAGACGGGGTAGCCACGAGGTGAGAGGCTCTCTGGTGTAGGGTTTAACATGGAACGTAGTTTTGTCACTTGAATGCACGGAAATTGGCGTTTTGACAGTTTTCTACGTTTAGGTGTTTTATACACTTTAGGGTAACGTTATCATGTCATTGCATAGGGTGGAACTTAAATAGAAACTGGAGATGGCTGCTTCAGCCACAGTCCTAACCTAGAACTGCATTTAAAGCAAACTGATAATGCAGAAACAAACTCCTTCGTTAAGAAATGTCTCCAGTAGCAGGGTTAGCTTAAGTTTCAGGTAGGGTCTAGATCTGCGGTTGGAACAGTACTGGAGGGTTGTGAGGTGCTTGACTGCTCTGATGAAATCACTAATAGGAAGTGCCGTCAGAAGCGATAACTGACGAAGACTACTCCTGTCTGATTGCAGTCAAGTCTTCACCACTTGCTGGTTCCCAGGAGTAAACTTGTTTGAACGGTGACCTAATTGCTATATTCACCTAGGTTGCAAATTCGTGAAGAATCAGCATCATGTTTGGCAGCTGAGTATTGGAGCCAGGAGCCTGCCATGAGGTAAGCCTTGCTCTATGGGGAGGCTAGTGGCTGACCACGCCTAGCTGTCAGGTCGAATATTGGCAATTGGATTTGGTTAACCTAATACCTTGTAACAGTGTAGCCTATCCCAGAGATACTGATTTTAGTTTCCGGTGGCAGTGGAGCCAGGGTGGATTACCTAGAAAGAGGGGCTACTCTATTTACCTCTTGGCTGTTTAGTCTCGGGCAAATTACCTGTCTGCTGAGATGTAGTTTTCCTCAGATGTGAAAAGGAAAAGTAATCTTAGCTTTGTGAAGTTTAAATTGATATGACTGAAATGGAGATTACAACTCCCCTGAGGCTGGGCACAGTGGCCTGTAATCCCAGCACTTTGGGAGGCTAAGGTGGGTGGATCACCTGAGGTCAGGAGTTCAAGACCAGCCTGGCTGGCCGACATGGTGAAACCCCATCTCTACCAAAAATACAAAAATTAGCCGGGTGTGGTGGCGTGTACTTGTAATCCCAGCTACTTTGGGGGCTGAGCCAGGAGAATCGCTTGAACCCGGGAGGCGGAGGTTGTAGTGAGTCGAAATCGTGCCACTGCACTCCAGCCTGGGCAACAGCGAGACTCCATCTCAAAAAAAAAAAAAAAATTACAACCTACTGAGAAGCTAATTAAGATTTGTAGTCCTCAATAATTTACAAAAACTTAGAAAAATTACCTCTAATTAGGTCTTAAGGGGCTTTTGTTAGGATGGACTTAAATTTGTAAAGTCATTAATTGACTGTCATCAGAAATGCCTGTCCTGCTCTGCATCTGCAGTCTCTAAGGTGTATGCGCCTTCTCCATTCCCCCAGGTTTTGAGAACAGAGTGCTGTTTTAGAGCTGGCAGCAGCATCTCAGCCCAAGAGAAGGTAAGCCTTGAGCTGGCCAATGATCCCTTCAACCCCATAGTGGAATGAATAAACAGCTGATCTTGTTAAAACTCGCTTCAAAAAAAAAAGATATCAAATGATGAAATCACCCAAAATAGCTGGAATTACCGGCAGATTGTGTAGTGGTGAACCTATGGTTTTCTGAAGATATCTCTTACCCTGTGATTGACTGTCAGTTGGTGCAGAAAGTGAGATTGAAATGTAGTTTCTTTGCAGGTTATATTCCCAGAGGATGTCAGTCCCAAGGACCAGTAGCTGCCATCAGTTTGGATTCTGAAAACTAACTGGCATCAACACTGGGTGTAGAAACATGCTTGCCTTATGTATCAGAGGACATGCTCAGCAGATCCAAGAGATATATTTGGCAACTTTTTCTAGAAAAGGCACATTGGGTATCATTCATTACATTCTTGAGTTTTTTTGGGTTTTTTTTTTTTTTTTTGAGACAGTCTTGCTGTATTGCCCAGGCTGGAGTGTGGTGGCACAATCACAGCTCATTGCATCCTCAATCACCCAGGCCTAAGCAATCCTCCCACCTTGTAGCTGGGACTACAGCTCACAGCACACCTGGCTAAAATTTTTTTTTTGTTGAGACGGATTCTCTATGTTGCCCAGGCTGGTCTCAGGCTCCTGGGCTCAGATGGTCCTCCTGCCTCAGCTTCCAAAGGCACAGGCCAAGTTGTAGCTTTGTCCCTTGCCATCATGCCCAACAAGAGGTTCTATACCTTTTAATGAATTGACTTTCATAAATTGGTTATGTTGGTGGGCAAAGTTCTTTAAGCTGGAAATTGTAAATTCCTCCTGAAATGTTTTTTCATGCAGTTACCATGAACTAATACTACAATAAAGGATGGTCTTGGGTGTCAATTCTTGAAAATGTGTATTTGAAGAAAAAGTAAATTTCGCCTACTGTTGTCAGATATTAGCAGTCCAGATATTCGCTCTAGCTTGTAAACTTCCCTGTGGTCAGCCTAAGCTCTTAACCCCCTATTCTACAGCTTTAGACTGAAGGCAAAAGCTCAAAGCATTTAAGGCCTCCTCAATTTCGGCCCCTGCTGCTCTGTGCTCTGTTCCTTGGTGTAGCTTTGTTCCAGCTCCTGCAGCATTGCACCATTCCTAACCACAACCTTAACAGCATGTAGGGCCCCATACTCTAGGCCCCATCTTGCTGTCTTCCTGTGTTGGAATCTTGCCTACCAAGGCCTGTCAAGAGGGTCCTCCCCCATACTGTTTGCCCACAAGGTTCAAGAGTGATTGGCTCCCAGTCTTCCTGGACTGAACTACTTGGATCTAGGGGTTGCCTGTTATTTAGAAGAGATCCCTTAACTGGTAGGGCCCTTTCAGTAGGACAGTATTTGGGTAAGGGGAGGGTATAAGATGAGAACCTTTGCTAAGTTAGGTTCCTTTGGGAGCCTCCAGTTTGTTTCTCCCTCTCCCCAGCCATCTTGTTGGATCTGCCAAGGGATTGGACTCCTTCATTGTCCTAGGTTTTTAAGGTTTTAAAGCCCACCTTCTGCAGTCGGTTTTCTGGAATGTGTTGGTGGATTACTTAAGAGTTATGGGGAAAGAGTTCTTACGGCCTGTCTAGGTCAGTGAAGTCATACTGGCAAGTGACAAGAAGGAAGCCAGGTTTGTCACTTACCCTGCATGCTAAGGACATCAGAGCCCACATAGAAGTCTGGTAGTTTTTCAGCCAGCAGTGGGTAGGGAAGGTGGATAGGGGATTTCTGAACAGGACTTTATGCCTGTATGCATGGGCACCATGTCTGTCCTGAGCACTACCACATGGCATCGTAGGCTGCTCTGTCAAAGGATATAGCGATAGCTGGTCCTATGGGCAGATGCCTAGAATCAAGGTGGGCCTCAGAAATAGGGCTGGGTCTCCATAAGGAGGTAGGCCACGTTCAGTCCACCCCTAGCATAGATGGAACTGGGGTCTCGGGCAACCAGGAGTTACAGGAATTTTGCTAAAGATTCCCACCTTCCTTGAGTGGGGACACATTCCTCTGGTTGGAGCTTGTTCCCCTAAATGAAAAATGTAATGCAGTACATGTAGGGGCCCTACTGTATTCTTTTTCTGGGGGAAAGCTCTTGGTGTTCACAATGGCTCAGGCTTACAGTACCTCCAGCCATGTGCCCATTTCCACAAGTCTTTGGGGAAGGCCATGAGCTGAGCTGAGAGGGTTCTCTGGGGCCTGGGATGACTTAAGAACCAAATGGCAGATAATGGGATAGGGGGCAGATGCAGAGGACCAACGGGAAGTTTTAACACAAATCCCCTTCCCCAGATGATATGGTTTGCCTTTCTGTAGGTGGGTGGCCCAGGCCAATTTTTGGCAATATCCTTAACCCACCTGATAGGAGAAGCGCCCTCCCCTGCCTGCCTTGCCCATTCTACCCAACAAGGACTCCCTGGTGAGGCCCTTCACTTCCATGTCACGTCTGAGCTGCAGCTACAGTCTCCTTGCCCTCATGGTGGTCTTCGGCAGGTGCCACAGGGCCCCCTCCAGGGTCCTCCTGGCCTACTGTCCCTTCCCGGACCTCCTCCCCACTGCCTGGGCCCTCACCCAGCTCCAGGATGGTGGGTAGGTGGCCCTGCTTTGGGGAGCGCTTGCGCAGGCTGAGCAGGAAGGGCTGGGGCAAGGAGAAGATGTCCACGTTGTTGCCCAGGTCAATCCACGTGACATTGGGGAACTTGCTGGGATCCTTAAGGATGTCAGTGAGGTCGCGCAGCACGGCCCGGGTCAACCGGTTGCCATTGAGTGCCAGTGTGGTGAGGCGGGGCAGGGTGCTGAGTGCTGGCAGCAGCTGCAGGACCATGTCGTCCGTGAGGCCTGTGAAGCCCAGCTCCACGCTGTCTACCTGCTCCCCACAGCGCTGTAGGTAGCTGGTCACCCGCTCCAGGTCTCGGGAGGTCAGTGGGATTCCCGACAGGTCCACTGTGTTGTCTGGGGGGCTTCCGGCCAGGACAGCCTTGAGGCTGAAGGGAAAAAGGACAAACAAGGCTCAGGCACATAGGGCAGGCCTTTCCCCCAGAAGCTGCAGTGCCAGCCTCTGCTCGGCTCTCCGACGCTAGGGACTGCTTTTACGAAACACTTGGATGTCGGATGCCACAAGTGCAGAGGTGGGAGCAACCAGGGACCTCAGTCCCCTGACACTGCCGCACGTCTCAGCTGTCAGGGCCCAGCTGGCCGTAGCCTGAGGTATGTGGCTGCCCCTATTTACCAGAAAAATTGAGTTAAGAGTACCATTGGGCTGATATATGGAAGAAGTTCATAAGTGCAAAATGGTGCCTTGTATAGTAGGCGAGTGAGGAATAAACATTTGCTGCTGTATTCATCACCTGGACTCAGCTTCCCACTTCTACCACCCTGGGGTGGCAGCTCAGCCCCCATGAATGGCACAAAGGATCTCTGAGTCCCCTCTTTCAAGACCATCTTCCCCACCAGAGAAGGATTCCCTATGGGGAGCCTGTAAGACAGCAGGCAGGGCAGGGCTCAGGGGCTCTGAGCCTGGTGGCAGCTGCTGACTCCTGGAGGCTGAGTGCCTTGCTCCTTGCTTCTGCTTGTTCTTGGGACAGAGCCCAGGCAGTTCAAGCTGATGGCAAGTGTGCCCTTCCCTGCACACCCCCCACCCCACCCCCGCCATCTGTTTGCTGGCTCCAAGGCCCAGGTGCAGTGGTGAGATGTTCATTTTCCACATTTTTTTTTTTTTTTGGAGACAGTCTCGCTCTGTCACCCAGGCTGGAGTACAATGGCACGATCTTGGTTCACTGCACCCTCTGCCTCCCGGGCTCAAGTGATTCTCCTGCCTCAGCTTCCTGAGTAGCTGGGATTACAGGCGTCTGCCACCACGCCTGGCTAATTTTTGTATTTTTAGTAGAGACGGGGTTTCACCATGTTGGCCAGACTGGTCTGGAACTCCTGACCTCAGGTAATCCACCCATCTCGGCCTCCCAAAGCATTGGGATTACAGGCATGAGCCAACACGCCTGGCCATTTTCTGCATTTTTTTTTTTTTTTTTTTTTTTTTTTGAGACAGTCTTGTTCTGTCACCCAGGCTGGAGTGCAGTGGCGCCATTTCTGCTCACTGCAATCTCCACCTCCTGGGTTCAAGCGATTCTCCTGCCTCAGCCTCCCGAGTAGCTGGGACTACAGGTGTGTGCCCCCACGCCTGGCTAATTTTTTGTATTTTTAGTAGAGATGGGGTTTCACTGTGTTGGCCAGGATGGTCTCGATCTCCTGACCTCATGATCAGCCCACCTCAGCCTCCCAAAGTGCTGGGATCACAGGTGTGAGCCACCGTGCCCGGCCCCATTTTCCGCATTTCTAAGTGTGCTGGGAAGGAGAGGGAGGTGGAGGGGGCTCCCAGCCTGCTCCAAGAGCATATGCTACTGTCAACAGCTCAAAGGTCATGGCTTGTACTTCCTGGCAACACAGGGTACATTTGTCCTTGAGATCTAAGCTGGGAGGCTGTCCACAGTTTGTTCATTTTGACTCTGACTGGGGTCCAGCCCCAGGGAGTTGGAAAGTAAAACTCTCAAGGCGTGACATTTAAATGCTTGGAATGCTGCCAGCCATCTGTGCAGCTTGATTTAACTTTGGTGCTATTATCAATGTCATTAATAAAGACCCATTCCACCAGGGAAGCAGTGTGGTGGTGAACAGCCTGAGCTGGGTTTGAATTCAGCCCCACCACTTACCAGTTGGGTGATCCTAACCAGTCAATTGACAACAGTGATATCTCCTCCCTAATTTGTTCCTTTTTGTTTCTTGGAGATGGAGTCTCACTCTGTTGCCCAGGCTGGAGTGCAGTGGCATGATCTTGGCTCACTGCAACTTCCGCCTCCCAGGTTCAAGTGATTCTCCTGCCTCAGCCTTCTGAGTAGCTGGGATTACAGGCGTGCAACATCATGCCCAGCTAATTTTTTTATTTTTAGTAGAGACAGGGTTTCACTATGTTAGCCAGGCTGGTCTTGAACTTCCTACTTCAGGTGATCCGCCCATCTGGGCCTCCCAAAGTGCTGGGATTACAGGCGTGAGCCACCGTGCCCAGCCCATTTGTTCTTTTAACAAACATTTGTTAAACTCATCTGTGTGCCAGGCAGTATCCTAGACACTAGGGTCACAGTGGTGAACAGGATGGACAAAATCCCTGTTCTTCCTCTACTAGGGGGAGACAGACCACAAACAAAACCCTGAGTGTGGGGCGATACTGTAGCGTGGGGCTGTGGCTACTCAGGAGAAGGTAGCGTGTGGACTGACACATGAAAAAGTAAGCATGGGCCATCAAAAGAGTTTGGTGAAAGTTCCAGCAGAGGGCACAAAGGCCCTGAGGCTGGAAAGGGACTGGTGTGTCTGTGAACCAGCAGGAAGGCCAGTGTGGCTGGGGCGGGAGAGCAGGAGAGGTGAGACGAGGGGGCGAGGAGAGCAAATCAGAGGCCCATGCTTGGATTTCATTCAGGTGCCATGAGATTCCACCCGAGGGGAATGAGACCTCATGACATGGCTTCCGAATGAAGAATGGACTGAGCATGGGTGTGTGTGGGGAACCAGGAGAGGCCCTTAGGTTCCAGCAGAGCTCAAACTACCAGCTTTCCATTGCTAAAGAACCAGCTCAGTCTCATGGCATTCCAGGTTCCAAGGGCCCCCCGTCTTGCTGTATCCCCATATATGTCCCCTCTACCCAGGTAGAGCCCCTCCCGTAGCCAGCACCATCACAGCCTTACACTGTTCATCCACCTGGGAATGCGCCTCTCCAGGATCCATCTCCTAGTTGTGGGTGGGGGTGGGGGGCGGGTCCAGAACAGAAGGAGGCACCAGAGTTCTTTCTTCTCCATGAGGGAGGGGGACAGCCCTTCCTTCCCCAGCCTGCAGGGACCTGCAGGGATGAGCTAGCACCAGCACCAAGGCCTTGGCAGAGTCTTTGTGAGGGCACACCACTCAGCTATCATTTGCAAAAAGACAGGTGTGCTTCCTTCTCCAGGAAGCCTTACTTCCAGGCTCCCCTCTACTTGCTTCCTACGGTGTTATCACAGCCCACAGGTTCTGTGTCCTACATGCCCCTCAACCCCTACCAATCTTCAAGGGACTCTGAACCCCCTTGTTGCTGTATGGACCAGGGACAGGGCTGGGGTCTGGGTCCCCCTGGGGACATCTGAGATAACTGAGGAGTTACTAGGGAGTGCTTGTTGCTCAGGCTGGAGTGCAGTGGCGCTGTCTCTGCTCACTGCAACCTCCACCTCCCTAGTTCAAGTGATTCTCCTGCCTCAGCCTCCTGAGAAACTAGGATTACAGGTGTGCACCACCACGCCTGGCTAATTTTTGTATTTTTACAGGGTTTCGCCACATTGGTCAGGCTGGTCTCGAACTCCTGACCTCAAGTGATCCACCTGCCTCAGCCTCCCAAAGTGCTGGGATTACAGGCATGAGCCAAACACTGTGCTTATCTGGGAGTGCCCACTTTAGCACACCAGGAATTAGAAATTTCTCACATCTTCCTCCCACCCACCAGACCAGGGTCCCCCTCTAGATGTTTCCCCACTCTGGAATCCTCCTTCCATCTTACCTCCTTCAGGCAGCTTCTATGACCACCCCCCATGACTCCGCCCTTCCCTTCCCTACATCCCTGGGAGGGGTGCCCTGTAACACACACTCAGCCTGGCATAGACCTGCCCGGGGGAGTGTAACTCACCAGGCCTGTGGCTTCCTTTTCACCAGCCCCCGGTGCCGCCTCCACTGGGAGTGGGGGCTGAGGTGGTATGTCAGCTGCCGGCACAGCTTCTCCATGGCGCCCAGTGCATCGCCTTCCTGCAGAGGCAACCATGGGTGGTAGGGCCCTGAGTGGCTGGGTGCACCAGTCTCAGCCCCCAGGCTTCCTGTCTCCCGGGTAAGAGCCCAGCTCCCCCAGGCTGAGCTGGGGGAGGCCCTGCTCTGCTGGCCTAGGGTGGGCACCCTAGGCAGACAGCAGTGGCTGCAAACAGATCTGCAGGATGGTTTTAGTTTTTGTGAATTAGTTGCTAGCATTGAAAAACAGATTTATGTAAGTCTGGATTCCAGGAGATCGGACAAAAGTTGGCTGGAGCCAAGTGCCTGCTGACCCCCTGGCCAAGACTCACCATGATCCCTGCCACTCCCCAATGTCCAGGGCCGCTCTGTGCATTCTCTTGCTCAGCAGATTTATTGAGCACTTACTCGGAGCCAGGCACTTGTTCTAGGAAGCTAGGATATGGCCATGAACAAATGTTCGTGTCCTTGTATTTCACATAGTAAAGGGGAAAATGAGATATTTTTACCTGTGTCTCCCTCAAAAGTGAGAACAAATGAATGAGGAGGCCAAGTCTTTCCCAGCGCAGTTCATTCACATGCGTTCCTGTCAGGCCCGTTGGCATCTGAGTTTGAAACCCTGGGTGTCATGGGCTGAACTGTATCCCGCTGACAATCACAAGTTGATGTCCTAACCCCTAGTACCTTGGAATGCAGCTGTATTTGGAGACAAGGCCTTTAAAGAGGTGACTAAGGTAAAATGAGGTCAGAGGAGTAGGCCCTAATCCTGTATGACTGGTGTCCTAAGAAGAAGAAATGAGGACACAGACATGCAGAGGAACAACCACTTGAGGACACAGGAGGAGGAGGGACTGACAGACCTAGGAGAGAGCCTCAGAAGGAAACCCACCAGCCAGCCTTGGACTTCTAGCCTTCAGAGCTGTGCGAAACGAACTGTCTGCTGTTTAGACCACCAGTCTGTGATTTTTTGTTATGGCAGACACTGGGTTAAATGGTGCAGCTGAAAGATGCTACAGACTCCAACTACATCCCTAGGAAAGTCAATCCAACAGTCCCCGGAGCCAAACTCGTGCTGGACAGGGTGAGGGCATGAGTCCCTCCAGGGAGTGAGGACCAAAAGCGTGCTCCTGCCAGTGGGCCAGTGCTGAGGCTTGGATGCAAGCGCTGAGGCTTGGATGCAAGCGCTGGACTCAGATGCAAACCCACATGTGGCCAACGACTCGGTGTGGGGAGGTCCGGCACGTTAACCACGCACAGTGCTCAGCATGGTGCCTGGAGTGGGTGCTCAACAGGCTGCTTTGTCATTACGATTCCCACACCCCTCTGCTAGTGGACAAGCAGTGTATTGAGTAGTGAAGAGCAAAGACCTGGGGCCAAACCGTGGGGATTCAAGTCCTGGCTTTGTCCCGTTCTGTGTGGCCTTGGACAATTGCTTGACTTCTCTGTGCTCCAAACCACATCTGTGAAAGGATTACAGTACAGACCTCACAAGAGTTTCTGTGAGGATTAAATGAGTCACTACTAGCGCAGTGCTTTGAATAGAGCCCAACCCACAGCAAGCTCTCCAGGCACACTCTAAGTGAATACCGTGATAGCGGCACCAGCACAGAGAATTCTGGCAGGGCAAGGAGGGAAGATGACTTCTGCCCAGGCTCAGATTTGAGCTCAGCTTTATTTTAATTTAATTTAATTTATTTTTTGAGACAGTCTTGCTCTGTCACCCAGGCTGGAGTGCAATGGCACGATCTCGGCTCACTGCAACCTCCGCCACCTGGGTTCGAGTGATTCTCCTGCCTCAGCCTCCCGAGTAGTTGGGATTACAGGCACCCGCCATCACACCTGGCTAGTTTTTGTATTTTTAGTAGAGATGGGGTTTCACCATGTTGGTCAGGCTGGTCTTGAACTCCTGACCTCAAGTGATCCACCCGCCTTGGCCTCCCAAAGTGCTGGGATTACAGGTGTGAGCCACCGCGCCCAGGCTGAGCTCAGCTTTTAAGAGCAGATGGGTTAGTGATTTCAGATGGAGAAAGAAAACGTGAGGCATCCTTGAGTGAGGAGGAAACAGTCTGTGGCAGGGCTTGGTGATGTGGCGGCTGTGGGGTGTGTTACTGACATGAGGGCAGGTGAAGGCCTGGGGCCTGATCACATCTGGTCCCTCCATGGTTCAAGCCACTGTCAGCCCTGCACACCAGACATCACGCAAGAAGGTTATGGAATTCCCACAGCACCCCAAGGCAGTAGATACTTTCGTTATTCCCATTATGCAGTGGGGGAGCCTGAGGCCCAGAGGGCTGGGGATGGGCTTGGGGCTGATGGGAAGGCAAGAGAAGGAGACTCTGAGGAAGGGGGACAAGAGAGAGAGGAGTTGGGAAGATGGCAGTTGAATGTCCAAAGGAGAGAGGCATCTGTGGAGGGACCCAGGAAGCAAAGGAGGGCCCGAGACTGAACAGAACGGATTTGGAGGAGGCCCCTGGGCTCCAGTTCACAGCCCATCCCCACCCCTGCCCCCAGCTTCCTGGTGCCTGGCTGTCTGATGAATAAGCTTGTATCACCTGCCACTTGCACCTGTATCACACCTGTGTGTTACACCTGTCACTCCTGTGTGTCACTCTTGTGTGTTGCAGATGTGGGGGCAGGTGAGCATCTGCCTTTACGGCTTCATTCCCCACCCCTGGAGCTGACATCTTTTGGTTCCTAGACTTAGCTTCTTGCTGAACCTGGCCACATGACTGTGTGGAGGGAAGCAAGGCGGGTGAAGCAGGAGGAGCTGGTCATGGGGGCTGCAGGGGAGTCCCTCAAGGGGGATGTTCCTCAGACTGGGAGATGGAGAGAGGGGTGGACAGGAGGTGGAGAGGATGACTCAGGGCCAGGCTATTGGAAGGGGCTGAGGGGACAGAGGCCACACAGCTGACTGATATGCTGGATGGAGAAGGTGTGGGCAGGGAGGGTGAGGAGGGTCTAGGCTTTGGGCTTGGGACATGAGTAGAAGGCAAGGGGCTCAAGACAAGAAGTGGGTGAGAAGGCAGGAGGGGGGTGACCTGCTCATGTGGGGCCATGGTAAGTTTGAGGAGCTCACAATACCTCCAGCTGTGGATGCCACTGGACTTATGGGGTTGGGGCTCAAGACAGGTCCAGGCTGGACACATTCATCAGTAAGATTAAACCCCTGGCCAGAGAATGAGCTAAGCAGGAGGGAGAGAGAACAGTGGACACACAGCAGTCAGAGAAGACTCCATCAGAGCAGCAGGAGTAGTGGAGTCTGGACACCAAGAAGAGTGACTAATGGGGTTAGACCCCCACCCAGAGGCCACTGGGTCTCCAACAAGGAGGCCATGGCCAGCACAAGTTCAGGGAGTGGGGCCATGGTGGGAGCCGACCTTAGAGCTCAAAGGGAGAATAGGGGCCAGGCACGGTGGCTCACGCCTGTTAATCCCAGCACGTTGGGAGGCCAAGGTGGATGGATCACCTGAGGTCAGGAGTTCGAGATCAGCCTGGCCAACATGGCAAAACCCTGTCTCTACTAAGAATACAAAAATTAGCTGGGCGTGACGGCGGGCGCCTGTGATCCCAGCTGCTCCGGAGTGCTGAGGCAGGAGAATTGTTTGAACCCAGGAGGCGGAGGTTACAGTGAGCCGAGATCGCACCACTGCACTCCAGCCTGGGTGACAGAGTGAGACTCCATCTCAAAAAAAAAAATAATAATAATAATAAATAAATAAAACAGAGAATAGGAGGTGACACTGGAGATGGCCCATCTAGAGCTGTGCTTCTTTACCTTGGAATCTTTCATACCGGAATCTCAGGGGAGCTTTTTTTTCTTTTTTTTGAGACGGAGTATCGCTCTGTCGCCCAGGATGGAGTGTAGTGGCGCGATCTTGGCTCACTGCAAGCTCCGCCTCCCGGGTTCACGCCATTCTCCTGCCTCAGCCTCTCCAGTAGCTGGGACTACAGGCGCCCGCCAACATGCCCGGCTAATTTTTTTGCATTTTTAGTAGAGACGGGGGGTCTCACTGTGTTAGCGAGGATGGTCTCGATCTCCTGACCTTGTGATCCGCCCGCCTCGGCCTCCCATTACAGGCGTTAGCCACCGCGCCCGGCCTGGAATCTCAGGGGAGCTTTAAAGTCCACTGATGGGCCAGGTGCTGTGGCTCACTCTTGTAATCCCAGCACTTTGGGAGGCTGAGGCAGGAGGATCACTTGACCCCAGGAGTTCAAGACTACCCTGGGCAATATAGTGAGACTTGCTCTCAAAAAAAAAAAAAAAAAAAAAAAAAGCCCATCATGGTGGCATGTGCCTGCAGTCCCAGCTACCCGGGAGGCTGAGGTAGGAGGCTCTTGAGCCCCGAAAGTGAAGGCTGCAGTGAGCCGTGATCACACCTCTGCACTCCAGACAGGGTGAGACCTAGTCTCAAAAAACCAAACCAAACCAAACAACAACAAAATAACACTGATGCCTGGGCCACCCCAATGATGGGTGGGTGGCTCAGGCACAGGGATTTTTTTTTTTTTCTTTTTGTTTGAGATGGAGTCTCACTCTGTTGCCCAGGCTGGAGTGCAGTGGCGCGGTCTTGGCTCACTGCAACCTCCATCTCCCAGGTTCAAACGATTCTCCTGCTTCAGCCTCCCAAGTAGCTGATTACAGACGCCTGCCACCACACCCCGCTAATTTTTTGTATCTTAATAGAGATGGGGTTTCACCATGTTGGCCAGCCTGGTCTCGAACTCCTGACCTCGTGATCTGCCCGCCTCAGCCTCCTAAAGTGCTGGGATTACAGGTGTGAGCCACCCTGCCTGGCCACACGGGGATTTTTAAAAGGTCCCCAGGTGATTCCCTAGTGCAGCTGAGGTGGAGAAGCACTGGTTCAAAGACCATGGGTGGGATCAGGTGGTCTGCCCAGCATCACTCCTGGAACCACCCCAGGACAGAATGTAGCCAGTCTCCAAAGCTTAGAACTGAGCCCCTCAGCTGCAGCTCCTCCTTCAATCACTTCCCAGGGTTTCCAAAATCTGGGGCCAAAATCCCTGTCCACCCTCTCAGCCTGGGCAGCTGAGCCTTAAAAGAAGAGAATAGAGGCCGGGCGCGGTAGTTCACGCCTGTAATCCCAGCACTTTGGGAGGCCGAGGCAGGCGGATCACAAGGTCAGGAGTTCGACACCAGCCTGTCCAATATGGTGAAACCCCATCTCTACTAAAAATACAAAAATTAGCCAGGCGTAGTCGTGGGTGCCTGTAGTCCCAGCTACTTGGGAGGCTGTGGCAGGAGAATCGCTTGAACCCGGGAGGTGGAGGTTGCAGTGAGCCGAGATCGCGCCACTGAACTCTGGCCTGGGCGCCAGAGTGGGACTGGTGTGGGACTCCTAAACACACACACACACGCACACACGCACACACGCACACGCACACACGCACACGCACACACACACACACGAGAACAGAGGACAAGGGGGCATCACTGCACTGCCATTGCCACAAGGGGGCAGCCACGCACAGGGCCAGGCTCGGGATGGAAGTGTATCTGCCACTACCAGGGAGAACTGAGGAGCCTGCGTCTCCTCACTGGCTAGACAGGAACAATAGATATGGACACCTCATAGAGTTGCCTTGAGAGCACAAGTGAGCTGATGTTCTCTCAGGAGTGAGAGTTCCCTTCTGCTTGTCTGAACTAAACTGACAACAGCTAACATGTATTGAGCAGCTGCGATGCATTGGGCATCTCCTCTGAGCACTGTTTGCATGAACATTTTGGGGCTCAGAACACAATTCCAAAGCATGGCGCCGGGGCCAGCAGAGAGCTTTGAACTAACGGAAATTGGAAGGCCTCAGAAGCAAAGTTTTTCTGCCCTTCTGCTGCCCTCCTGTCTCTGGCCCTTCTTCTCCCCCAGAGTGAGTCAGAGAAACCAGAATTCTTCTTCCCCAAGGCAGGTCACAGAGACCAGAACCCCTCTCCCTCAAAGCAAGCCATAAAACTAGGCAGGTCACTCTCTCCCTTCTGTCTTGAAGACCATTCCAGAGGGGTAGGAAGGAACACTGCAGAGAGAGGCCAAGAAGAATCTGAGCAGATAGCCTTCCTGGGTCCCCTCGGCCTATCACCATTAGATCACACCCTTTGTCCAATCGCATTTCTACAAGCTTGTGCACTCTTTACCAAGCCTGAGTATAAAAACAGATAGCTGGCTGAGTGTGGTGGCTCACGCCTGTAATCCCAGCACTTTGGGAGGCCGAGGTGGGTGGATCACCTGAGGTCAGGAGTTCGAGACTAGCCTGGCCAACACGGCGAAACTCCATCTCTACTAAAAATACAAAAAATTAGCTAGGCATGGTGGCGGGCACCTGTAGTCCCAGCTACTTGGTAGGCTGAGGCAGGAGAGTTGCTTGAACCCAGGAGGTGGAGGGTCCAGTGAGCCGAGATCACGTCATTGCACTCCAGCCTGGGCAACAGAGTGAGACTCTGTCAAAAAACAAACAAACAAACAGGCCAGGCGTGGTGGCTCATGCCTGTAATCCCAGCACTTTGGGAGGCAGAGGGGGGCGGATCACCTGAGGTTGGGAGTTTGAGACCAGCCTGACCAACATGGAGAAACCCCATCTCTACTGAAAATACAAAATTAGCCAGGCATGGTGGTGCATGTCTGTAATCCCAGCTGCTCGGAAGGCTGAGGCAGGAGAATCGCGTGAACCCAGGAGGCAGAGGTTGAGGTGGGCCGAGATCACGCCACTGCACTCCAGCCCGGGCAACAAGAGCAAAATTCCGTTTTAAAATAAATAAATAAATATAATTAAAATAAACAAATTCTAACAAACAAAAAACCAAAAAAACAAAAAAACCTCTTTCCCTGGGGTTTGGGGTCTTCATTTCTTTCTTTTTTTAAAGAGATGGGGGTCTCACTATATTGGCCTTGCTGGTATTGAATTCCTGGACTCATGTAATCCTCCTGTATCAGCCTCCCAGGTAGCTGGGGCTAAGGGTCCTCATTTCTTTTCTTTTCTTTTCTTTTCTTTTTTTTTTTTAGTGACGGAGTCTTGCTCTGTCCCCGCCCTCAGGCTGGAGTACAGTGGCACCATCTCAGCTCATTGCAACCTCCGTCTCCCAGGTTCAAGTGATTCTCCTGGCTTAGCCTCCCGAGTAGCTGGGATTACAGGCGCGTGCCACCACGCCCAGCTAATTTTTGTATTTTTAGTAGAGACAGGGTTTCACTATGTTGGCCAGGTTGGTCTTGAACTCCTGACCTCAGACGATCCGCCTGCCTCGGCCTCCCAAAGTGCTGGTATTACAGGTGTGAGCCACCGTGCCTCACCTGAGCGTCTTCATTTCTGAAAGCTCCCATGTTGCGTAAAATTTTGATTAAACACATTTGTTCTGCTTTTTTGTTACCCTGTGTCTGGTTATAGGAGTGTCAGCCATGACCCTTATAATGAGTGAGGGAAAAGTACCACACAGTTCTGCCCTACAATTTTTTTTTTTAGACGGAGTCTTGCTCTGTCGCCCGGCTGGAGTGCAGTGGCGCAATCTCAGCTCAATGCAACCTCCATCTCCCAGATTCAAGCGGTTCTCTTGCTTCAGCCTCCCGAGTAGCTGGGACTACAGGCACCCGCCATCCATGCCCGGCTAATTTTTTTTGTATTTCTATTAGAGACGGGGTTTCACCATGTTGGTCAGGCTGGTCTCAAATCCTGACCTCAAGTGGTCCACCTGCCTCGACCTCCCTAAGTGCCCTACAAACTATAGTCCCATACCTTACTACAACCCTATGAGACAGGTATTATTAATAACCCCGCTTTACAAATGAGGGAACTGAGGCAAAAAGAACTTAAATAGATGGGCAAGGCCTCCCAGCTTGTAAGACGGAGTCAGGATCTAAAGTCAGCCAGCTCTGAGGCTGATGCTCCTAACCGCTATCTGCTGCCCTCCTTGTGAGAAATCCTGTCTTTGGCTTAGGTCAGTTCAAAGTGTTTCTATCATTTACAACCAGAAAAGCCTTCAGTGAGACTGTCTCATTTTTTCCCAACTCTTCCACTTTTCAAAGAACCCCTCCAGGGCTCCCTCCTGCAGAGAACAGGACTAGGCAGCACTGGCCCAGAAGTGGAGCAGTAAGAAGGTGGGGAACGGGGGGAGGGAGAGGAGGAGAAGGAGGAAGAGGAAGAGGGAGAGGAGGAGGAGGAAGGGGAGGGGGAGGAGGAGGAGTAGCAGTAGTAGGAGGAGGAGGAAGAGGAGGGAGAGGAGGAGGAAGAGGAGGGGTAGGAGGAGGAAGAGGAGGAAGGAGGAGGAAGAGGAGGAGGAAGAGGAGGAAGAAGAGGAGAAAGGAGGAGAAGAAGGAAGAGGATCAGGAAGAGGAGGAGGAGGAAGAGGAGGAGGAAGAGAAGGAAGAGGAGGAGGAGGAAGAGGAGAAGAAGGAAGAGGAGGAGGAAGAGAAGGAAGAGGAGGAGGAAGAGAAGGAAGAGGAGGAGGAAGAGAAGAAGGAAAAGGAGGAAGAGGAGGAGGAGGAAGAGGAGCAGAAGAAGGAAGAGGAGGAGGAAGAGGAAGAAGAGGAGAAGGAGAAAGAAGAGGAGGAGGAAGAGGAAGAGGAGGAGGAAGCTGGACTTGACACTGAGACACACATACCCTAACTCCTCCAGTGGCTGGAACCCTGAGAAGTAACCTGGGAGCCATAGCTAGCCACATTCCCTACCATGCGGCAGGGGGAAGAGCAGTCTGTGCAGAGGGAACACAGAGGGAGGCAGGGTAGAGCAGCGAGGAGGGAAGGAGGGACCTCTGCACCGTGCTTATCTATAGTTCTAGCACCTTGGTCTAACTTGGCTGCCCGTGGGCACCACAAGACACCTCGATATCTGTAGAACACATTTTCTTCCTTGCTGGAGCCAGCCCGCCTGGGCTTCTGTTATGTGCAGCAGAATCCTAACCCGCCCAGAAGGCTCAATGGCTGTGTGCTGAATCAATGCTTTGCAGTCCTCCCCCGATCCCTGAAGATGGCAGGAGTGGGATGTGGCACAGTCAAGTGACTATGAGTGCAGGTCAGGGCAGCAGCCTCTCCAGACCTTCCCAGTGAGGCTGCCCAGGTCCTGGGGCAGAACGTGTTTGAGGGGCTTCTCATTAATCTGTCAGGAAAGATGACGTGCTGACCTGCAGGCTGACCTGGGAGGGGTACCAGCACCCGACACTGCTCTGGCTCTCAGCCATCAGGCAGTGATACCATCTGCCATCTTCACTCCCCAGGCACCTCTGTAACTGCTCCAGGACCCCGACAAGCACAGCCCTCCACTGCCCTCCATTCAAGGCTATCCCTCCCTCATCCATAAATTCATTCATACATTCATCAAATGTTGACTGTCCCCCTCATTACACTGGACACCATTCCAGATGCAGAGACTGTGTGCCGGCTTTTCTGTTTCCTCTTGCCCCACAGTCCACTCTGCCCTTCTCTGCTCAGAAGGCTGGGCTCTAGAGACTGCATCACTGGGCTCTCTTCCCCCTGGCTTCCACTTGGGTTCAGCTAATGGGAGCAATGGCAGCAAGACCAGAGGGCAGGAGGAGAGACGGATGGGGGAGTTTATTCTGATTCCCCCACTTCGGCATGTGCAGCCGCCGGCCTCCAAGACAGCCTTGCTGCTCTCGGCTCCTGGCATCTGTGCCCCTGTGTAATGTCCTTCCACATTGTAGCAGGGCTGGTCTAAGTGAGCAACAGAATCATTAGAACCAATAGAATGGTGGAAATGATGGTTTGTGACTTCTGAGACTGGGTCTTAAAAGGTATTGTGGGGGTTGGGCTCACACCTGCAATCCTAGTGCTTTGGGAGGCCAAGGGAGGGGGATTGCTTGAGGCCAGGAGTTTGAGACCAGCCTTGGCAACATAGTGAGTGCCCCGTCTCTACAAGAAAAAAAAAAACAAAAAATTAGCTAGGCATGGTGGTGCCTGCCTGCAGTCCCAGCTACTTGGGAAGGTGAGGTGGGAGGATCACTTGAGCCTAGTAGTTCCAGGCTGCAGAAAGTTATGATCACACCTCTGCACTCCAGCCTGGGCATCAGAGTGGGACCCTGTCTCAAAACAAACAAACAAACAAATACAAACAACAACAACAACAAAAAAGCAAGGCCAGGCATAGTGGCTCACACCTGTAATCCCAGCACTTTGGAAGGCCAAGGTGGGTGGATCACCTGAGGTCAGGAGTTTGAGACCAGGCTGGCCAACATGGTGAAACCCCGTCTCTACTAAAAATACAAAACATTAGCCAGTTGTGGTGGCAGGTGCCTGTAATCCCAAGCTACTTGGGAGGCTGAGGCAGGAGAACCGCTTAAACCCGGGAGGCAGAGGTTGCAGCGAGTCGAGATTGCGCCATTGCACTCCAGCCTAGGTGATACAGCGAGACTCTGTCAAAAGAAAGAAAGAAAGAAAAGAAAGGAAAGAAAGAAAGGCATTATGGCTTCTATATTATCACCTGTTGTGGGATAAGCCAGCTGCCATGATGTGAGGACACTCAAGCAGTCCCATGGAGAGGCTACAGGGCGAGTGTGCCGCCTTGGAAGTAGACCTGCCAACTTCTTTTTTTTTTTGAGACGGAGTTTCGCTCTTGTTGCCCAGGCTGGAGTGCAATGGCGCGATCTCAGCTCACGGCAACCTCCGCCTGCCGGGTTCCAGTGATTCTCCTGCCTCAGCCTCCCGAGTAGCTGGGATTATAGGCATGCGCCACCACGCCCGGCTAATTTTGTATTTTTAGTAGAGATGGGGTTTCTCCATGTTGGTCAGGCTGGTCTCGAACTTCCAACCTCAGATGATCCACCTGCCTCGGCCTCCCAAAGTGCTCGGTGGCCTCCCAAAGGTGTGAGCCACCGAGACTGGCAGACCTGCCAACTTCTGTTAAGCCTTCTGACACCTGCAGCCCTGACCAATGTCTTGAGAGACCCAAAGCTAAACTACCTACTTAAGCGGCCCCTGCAAACCTGACCTACAGAGACTATAACAATAAATGTCTGTTGTTTTAAGCCACTAAGTTTTGGGGTAGTTTGCTATATGGCAATGGATAATGCAGCGTGGCTCTGGACCAGGTGTTCTCACCCTGCCTCTGGCAATACAGCTTGTCCTCCTGTGAAACAACTTCCTACTACTGCTGTCTTTGGATGTCTCAATGTCCCCTGTTGACTTCCTTTATCCTGTCCTCAACCCTTTACTAAACTCTCTTCAAACTTCACAATGGAATATGTTGCCTGCTTCCTGCCTGGTGCAGGTTGGAATTATGAACAAGACAGACACCCTTCCCTTCAGAGTTTATATTCTAGTGGGGAAAACAGACAATAAATTAGCCAACAAATAAATAAGCAAGGTAATTTCAGAGACCAGTAAGTAAAACAGAGAAACGAATGGAAAAATAAATGGGGCTCGAGACAGGCTGATCAGGAGCCTACACTAGGCAGGCTTGTCAACGAAGGCCTCTCAGAGGCCGTAGGCTCAGTCTGAACTCAGGAGAAGGCAACTCAGACAGAAGAGGCTGGAGCAGTCAAAGGGAGCAGCGACGTCCCTAAGATAGGAGAGGGTGTGGAGGTGTCAGGAACAGAGGAGGGAGGCCCACGTGCTAGAGCAGAGCTCGCAGGGTGGCAAGTGGGAGAGGGGAGCTCAAGAGACTCAGGCAAAGCCAGATGAGGAGTTTGGGTTTTGTTTAAACTACAGCACAGCCCCTCACTAAAGGATGTTCAGTGAGGTCCGTGTAGTATCCAATTTACCTTTGGAACGAGCTCTCCGGTCTTGACACCTCTGCCTATAATCTCTAGACCCATAACGTGGGCTGACATGAACTTCTCAGATGCAAATTGCTCTGACCAGGATGTCCTGGTCAGCCCTCTGGGGTGGATGGAGGGGCTGCTCCTACCACCAGCCTGGGGACCTCCCACCCCTGCCTCATCCAGAGAGCCTCGCTTGCCACATGGGCACGAAAGGGGCCTTCCAGGTCTCTGGGCTTTAGCAGGGCTCACCCACTCTGGCTGGCTCTGATTTTGTTTTGAGGAAAACAAAGTCCAGGTGTTGAAGTGGTCTGAGGAAGGTTACACCATGCAATGGACTGAATGTTGGTATCTCCCCAGAATTCACGTGTTGAAACCTAATCCCCAGGGTGATGGTATTTAGAGGTGGGGCCTTTGGGAGGTGATTAGGCCAGGGGGGTGGAGCTCTCACAATGGGATTCCTGCTCCTTTGCCCATTTCCTGCCATGTGAGGACACAGGAAGGTGACTGTCTGTAACCCAGAAAAAGGTCCTTGCCAGTCACCAACCAGGCTGGCACCCAGATCTCAGACTTCCAGCCTTCAGAAGTGTGAGAGATAAATTTCTACTGTTTGTAAGCCACCCAGTCTACGATAATTTGTTACAGCCACCTGAATGGACCACAACAACCCAGGTATGCACCCCCTGGCCCCGCCTCTACCCAGATGGAAAGGGAAGATCAGAAGGCAGGAGTTCCCGCCCCTCCTCCTGGCCTTGCCTGGTCCTGTCTCACAGGGTCTCACAGTGGCCCTTACCCACTCCCTGGCCTGCCTCTCTCTCTGAGAGGGTGGGTCCTTCTCCCCACACAGGCTGTCCATGAGGCAACCTGTGAGGGGCAGGTTGGGGAGGGAGGGGAGCTCGGCTGCTCCCACCAGGCCCCTCCTCCTGCCCCCATGGGCACTGACCACCCAGGGACCACCGGCCTGTGTCCCGCCCGGCTCTGGGTCACTGCATAGGCCCAAATCACACCTGTGGTTCTCCTCGGAGGTGTAACCTTGCTCAGATCACTTGATTACCTGAATTTTGTTTTCCTTAACTCAAAGATGGGCATATACATAGCCCTCCTATTTCTTTTTTGCTTTTTTGAGAGCCCCATCGCCTTTCACCCTCTCATCTGTGAGCAACTCCATTGCTGCTCTAGGAAAGGCAGAGTCTGGCACCTGGCAAGGCCTCCTCACAGGCCTGACTCCCGTCCCTTCCCACCTCCCTAGGCAGAACCGGGTGGAACTGCATGAGAAGCGACGGAGGCGCCAGCCCCAGCCAGCTCCCTGTGGCTCCTGGCACCAATCAGGCCTCGAGGCTTCCTCAACACCAGCTTTCCTTCCCCTCCCATTGGGCCCTGCATCCCTGCCTTCTGCAACATTGTGCTCCTGACCCTGGCTGGCTCCCAGCCCTCCACAGCTGGGCCCCACCTCAGAGCCTTTGCATCAGGTAGCCCCAGAGTCAGAGAGAAGGCCCCCGACAAAGCCGCAGATGGAGCTCAGCCCCAGGAAACACCTTTCCAGAGCAAGGCTCCAGCTCACTGTAGGACCACAGTCAAGTCTGTATCCAGGCCGAGCGACAGGTGGGCTTGGGAACCATCTCACTCCCGGCCTAGATCCTACACCAAAAGGAAAAACTTCCCTCCCACACCCCTTCGTCCTGCTCTGGTTTCCTGACTGCCAGTGGGGAAGCACTTCTTTTGGAAGCCACTGGAAATTGAGGGATGAGACAGAAAAAAACCAAAGCAACAGAGAAGCGCTCAAGTGTGGAAATGTCCCCAGCCGGCCCTCCCCTTCCCGCCAGGTCGGGCTGCATAGCCCTGGGGGAGCCTAGACCTGGAGCTGCAGGAACATGGCAGAACCTCCCATCCAGGCAGGGCTGAGCTGCAGATCTGGAGCCTGGAGAGCCATGGAGCTTTCCCTTCCGAGCTCCCAGGGCCAGTAGGAAGAAGACATGAGTGAAGGGGTGGGTGTCAAAGGACACTCAGCCTCAGAGGTGAAGACATCTGGGAGTGGTGGGGACTGAGGCAAAGCGGACAGCCCCATGCAGGGCCCCGGACGGCCTTCTATGACACCTTTGTGCAAATAAGAAAAAGTTCACCTCCAGGGAGACAAGGGCTTGCACCAGGGCTCATGGCTTGGTGGGTAGAGAGAGGGCTGGATTTGAACTTTCCCCTGCCTCCCCCTACCCCACTACCCCTCTGTACGCATGCTTTCGTGCAAGGTACAACCTGTACAACTGTATGTGGTGGCCTTGGCCCCATATAACAGGGATGGCTACTTAGCTCCAGCCCTGCAGAAATGAGGGCTTCATGTTGCTGGAGCTTCCAGTTTTTCAAGGGCAGCTGAATACAGGGATCATGTGAAAAATTCTGGTTTTTAAATGTTGGCAATGAATTCACCCCCTGGGCCAAACAAAACCAATCTGTGCTAGTGGCACCAAGGGAGAGCACCTCAAGCTCTTGGTGCCTGGAGGACGGGCTTGTCCTCCTTGGGCCTGTCTGCCAGTCCTCCTTGGGCATACAGCTGCTCTGCCCAGAAAGGCACCCACCGCACACCCCGGGACCTGGCTGGCTCGGACCACAGCCACCCTACCGGCTTGGGACAGTGGATGTAGCGTGCCAGGCTGATGATGAGGTCGTGTGTGATGGGGTCCACCAGGTTCCGGAAGCTGGCGTAGCGATACAGAACGTCGTCTAGCGAGGTCGACTCCATGCCCAGGTCCTGCAAGAGCAAAGGATGCCCAGAGGTCAGGGCTGGCTGCCCACCCAGCTCGCCCACCATCCCCAAGAGAAGTAGGCACAGACCCCTAGAGGCGACTCTGCCTCCCAGAGCCCCGGTGGGGAGCATCTGCAGAACTTCCCTCAGGGGCTGGGGCAGGCCTCTCCTGTTTGTCTTTGCCTCCAAGTTGAGGAAGAGCAGGGACTGGCCTCTGCAGGCTCTGCAGTTTGTGCAGGTCCTGGCTTGTGGCCCTCTCCTAGGACAGCCCCTGACCTTTGTCTCTCTGGTTTTCCAGAGGAGGAAGCCAAGGGTGGCCTGCCTCGGTGCAAGCAGCTGCTTCTCTATGGTGGCAAAATTTGGAATTAACTGCCTTGTGACAGGATGGTTTAATGATATTTATTTGTGTTTTCTTCCTGCTTCTGACGTTGTTTTTACTGCTCCTTCTGTAGCCGATGCAGCCTCAGTGTTCCTTTGCCTTGGGGGTTTCTGAGTGGTGGGGTTGTAAGCAGATCCTGCCAGGCACCCAGAAGGAAACCTCATCAGGACTCCCTCAGAAAGGTACTGAGTGGAATCTTCCCGATGGGAGGGGAGCAGCTTGGAGGCGAGTGCTACTAAGTGTGGTGGGGCCGCGGCAGAAACCGCTGGAGCAGAGCTTCCCTGGGTCTGAGGAAGGAATTGGGTTTGGGGGCTCAGGACACACCACCCCAGAATATGGTACCCTGGCATCTGAGGAGGCAGCTGACACAGGAAGGTCTCTCTGACTGCTGTTCTCCCCCAAAGCAGGCCCTGAAGAATCCTGTGACCTTCATCTAAAGTAGGTCATGAGACCCCTGAGCTTAAAACGGAGTGATCGGCTTTGGAGAAGTAAGGAGACATGACGTGCCTGCCCTGGGGTGGGGACTAAACTTCGTGCCACTCCACGTGAAAGGGG
Source organism: Homo sapiens (assembly GCF_000001405.40). Classification (NCBI taxonomy): domain Eukaryota; kingdom Metazoa; phylum Chordata; class Mammalia; order Primates; family Hominidae; genus Homo; species Homo sapiens. The sequence goes on from NC_000017.11 coordinate 16,463,315, forward strand.
GAGGTACGCCTGCTCCCTTTCCTCAAGCCCCCCCCTCCCAATTTCTGCCATCCTTGGGTATGAGCTACACGACAGTCCCTGACCCTAGCTTGGTGCCCTGCACAGACCAGGCAATGCTGACATTCCCATCCGGAGACTGTCCTCACACCATCCTGGGGAACATGAGACATCCCTGGGTAGGGAGGCAAAGCAGGCCCACCCACTGCAGGCTGTCCTCATTCTGGGGGCTCCCACAGCTGCCCCAGCACAGCCCAGAGAAAGGCTCCCAGCCCAGGTGGCTGGGGTCCAGTGCCCTGGGGACGGGACGTCTGGGCAGGGAATGTGTGGGTAACCAGCTGAGTTTGCTCCTTGTCATTTTGTTTGTATTCTGAACTTTTAAAATACCTTCCCCACATGATTCTTAGAAATCCCTGGAAGGCACGCAGGCTGGACATCATCATATATTCTCTACAGATGGAGACACCAAGGCCCACGCCTTCTGTGCTGTTGGAATTTCAGGAAGGATGGGGGTGGGGCACGGCCTCAGCCCTGGGCATGTTCTGCAGATTGCACTGCTCTTATCTGCCAGGGGGTGGTGAGAGGGTGGCTGAGCTGGACAGATGGCGGGCAGGGACGGGCTCTGCGGTCTGGCAGCTGACATTGATACAAGCAAAAAAAGAGTCTTTGCTGGGGGCTCTGGAGGGCCTGGGTGTCATGCCTGGGGGTGGGAGGAGCCTCTTGTGGGGAGCCCCTTGGAGCCCAACTGCCAGCCAGGTCCTACCTGCCGTGGTTAGGGGGCACTCTGCCCCCACCCTCATTAACGCCTCAGTGAGGACACAAGAGGCCAGTTGTGAGGGCTGTTTTCCATATGGCAGGAATGAACCTTGGAGGCGAACTGCCAGGTCCTGTGCCAGGCTCTCTGGCTGCTGAAAAAATTTGCTGGGAACCAGGACCTGGGGGCTCAAGGTCTGTCATGGATGCAGTCAGGGGAGGCTTCTGAAGCACTGGCTGGTACAGGTTCTAGAGCTGCACCCCCTTGTAGAAGCAGGTACAATACCCGCCTTTGACCTCTGGCCCTGCCCTGGCTTTTTCAATCCCTCAGCCAGGGCTGCATCCTGAAGCAAGCAACCTGACAATGCTAAGCCTCAGTTTCCTCATCTGTAAAACGGGGACAGTGACCCCAGCATCACAAGGAGGCAAGGGGAACAAGACCAAGTGTTACATGTAAAGCCTCTGGCAGGGAACAGAGAAAGCAGCAGTGCCCTTTCTACTACATTTCTGCCCCCTCCTCCCTGGAAGGCCCGTCCTCACCTTCTGCAGGGGTTCTCGATCTCCTGGACCACAGACCCAATTGAGAATGTGTCAAAAGCCATGAGCTCTCTCCCTAGAAAAATTCTGGAGTCAGGGCTGGGCGGGGACCTGAGCACACAGAGTCCACACTGGCCTCATGGTCAGGAGGGTGTGTCAGAGCCGTGTGGACACGAGGGACCCCGGGACACAAACTATCACCCACTAATGTGCAAAATCACAGCCCTGCCTCCCTGAGGCGGGAGGAAGCTGGGGACACAGGAAGGCCGAAAGTCAAAGGACTTGTGTTCTACGGTCTCAGAGGGCCTGTGTGGTCAAACGAGCTGTGGCCCAGTGCCTGGTTTGCCAGCCAGTCCCTGCCTACAGCTTGAGGCTCCCCTTCCTGGGGACAGGGAGCTGGAGAAGGAGGGCAGATGAGGTGGAAACAGAGGGGTGGTTATTCCCATGGTCAGAGGCTGCACTGGTGGCCACGGGGAGGAGGCCAGAGGCATGGAGCTATTTTTCTTTTACACTCGGTCGAGCAGGCTGGGCTGCTCCTCTGTGGTTGGCAACTTAATGCCAGCCTCTATGCCTCCTCTGCTTTGCCCCTGGGCACCCCTCTCCTCTGTGAGCACCCCTGGCACCTAGTGGTCTCCCCCTTACAATTGTCCCTGCAGTCTGTCCCTAAATGACCCTGGGAAATAGCACTGGATTTTAGGCCCTGGCCAGCCCCAACTCGCTGTAAGTCTGTGGCAAGAGACTTCCCTCTTGGGATTCATTTCCCTATCTGTGAAATGGGCAGATGAACCACACTAGTGGTTATTAAACTGTGTTCCAAGATCTTGAGGCTGACGGTCAGGGGCTGCGGTAGACGAGAGAGGTGAGAGGAACCAGCAGGGCTGTGGGCTGCAGCTCTTACAAAGCAGCTCCTGGTTACAAACAAATGAACGCAGTTCTGTTCCAAAGAAAAGCTTGAAAGCCCTGGACCAGATGACTGCCTGGGTTTCTTGTGTTCCTACCAGCCCTGCCCCATCTTCCTGGACCCCCTACATCTCCAAGCTAGTCTAGGCCATCCCTGGAAGGACCAAGAAAATCCCAGTTGCCAACCCAGGAGGTTGGGCAGGTCTGTGAAGATGCCAAATGTCCTTTCCGGAGCCCACTCCCCTGCCGTCTCCCCGCGCCATCCCCCTGGTTGCCCAGCTGCTGACTGTGGCTCTGCCTCTCTGGAGCACTGTCTGGGTTCATGTGGTTGTTGCTTAGGAGGGGAAAAGGAGTGTAGAGGCAGGATGGGAGGGAAGGAGGAGGGTCTCCTAGAAAGGCAGCTCAGGGTCACTGTGAGTCACGGCCAACACCGGCCCGCCCTGTGAATTCCAGCTGGGGTGGGGCTCCCCAAGGTCCCAGGGCTACAACAGGGAAAGCCAGATAGAGGCTGGCCAAAGGCCATGGCACACATTATTGCTTTATTGCTTTATTTCAACCCCACCTAGGCCCACAGGATGCTTGTGCTAACTGAGGGCACTTCATAGTCCTGAGGACCTTGGGCTACTTCCTGCCTCCTTGATGTCCTCTCCATCCCCCCTCCCCTAAGCCAGGCTATTGGAGATGATGGTGTCACCAGCTGCTGGGACTACCCACAGGGCTGGGTGTGAGGGAGGAGAGGTCACCAGATCCTCAGGTGTCTCAGGAGGCTGCAGCCTGGGCCACAGCCCTGGGAATGGGCTCCTTTCAGACTCGGCACCCATGGCCTGCCCTCCTTCTCAGGAAGACACAGAATGGGGGTAGGCACACAAGGCCTGCTGCATGTGCAAGGGAAGTGGAAGAATCAGATCCAGGTGTGGTCCCTGCAGCCCCTCCTGTGCACTGTACTAGTCTTGGAGGGGCTGGTTTGTCTTAAAAAGCACAAGGCATTGAGGACAATCCCATTTTCCTCATGATAGGTCTAAACGGTACCACCTCTAGGAACTGTGCCTGTGGACAGTTCCTCATCAGGATGTCTGGGAACACCAGCAGGTGCACCTGAGTCACTGCTGGTGGGGAGTGACGCTCGGAGAGTGTGGCTGGCCTGACACCGAGTCACTCTCGGCTCCCTTTCCGAGCTGCCGGACCCAGCACACAGCAGCACACGGCATTTCAAAGAAGGGGGCCCTACATAACTGGAGCTTGGATAAACAGGTCTGGGGACTCGCTGCAATGGGAAGAGATGATGGGCTTGGGAATAGGGGTGCATGTTTCCAAAAAGTGAGTAGAGATTTACACAGGGCAGTCAGAATGGCATTTCTCAAAGTGTGGTCTGTAGACTTTGGGGAAGCACCCTTAAGACCATTTTAGGGGTGCTGTGGGGACCTCTTTTCCAATGACATATCTATGTGATGCCAGATTTTCTTCATAGATGTCAATTAAAACAACCTGTCGCAAGACCCAGTGCAAAAGCGCAAGTCTGATAGCCGTCTTCTAGAAAGTGAGACTAAAGAGAGTCACAAAAATGGGGAGCAACACCACTCTCCTCACTTGGTTTTTCTTTTCCTTTGGAAAATATAGTTATTTTCATAAAAATTTATTTTTTCACTTGTGAACTTGTTATTTTTTATTTTGAGACAAGGTCTTGCTCTGTCACCCAGGCTGGATTGCAGCGGTGCGATCATAGCTCGCTGCAACCTTGAACTCCTGGGCTCAAGTGATGCTCCTGTCTCAGCCTCCAGAGTAGCTGGGACTACAAGCGTGAGGCACTGTAAGGAGCTGCTGTTATTTTTTTTAGATGTGAAAACAACCCTATGAATGTAACAGCTGGCATTTTGCATTCACGTGTGTGCAAGGTAATGGCATGGAGTGTACATGATCACTGCCACTCACTCGTTGATGCCTCCCCACAGTTGGACTCACACCTTCACTCTGTATTCCTGTGCAGTAGGGAAGTCACCCAGTACATGTTTCCCCCCAGGAGGAATACACAGATGCTTTCTCTTCTGAGCTCTGGCCTCCCTGAGAATTCCTTCATGTTGATGACACACCTGAAGACAACCTGGCTCAACAGAAACTCCCTGCAAAATATCGCAGACTTGGCTACCCTCTGACTTTCAGTCCTGCAGATGAGAATGAGGCTATCTGATTTTTGTTTCTTTAGCTGCTTGTTCGGCCCTGGCGCCTGTAGGGCTGTCCTTGCCACAAAACCCCACTGTGCCTACTGGACAGCCCTAGCACACTGTCCTCTTCCTGGGAATATCAGTTCAGCATATAGGAGGCCTCTGAAGCAACTGATATCTCTACAGCAACTTCTCCAAGTCACCAAAGGGACATCTCATTCTTGACATCGCCCAAACTCCTAAAATCCCTTCCCTGTATCTTTCTTACTACTCCAACATCCCCCACTTTCTCATTTCCACCCTGAAAACCCAGCCAAAATCTTTCTAATACAAATAAACTTAACTTCTCTGGCCAATCCAGTTCTCAGATCCAAAAAGCCCCGTAAAATCCCAGAAAATAACAAGGGTTGGCAAGAATGTGAAGAAACTGGAAACTTTGTGCGCTGCTGGTAGGAATGCAAAATGGTGCAGCCACCATGGAAAATGGTGTGGCAGTTCCTTAAACAAATTAAACACAGAATTGCCATATGATCCAGCAATTCCACTCTTGGGAATATATACCCCAAAGAACTGAAAGCAGGCACTCAAACAGCAGCTATGTTTCCAGCAGCATCATTCACAGTAGCCAAAAGGCGAAAACAATCCGGGTGGCCATGAACAGATGAATGGGTACACGGAGTGTGGTCTAGCCACGCAACGAAATATTATTCAGCCTTAAAAAGGAAGGGGATTCCAACACATGCTACAGCATGGTGAACCTTGAGGACACAGGGACAAATAAGTGAAATAAGCCAGACACAAAAGGACAAATACTGTCTGGTTTCACTTATATGAGGTATGTAGACTAGTTAATTCATACAGACAGAAAGTAGAATGGTGGGTACTACCAGGGGCTGGGGGGAAGGGAAGGAGGAGTTACTGTTTAATGAGGACACAGTGTCCGTTTTGCAAGATGAGAGTTCTGGAGATCAGCTGCACAGTAAACAGTGTGAATGTACTTAACACCACTGAGCTGTATGCTTAAAGATGGTTGAGATAGTAAATTTTATGTTATGTGTATTTTACCACAAATTTTAAAAGGGGCCAGGCCCGGTGGCTCATGCCTGTAATCCCGGCACTTTGGGAGGCTGAAGCAGGAGGACAGCTTGAGCCAGGGAGGTTGAGGCTGAAGTGGGCTATGACGGTGCCACTGCACTCCAACCTGGGTGACAGAGCCAGACCCCCAGGCAGGCAAACATAGACACCTTCTTGGGATAGGAGGGGGCAGGGGAGGGTGCACATTCTATCTGGCCATTCTTTTTCTACCCCTGACACTTGGTTATTAAACATTTTTGCCACCATGTGTCTAGTGGCGGATCTGTTTCCTTTGGATTTACTTTCAGGTATTGGTCTGCAAACACAGACCTTTTTTCAAGCTGTCTCTTCCTCAGGAAAACCAACACTGGCTCTGTGTCTTCTGGATTTATCTTTTTTGGTATTCTGTGCATGATACACTTTCATCCAGGGTTTCCAGTTTGCCTTCCATGTCACTGATTTCACATCCAGCATCACCGCTCTCACTGCCCCCAAGAAGGATTGTAAGTCGCCTAGCATTTCATTTCCTTGCAATTCTTATTTTGCTTGTTAATCTCCCCTTTCATCTCATCCTGTTGGTTTTCTTTTCCATCACAGCTTGGCCTCTTTGGGTGGCCTTTTGTTCTTTTCCCACAAAGTTCATTTCTTCTGGATCGTGCTGTAGATCATTTTCAGAGGTCGGGGTTCAGGTTCCAGGGTATCTATCCTACGCTCAGGCTTCCCCCCTCCCCAGCTTGTGCACTCTCAAAGAGGCCAAGATCTAGTGACACCCACGTCTATCAGCGCATCCTTGTCCCCATGACGGCCTCCTTGGGTTGGGACTGAGTCCACCTCTCAGGGCTCTGGCTTGCAGAAGAGTCCAGCCCCAGGATGAGTCTCAGGCACTGTGCTTATGTGACTCTGACCTTGAGAAGGGACATCTTCACCCACTTCATGGCCTGAATCTCCAACACTCACAACAGTGAAGTCCATGGAAATCTATAACAATGTCTGTATGTTCAGGACACTTCCTGTCCTTGGGTAAGCCCACTGGCTGGCTGCACTGGACTTCTCAGATGCCATCTCTTCCCGCCTTGGGAGTTGCTGTCTCTGAACCGATGCAGACAGAGGCATGGGAGAGGATGAAGGGAGAGGGGAGTGGAAGAGCCCTCCTTTTACCTCCAAATTGTCACTTGCGTGGTACAGGACCAGTTGCCTGGCTTTCTGATTGGCACAGTCCACAGACTAAGGGAGAAAGTGGCTTCCTCCCTTCCTTCCGGAGGTCTCAGATTCCTGGGAGGAAGGCTGCATTGTGTCTTTCTTGGCCCTGCTCCATGTGTCTAGCAGTGAGGAGGCTCCTCTCAGACTGCCCACCTGTCTTTGTTTCCAGTGTGCTGAGTGTTTGTCTTTTTTTGGTGCATCGTCTTAGGTGTCTTAGGGGAAAGCTAGGGGAAGCCACAGAGGAGGCCGTCAGCCATACTCTATTTTAAACCTCAACTCCCCCCTTCCCTCTTAAACTCATTTTTAACCCCACTCCCAGAAGGAAGGCCCCGCGGGAAATTAGCTTTCATTTGTCTCTCTCCTCCAGGCATGACTCCACAGTTTCTGCAACAACAGAGCCGGGGAAAGGAGGACGCAGCAAGCGCTGAATATTAACCAGCAAAGGTAGATGCTTCAATATCGAAACCACCGGGACCCGCATGTGCAAAGCTACTTAATGAGGGTGTAATCAAACACAGTCTACCAGAAGGAAATTAATTAGAGTCCGGAGAGCAAGCAGGAAGCAGAACCAGGCTGCTCCCCCTCCTGGCTCTAGAACATCACTGGCAGCCACTGCTAAGGGAGGGACAAGGCTGGGGGATGCCAGGCCTCAGCTGGGTGCCAGGGCTCCTGTCCTCTTCCCCGTGACATTCCGGCTTGCCTTTGGGGGACACCCAGGGGAGGGAAGGGAAATGTCAGGTGCTGTTAGGGAAACACAGCCTGAGGAAGCCCCCAGGGAGAGAAGCTGGGACATCCCAGAGTTAAGGAGCTGGGCACAGAGAAGACTTGCTTCTCTAGGAAGACAATGGTCTCATAAGAAGAAGGACGGAATCATAAACAACAGAAATGTATTCTCTCATAGTTTTGGAGACCAGAAATCTGAAATCAGGGTGTTGGCAGAGCTGCACTCCCTCTAGAGATTCTAGGGGGAGACTTCATTCTTTCCCCATGTGCGACAAGGAAGGGAGGGATGCCAGGCACAGACCTATGCACCTAATGAGAGAAACAGATACAGGATGCAGTGGGATGAATGGTGGCCCCCAAAAGACATGCCCATGCGCTTGTGCCCAGAAACTGTGAATGTGACCTCATTTGGAAAAAGGGTCTTCACACACAGATTACCTTCAGGACCCTGAGATGAGATGATCCTGGTTTATCCAGGTGGGCCCTGAATCCAAAACAAGTGTTCTTACAAGAGACACAGAGAAGGCAGCAATGTGAAGGTGGAGGCAGAGAAGGGAGTGATGCGGCCACAACCACCAGAAGCTGGAAGGGAGAAAGAGTGAAATCTCCCCTGGAATCTCTGGATGGACACGGCCCTGCCGACACTCTCATCTCAGACTTCTGGCCTCCAAACCATGAGAGAATATGTTTCGGTTGGTCCAAGTCACTCAGCCAGTGGTCATTGGTTACGGCAGCCCCAGGAAATGAATGCACCAGATTGGATCAGGACAGAGGTGGCATTTTTCCCAGGGGCACACCAGGCAAAAGGGAGAAGAGATCAAGGCAAGTGGCCGGGACCCCTCCCTTCTTCCACAGCTGCAGACCTCAGCCAAGAGCACAGCTGTGGGCAACCAAGGACGTTATTGCCAGAAATCAACTTGCTGTCTCCACCAGCCCTGAAGCCTCTGTGGGTACACTCTCCTTTGCTGTCTGCTCCCAGGGGCAGGGCTGTACTAGTCAGAAATGCTTCCTATAGGATCCCCAAGGTGGTTCTCAGCTCAACATGGGAAAGAACCTTTAAAAACAGGTGATGAAGGAAATGCTGACACTGTCCACGACAAGGATGAGGCTTGAAGACTCCACTAAGAGAAATAAGCTCGGAACGAGAGGACAAATACCGCATGAGGCCACTTACGTGAGGGACCAAGAGTATCTAATCATTCAAAGTACTCAAATTCACAGAGACAGAGGGTAAAATGGCAGTTGCTGGGACTGGGGAAGGGGGAATTCGTGTTGGGTGGGGACAGGGTTTCAGTTTGAGGAAGATGAAAGAGTTCTGGAGATGGAAGGTGGTAATGGTTGCACAGCAATATGAATGTGCTTAATGCCACTGAACTGTGCACCTAAAATGGTTAAAACGGTATTTTATATTTGTATATTTTATCGTAATAAAAAAATAGTGCTGAGCTCACTGTCACTGGAAGGATACAAGCAGAGGAGAGACACTCATCAGCCGGCACTGCTGAGGCAGGATTTCTGGACCACAAGGAAGGTGGCCACTAAGGGTTGCCCTCTGGCCCCCTGTGACTCTTCTCATCAGCATGGCCCAGGATGCAGCATCCTGGCATCCAAGGAGGTGCCACTAAGTAGCTACAAGATGTGGGGCCTGGCGAGAGGAACCACAAAAGAACGCAGAAAAAAAAAGCAACAAAAAGCCAGTGACAAAGCTGCGTGGATGGCGGAAGGCGAGCAGGAGTTTGGTGATGCAGTTTGAAGACCGGGACTGAGACCCCCCCACTGGAGGGGTACGTGGGGTGCAAAAGCAGAAGTGGCACCAGTGGGCTTGACTGCTCCAGAGAGGGGCATTGCTCCTCAGTGCAGCAACAAGGCGCCTTTAGCCCCCTTGTCGTTTTTGGCCCCAAAAGTGCCACAGTTACACAGGGTGGCCCTGGAGCAAAGTGAGTGCTAATGCGCTGGGGCATACGGAAATCTGGTATTTCACACATTTGTCATGTTAAGGAGAATTAGGCGTATCAGAGTATCTAACAGATTGGCCTTCCAATCCCCATTTAAAACGGGTAATTGAGTAGCTGATTTTAAGCTTATGATTTTAAGCAGAACACCGGAAGTGGATTCAGCCAAGTTTGTAAGTTTTGAAATGTTTCAGAGAACTAATAGTCATCATATTTATCAGCTTATTAAATTTCAAGAACTATTTAGGAACCCAGGAAAGTCCTGCTTTTTAGGATGAGTATTTATAAACTTAAGAACACTGGTTATGTTAAATTTATAAAGTTACATCAAGATATTTAAAGAAATTTAATTACTTAAGTTATAAACCCCCTACCCTTGAACATCGACATTTAAATGGACTAGATTCGTGAGGGGAATAATGAAATTGGTATGTTAAATGCTTCAGGAAACACTAGGTTTAAAAATTTCCACTTCAATATATATTGAATATTGAGAAAATTCAAGTCGTTGTAAGTAGTCTGTGTGTGTGTGTGTGTGTGTGCGCGCGCGCCCCAAGAATAACTAATGACAGATAATGCAGATGAGGTGGGCACCCTGCAGAGTCCAGGGCAGGGAGCATCAGCACAGCTAGACAGGGAGGACTATGCAGTTAAGAGCCCGAGGCACACTGCTCAGGCTTGGAAGACACCAAAGCAAAGCAGACTAGCAAAAGTAATAAAAGCAACTGCTACATCCCCTCCCCCTAACAAAACCACTGGACGGCATGGGAACCCTGTTTGAAGGTGAGGCCTCCTCACAGTCCTGCTGATGTCTAAGGTGGGCATTGCCCGGCTCCTGGTCCCAGTCTTGGGGGTTGCCTCTCGAGGGCACCCTGGCTTGGTGCCCGCCACCCCCACAGGCCTGTGAGTTTGGTACCCAAGGAGGTGTCCATTAGCACCCAGCTGACCGAAGTCAGCCAGATGCTGCCAGGGAGGGCTGCTCTGCAGAGGTCTGAGCCAAGAAACTGCTGGTGGGGGGTCATTGGCACCCACTCCCCGCTCCACCAGACTTGCCCAGCCTGTCTGAGGGATGAGAGGTAAAGACTGGGGTTCTCTGGTCCCACCTGAGGGTCCAGGGGCAGCTCATGACTCTCCCACCTGTCCAAGGCCACGTGGCCCCTGCAGGTTTTTGAAGCCAGGCACCCCGGCAGGCTGGCCCTCCTCGACGGTGACGAGTGTTGCCACCAGGTCTGCCTTGCCCAGCAGGAGTCAGCGGGCTGGGCAGCGATGTTTGGCAGCTTTGCTCAGTGAGGGGCTTCATGACTGTGTGTTGTTTGTGTTTTAACTTTGAAGTCTTAAAAAATGACACCCTCTGTGTGAAACAGGCCTCTGGAAACAGATGCCCAGCCGTTGCCAAGTGTAACTTAATTAAAATCCGAGAAACGGCTTTAGCAACAAATAAATATCAAAAGGATGCTTTCTCTTCAGAATAATCTAAAGTAAGTTGGGAGGCGCATCAAGCCATATGAAGGGTTTTGTCTGCTCCTCCATGGTCATGGCTCTGCCCACACGTGGCTGACGGTGGGGGACAGACGTGGGTTAGATCCTAAGTCACTGTGTGGCCCTGGGCAAGCCACCCTCCTACACCACAGCTTCCCCACCTACAAATGAGAAGGTTGCACCAGCTCATTCTTCCAGAGTTGGAGAGGGCAGCAGAAGAGGGACTTGGACCAAATAGGTTTGGAACACAAAGAATTCAACAAATAACCATTTTCCTTTTCCTGCTGGACGTTTCAGCTACTGTTTTATGACTCCGAAAGGGTGGTGGCATTTGCAGTATTTCCCAGATTTATTTCCCAAGCACCTCCCCTGCTTCCCCAGGACCTCTTGTGGGACTCAGATTCTGCAGTATGCCTGGGGCCAGATGGTCTCTGAGGTCCACAGGCCCCTACATTCCACAAATTCTCAGCACTTTGTCACCCATCCCAGCGCCCTCCTAATCTCTCTGCTTGGGAAATTATCTGAATCGGTTGTTTATACCTTCTGGCAAATGCATTCAAGTCCATTTGTCCCTCTCTGCAGTACATTCTGCCCAAGTGAAATGAAACATTTGGTTCATCCTGAGGCCGGGCGCGGTGGCTCACGCCTGTAATCCTAGCACTTTGGGAGGCCGAGGCAGGTGGATCACGAGGTCAGGAGATGAGACCATCCTGGCTAACATGGTGAAACCCCGTCTCTATTGAAAGTACAAAAAATTAGCCGGGCGTGGTGGTGGGCGCCTGTAGTCCCAGCTACTCGGGAGGCTGAGGCAGGAGAATGGCGTGAACCCAGGAGGCGGAGCTTGCAGTGAGCCAAGATTGTGCCACCGCTGCACTCCAGCCTGGGCAACGGTGCAAGACTCCGTCTCAAAAAAAAAAAAAAAAGAGAGAAACATTTGGTTCATCCTCAAAGGATTTTCAGGTAAAATGGCAAAGAGGTAGAGGAACGACTTAGAGGATCCTTCTGGCTCCCTAACAACCTGAGTTCCAAGCAGGAGTGTCTTCATAGGAACAGCCCATTTCTCAGAGTGAAAAGCTGGGGGCTGGAAGGTTGTCTCATACAGTGAGCTAGTGGCAGGGATGGGGCGCTCCAGAGCCCCTAGAAATTTCTGACTCTGCCTCTATGAGCCCTTGGAAGTTAAGTATTAGCCAGGGTTCTCTCGAGACACAGAACTGATAAGATGTGTGTGTGTGTGGAGAGAGAGGAAGGAATTGATTTATTTTAAGGAATTGGCTCACATGATTGTGGGGGCTGGCGAGTCTGAAATCTGCAGGGCAGGCTGGGAAGCTGGGGACCCAGGAAGGAGCTGGCAGTGCTGTCTGGAGTCTGAAGGCAGAATTTCTTCTTCCTCAGGGACCTCTCTTTTCTCTTGGAGCCTTCAACTGATTGAATGAGGCTCACCCATATTATGGAAAGTAATCAGCTTTTATCCATTTATGCTTTTGAGACAGAGTCTCTCTGTCACCCAGGCTACAGTGTGGTGGTGTGATCCTAGCTCACTGCAGCCTGGAACTTCTGTACTCCTGTAGTCCCGCTATTTGGGAGGCTGATCCTCCTGCCTCAGCCCCCTGAATAGCTGAGACTACAGGTACGTGCTACCACACCAGCTAATTAAAAAAAAAAATTTTGTAGAAACGGGCTGAGCACGGTGATTCACGACTATAATCCCAGCACTTTGGGAGGCTGAGGTGGGCGGATCACCTGAGGTCCAGAGTTTGAGACCGGCCTGGTCAACATGGTGAAACTCCCTCTCTACTAAAAATATAAAAATTAGCTGGGTGTTGGCCGGGCATGGTGGCTCATGCCTGTAATCCCAGCACTTTGGGAGACCGAGGTGGGTGGATCATGAGGTCAGGAGATCTAGACCATCCTGGCTAACATGGTGAAACCCCATCTCTACTAAAAAATAAAATAAAAATTAGCTGGGTGTGATGGCAGGTGCCTATAGTCCCAGCTACTTGGGAGGCTGAGGCAGGAGAATGGCATGAATCCGGGAGGCGGAGCTTGCAGTGAGCTGAGATTGCACCACTGCACTCCAGCCTGGGCAAAGAGCAAGACTCCATCTCAAAATAATAATAATAATAATAAAAATTAGCTGGGTGTGGTGGCACATGCCTGTAATCCCAGCTACTTGGGAGGCTGAGGCAGAAGAATCACTTGAACCCGGGAGGTGGAGGTTGCAGTGAGTTGAGGTTGCACCACTGCACTCCAGCCTGGGTGATGGAGTGAGACTCTGTCTCAAAAAAAAAAATTTTTTTTTTTTTGTAGAAATGGAGTCTTGCTTTGTTTGCCTAGGCTGGTCTTGAACTCCTGGCATCAAGCAATCCTCCCGCTGTGGCCTCCCAAAGGGCTGAGATTACAGGAGTGAGCCACTGCACCTGGCTTTATTTGGCTTTTGTTTTTACTCAAAGTCTACTGATTTCACATGTAGGTATTTCAGATTTCTTTTTTTTTTGAGGCTGAATTTCACTCTGTCACCCAGGCTGGAGTGCAGTGGCGTGACCTCGGCTCACTGCAACCTCTGCCTCCCCAAGTTCAAGCAATTCTCCTACCTCAGTCTTTCGAGTAGCTGAGATTACAGGTGCCCGTCACCATGCCTGGCTGATTTTTTTTTTTTTTTTTTTTTTTTGAGACAGAGTCTTGCTCTATCACCCAGGCTGGAGTGCAGTAGCACAATCTCGGCTCACTGCAAGCTCCGCCTCCCGGGTTCACGCCATTCTCCTGCCTCAGCCTCCCAAGTAGCTGGGACCACAGGCGCCCACCACCACGCCTGGCTAATTTTTTGTATTTTTAGTAGAGACGGGGTTTCACCGTGTTAGCCAGGATGGTCTCAATCTCCTGACCTTGTGATCCGCCCGCCTTGGCCTCCCAAAGTGCTGGGATTACAGGCGTGAGCCACTGCGCCCGGCCATGCCTGGCTGATTTTTGTAGTTTTAGTAGAGACCGGGGGTTTTACCATGTTGGGCAGGCTGGCCTCAAACTCCTGAGCTCAAGTGATCTACCCGCCTGGGCTTCCCGAAGTTCTGGGATTACAGGCATAAGCCACCATGCCTAGCCTCAGATGTTAATCACATCTGAAAAATACCTTCACAGCAGCATCTAGACTAGTGTTTGACCCAAAATTGGGCACCACAACCTAGCTAGGCTGACACATAAAATTAACCATCACAAGCTAAGCGTCTTCACCACTTTAAATCTCTAGGTCAGAGGCAAGGCCAAGGCCAAGGCCAGACCTCCAAGAATCTGGATTCAGACCTCTTGCTGCCCTCCCTCTGGGTGAGCAGAGATGAGTCATGCTGGATGAGGAATCCAGCTCCAATCCAGCTAGCTTTCAACTTCAGGCAGGAAGGGGAGACCAGGCGGGATAGAGGAGGAGGGCCGTAGGATCCACAACTGTGGCCAGGATGAGGCCCTGCCTGTGCTCTTCCACCTCTCCACGCTTGGCCACTTTCCCCAAGACCTTTCAAAAATGTGCTCTGGGCAGTGGGGAGGGCAGAAGCCGGCCCAGGAAGGGAGCCACAGATGCCCTTCCAGGGGCCTTCCCAGCAGGAGCCAGGAGGAACACCAAGGGGCTGCCAGACTGCCAGACCCCTGCAGCCAGGCAGAATAGTTCCCATCTTAGGGCCCTGCTTCTCAGGGCCTGATTCTCCCCGCAAAGGTGGAAAATCAGCGAGGCTTCCGGGCTGCAGAAGAGGGCATGGGGTGGGGGTGGCGTCCTCAGGGCTGGGAGGGGCCTATACCTGGTTTCTCAGTGGTCACTGAGTTTGTCTACAGCTTCGAGACACCGGGAGGGAGGAGGTAGGAGCTGTGGGTGGGAGTGGCGGTGGGTGAGGCAAGACAGCCAATGCAATGGGTCAGGCAAAGGCCCTGAGCTTCCTGCAGCATCTCAGGCCTCTCTCTCCATCCAGCGTCCCTGCTCTCACCCTGAGGGTCTCTCTCGGTGGACTCCCTCCCTCAGAGCATGGCCCAGGTAGAGACTTAGAGCATTTTGCTGCATACCTGCTCTCAGGTCCCCAACCAGCTGCCCACACTCCACCTCTTGCCCATTTTCTTCTTTTTTTTTCTTTTTTTTTTTTTTGAGATGGAGTCTTGCTTTGTCACCCAGGTTGGAGTGCAGTGGCGTCATCTCGGCTCACTGCAACCTTCGCCTCCCAAGTTTAAGCGATTCTCCTGCCTCAGCCTCCCAAGTAGTTGGGATTAGGCACACACTACCACGCTCAGCTAATTTTTGTATTTTTAGTAGAGATGGGATTTAACTATGTTGGTCAGGCTGAACTTGAACTCCTGACTACAGGTGATCTGCCTGCCTCAGCTTCCCAAAGTGCTGGGATTACAGGAGTGAGCCGCTGTGCCTGGCCTCCCATTTTCTAAAAGAGTCTAATTCCAGTCCAAAGTCCCTCCCTGCTCCGTGTGCCCATTACCTTCAGAGAGCCCTCTTCTGGTCCTGGCTCATGGACTGGCCTCTCCCTAAGACATGCGACACCAAAGCCATTTCTATTCGCCTCGCCCTGCTGGACCTTTTCTGGAGAGATGGGAATTCTTGGAACAGGTAACTTACTGTCTTTCGTGTCTGAGTTTCCATGTCCCAAACCAACCCCTCTGAGTTCCTGCTGGTCTGTCTTGGGCCAATAGCTGTCTGGAAACCCCACCAGTGAGAATCCTGCCTAAGACTGTTTTTACTCCGAAACGCCACAATGCCAGAAGGCTGTGGAAAACATAAGTCTGCAGCTGAGAATCATAAAAAGTTCAGAGGACTGGCACGTCCTAGGAAAAACTAAATCGACTGGAGTGACTAAGCCTGAAGAAGTGGAAGTTACTTACCGGGGTGGGAGCACTCAGACCTCATTCCCCCAGAACTGCTAGAGGCAAGGATATGAACAGTCTGGGAAGCTTGAGGGGAATCCTGGACCCCTGCAATACTGCAGGGTCCGGGGCTCATGGAAGCCCAACAAGGAAACCCTGATGCCTCCGCTGGTGCCCTCGGTGCCCCTGACTGGGTGAGTCCAGATCCACTCAGGTTGTCTTAGATTCTGTCTGATCCTCTTTGAGAGCCAGAGACAAGGAGTGGCCTGTGCAGGGTCATACAGGACTGGTAGCTGGAACTTTCTAGAAGATTCCCAATTGCTTCAGCTCCTCGATTCAAGAGAAAGAGGGCAAGTACCCGCCTGAGAGGCACAGTGTTCCACAGTTCATTGCCTCAGGTGATTTGAGAAGGCTGTGCCCAAGAAGATGCATGGGAGAAGGGCTAAAGCTCATTAAAGGCCTCAGCTGATACTCTAAACTTCTGTGTGGTCTCACCAAGGCTGCCAAGTACAGCTGTGCAGGGCATGTACTGCACAAGGGTGTCTGAGCGGGGCTGAACTCACCAAGCCTTGACTCTGGCTGTGCCCAACCAGACAGGCACCTTCTTCCACTTCTCATAAAGGCACTCTATGGGCTAGAAGCCACATTCCACCTCAGTGAAGGAAACCAAGGGGATAGGCATCCTTGAGTGACCTGACTCAGTCACTGAATGGCCTCTACACCCCCAAGTCCTTGGTTTTCCTGGGCTGCCAGCAGCAGAGCTGTAGCGAAAATCTAACATGGAGGCAGCGAGCTCATGAAGCTTGCCCCTCGCTGGGAACACCTCTTCAGGTCATGGTCCTGCTCTCTGCTTCCTCCAACACTAGGTCATCATTGTCATGACCACCACCATCTCAACATCTTACTTTAAGAAATAAACTGTTGAAAAAGTGTCATTTGGAGCAGGGGTCCCAAACCCCCAAGCCACAGACCAGTACCAGTCTGTGACCTGTTAGGAAGCAGGCTGCACAGCAGGACGTGAACAGTGGGCCAGTGTTCCCACCTGAGCTCCGCCTCCTGTCAGATCAGTGGCAGCATTAGGCTCTCATAGGAGCACAAACCCTATTGTAACCTGCACACGTGAGGGATCTAGGTTGCACACTTATGAGAATCTAATGCCTGATGATTTCTCCCTGTCTCCTGTCACCCCAGATGGGACCGTCTAGTTGCAGGAAAAGAAGCTCAGCGCCCTCACTGATTCCACATTATGGGGAGTTGTATAATTATTTCATTATATTACAATGCGGTAATAACAGAAATAAAGTACACAATAAGTGTAATGTGTTTAAATCATCTCAAAACCATCCCCCACCCCGGGCCATGGAAAAACTGTCTTCCAGGAAACTGGTCCCTGGTGCCAAAAAGATTGGAGACCGCTGCCCGGGCACGGTGGCTCATGCCTGTAATCCTAGCACTTTGGGAGGCCGAGGTGGGCGGAATGCCTGAGCTCAGGAGTTCGAGACCAGCCTGAGCAACACGGTGAAACCCCATATCTACTAAAATACAAAAATTAGCCGGGCATGGTGGCATGCGCCTGTAATCCCAGCTACTCGGGAGGCTGAGACAGGAGAATCACTTGAACCCAGGAGGTGGAGGTTGCAGTGAGCTGAGATTGCACCACTGCACTCTAGCCTGGGCAACAAGAGCGAGACTTCGTCTCAAAAAAAAAAAAACAAAAAAAAAAAACTGGAGACCACTGACAGGGAATACACTCAAGGTAACTATGCTCCCCATTCTTCCCCTCTCCTGA
Source organism: Homo sapiens (assembly GCF_000001405.40). NCBI lineage: Eukaryota > Metazoa > Chordata > Mammalia > Primates > Hominidae > Homo > Homo sapiens. The sequence continues at coordinate 16,480,720 of NC_000017.11, forward strand.
GGCTGTCCCTCCCCATCTCCTTCTCCTGCTACAGGGAAGGGGCAGCACAGGTCCTCTGTGCCCCAGAGCCCCTCTTCTACCCTGCCTGTGACGAGGGAAGTCAGGCCACCTGTCCCAACCTGAGGAAGCTCAGAAAACACCAAGTTTTTCACTGGGACAGACCCAGGCATCACTTCCAGTACTTCTCCAGGGACCACTGGGCTGGGCAGGGTCTTGGGAATTGGGGACCTGGTCCCAGTCCTGTGTGACCCTGCACAGGCCACTCCTTGTCTCTGGGCTGTGTGCGCCTCTGTCAAACATCTCAGCTCTGACTGCAGCAGGTCTTCTCACCAAAGGAGCCGTGGAACCCCTCCTGCTGCCATTTCCTCCAGTGAGGGAGAGGGGCAGAGGCAGATCCAGGCCCCTTGGCCTTCTAAGGACATTAGAGCCTCAGCGCTGCCTGTCCTCTGATGGCAGCGAGCCAGGACCATTGCCAGGAGAGAGCCGGTAAGAACACAATGTGCAAGGCAGCCAGGTAGCCTATTACAAGGCCACAGGACTACACCAGGTACCAGCACCTACCTGGTGCCAGGTGAGATGAGAGCCCCTCCATGCTTCCCTCTCTGTGGCCCCTGCTCTCTCCTGCCCGCTCACAGGAAGTGTGATAGTCAACTGTAGGTGTTTATACATGTAAATCTCCTTTTGAGTCTGTTTCTGTGGAGAACCCTAATACAGGAAGTAACATCCCTACGGGAAGACATTAAGAGCCTTAAGCAGCAAATTATGAACCAATTTCAGGAGCATCTCTCTGTCATGCTGAGTCCACTGTAGGCCCTTCCATAGGAATGCAGAGCTTCAATCTTCCACACCTGGGCCCCGGCAGGTGCACTGCAGGAGGATTCACTGGCTACCCCCTGCCTCCCCCATGATGGCCTGGCAGGAGAAGGTGTCTGTGGGTCGGCAAGATGGCCCTGGCATTCAGCACAGGAGGGGAGACATGTCTCCTCCCCGAGCCCTGTCTGTGCTTGTCCTCATCCTGCATCTGAGCTACAGGCCCTCCAGACAGTGGGGCAGGCAGCTCCAGGCTGACCATTTACCATGAGGAAATCAGAAACAGAGGTTTTGTTTCCAGCTGCCCAGCCCACCACAGAGCCCTGCCTCCCCAGGAGCACCTGCAGCTCCTGTTCCCCTGATTCCCCCACCATCTACAATACAGCCCTTTCCATAGTCCGCATACGCAGAGGACTCCCCAGGTCCCCATGGGGAAAGGGGTGTTGGGGGTACTGCCAGGTGCGCGGTGTCTACTGGGCGGTCTAGGTCCAGGGCAGGAATTCTGACTGTTACGCTTGGTGTGGGGCAGGACCTCCTGGGCCCTTACCTGCCCCCGGTGCCAATGGAGAGAAACCTGCCCCACTCCTGCCCCTTTCTATTGGGTAGGGCCTGAACCTGGGGCTCCAGGAGGCTGTGACTGCATAGACAGAAACTAAGGGCAGTGGGGTGGGATGGGGGGCATCACAGGTTGCCGACTTCCCAGGCTGCAAGTGCTGGCTCCCTGTGGTGCTGGGTGTCCTTCAGTGGACGAGGGTGTCCTGCAAGCCTCCTTGGCACCTGTATCTGTGGGTGGAGGCTCCATGGGGACAGCGGCTATGGGGTGGGAATGTGCCTGGAGGGGGCACTGCAGGGGGTTCCGAGATAGCTGGGGGCTCTTCCCACAGGTCCCTGGCATGCTCTGGGAGAGACCTGGGCTGAGGGCCGTGGGAAGGCCAAGTGGGCAGGAGAGGGACAGGCTTGAGGACCAGGGCCGCTGGGAGGCACCAGCAGAGCAGGTCAGGCAAGCCCACCTAGGAAGTGGGGGAGACGGGGCTTCCCACAGGTCCTGGGCCTAGCGCCTGTGTCCACTCATGAGCCCCACTGAGGAAAGGGGTTTGCCCAGCAGCCAGTGTGTGCCGTGCCCTGCACCTGTGTAGGCCCCCATGGCCAGAGACAAGGGCAGAGCTGGAATCTGACCATGGCCAGCCCTGCAGTCACTTGCCAGTCCTCTATGGCATCAGCGACTGCCCTGAGCCCTTCTAGAAATTAGCATCTTGGCCGGCCCTGCTTTCCCTACTTGTCCCAACTGGTGCCAGCTCCACTTAGGTGCCCAGGGACGTATGCTGAGTGAAAGAACCAAGTACTAGTGCACAGTCAGGTGCCAGGCAGGGTTCTTGCCCTCTGAAGGCAAAGGTCCTGAAGCTCGGCTGGGGCTGGCAGGTCTGGGTCTCTGTGGACAGGACAGAGGCTGGAGTGGGGACAGGCTCCATCCAGACGAGCATGGAGAGCAGCCCCTCAGAGAAGGAAGCCAGAGTGGGAAGTAGAGGGAGGGGAGAGAGACCAGATGTGCAAGGGGCCAGAGCAGCCCCACAGTAGGCAGAAAGGTGGCAAGGGAGCCAGGCACTGAGTCATGTGGACAGCAGGTCCCAGCAGAGCCTGCCCCAGCCTCATTACCCTCCCCAGTGCTCTGAGATGAATGGTTTGTGGCACACAGGGCAGCTCGGGCCTCTGTGAGGGCTGGGCTTTGCTCATGTGTGAAAGTCTGCAGGTTCCCTGGTTCTGGCCTCTGCCCCTGGCACCATGTGATGTGGCCTTTCACCCTCCGTCAGCTAGGACTGCGGTCAGCACAGACAGGTTGGCCTCGGCAGTATGGGGGTCGGCCCCAGTACCTGGTGGGGAGGTATCTGTCCCCTCTCTGTCCTGGGACCGCTGCATCCCAGCTCTTGCACCAGCTGAGGCCAAGGTGGGTGACCTTAGGGTTCGAATGTGAATCTGGCTCAGGGCCTGGAAGAAATAACTGACCACACATGGGAATGAATGGGTCTTTCCAAAACCACAGGCACCTGGTGGAATCTCAGCAGTGGTAGGGAAACTCAGGGGTCATTTCGCCCACCACTCCTTCATTCTGGAACTGGGGAAACTGAGGCCAAAGAAGGGAAAGGGCTGGGCAAGTTAGGGTTTCCACTGGGGCCAGAACTGAGGGCTCCTGGCTCCCAGTGAAGCCAGCCTCCCTTCTGTGCCACGCTGCGCACCTGTACTGGTGGTGGCTTCTGGGGTCCTTGCCATCCCTCCCGGAGGAAGGGAAACAGCTGCTGCCATGGTTTTCTCCTGGTGGGTTGCCTGTTGCATCCCCAGTTCCTAGACTGGTGCCTGGAGGAACAGGAACTCGATTGTTGAATAAATGATTTAATGCATACTACTTTTTTAATTTTCTGCTCATCTAATTTTCTCATTTTTCTATAATTGTATATTGCTTTTATAATATTTTAAAAACCACCATTTTTACTTTAAGCAACATTGTGTCAACTTCACAAAACCACCTAATGAGGCCGGGTACAGTGGCTCACGCTTGTAATCCCAGCACTTTGGGAGGCTGAGGTGGGCGGATCATGAAGTCAAGAGATCGAGACCATCCTGGCCAACATAGTGAAACCCCGTCTCTACTAAAAATACAAAAATTAGCCAGGCATGGTGGTGTGCGCATATAATCCCAGCTACTCAGGAGGCTGAGGCAGGAGAATTGCTTGAACCTGGGAGGTGGAGGTTGTAGTAAGCCAAGATGGCGCCATTGCACTCCAGCCTGGCGACAGAGCGAGACTCCGTCTCAAAAACAAACAAACAAACAAACAAACAAAAAACAAAAAAAAATCCACCCCCTAAGCAGCAAAATAAACATGAGAAAAGGCTTTATGGACTAGAAAGCCATGTGCAGATTGGGGAGGTGTCCCTAATGCCTGCTCTCCTGCCCAAGGCACGGCTGACACTCAGACAATCAAATCGAGCCGGGCACCCTTCTTGACCGCCACCAACCACTTCCAGTTCTCATGGCCCCACTCCCCCACCTTCCCGCTGGCAAAGGATGGGAGGCTGAGAGGGGAGCTGACCAAGATCCGGCAGAGGAACAAGAGTCTGCTTCTCACCCAGGGAAGGGAAAAACACACAGCAGGGAAGACAAAATGAAAGAAACAGAGACACAAAGAAAAGCTGCAGGGAGTGGGAGGCAGAGAGGCAGAAAGACACGCGGACACTGAGGGCCGAGCAGGAGCGAGGGGCAGCTCTGAAGGTGGCCCCAACACACTCACATACGAGGGCACTCCCCACTCTCAGCTGTGCTCCTGTGTCTCTCCTGGTTAAGATAAAGTTAGAAACAACAAAATGCCACATCTCTTTGAGCAGCAGCCGTCGGCAGAGCTCCATATGGCTGCAGCAGCCAGGAGTCTGAGCTAATAAAAGTTAAAAAAAAAAAAAAAAAGCTGGGAAATGCTCCTGGAGAGCCACGTGGGCACTGCTCAGGGCCGGGTGGGGGTAGGGAGGAGAGCAGGCACCATAGGAGGGGGTCCCCGCCCCTGCTTGGCGCGCCAAGGTCTCTGTTCTCATTCAGAACACCCAGCCCTTCTAGTAATGGTGAGTCCAAGACGCAGCAACCAAATGTGCTGTTTTAGATGCCTGGGCCCTCTCCTACCTCCATTCCAGTTTCTCTTAATGGGAGAGGATATGACAGTCAGTGCTGAAAGTTTGCGTCCCCTCCTCTCCATTCTCAAATGTATATGTTGAAATCCTAACCCCCAAGGTGATGGTATCGGGAGGTGGGGCCTACGGGAGGTGATTCAGTCATAAGGCTAAAGCCCTCATGAATGGGATTGGTGCCCATATAAAAGAGACCCCAGAGAGACCCTTCATTCCTTCCACCATGCCAGAATGCAGCGAGAGGGTACCATCACCAGAAAGCAGCCTCACCACACAGTGAATCTGCCAGCACCTTCATCTTGGACTTTCCAGACTCCAGACTGTGAGAAATAAGTATCTGCTGTTTATAAGCCACCCAGTTTATGGTATTTTGTTATAGCAGCCGGAAAGGACTAAGACAGTCGGCAAGAACAGCCAGGAGGAGCCAGGACAAGCAGTGTGTGTGTGTGTGTGTGTGTGTGTGTGTGTGTGTGTTCGTGTGTGTGTGTGTGTGTGTGTATGCGTGGGCGCGCATGCGTGGTTTTCTTGCAGGGCACCGGCAGCACTGCTCTTGGTGGGGAAGGGGAGACAGATGGCTGGCTGAGGATCCCCACACTGCGGGGAGAATCTCCAATGCTGACCCCACCCCCTCTGCATCCTGATGGAGGAGTTGGAGAAGACCCTGGTCACTGGATAACCCTTCTTCAAGGAGTCTCTCCCCTGCAGACAGGGAGTGGGGATGCAGGGAGGAATCATGGCTTCCACCCCACAGGTTACAGCGGGGTGGGGGAATACCCAGGCCCACGGTCACAGTAGAAACACTTCAGAAGTCTGAGCCAAACCCCGCTGTCTCCTGAGAGAGAACGCCAGGGACAGAGGCTGGAGGAAGTGTGTGCCTGATGGGAAGTTTCAATCCATTCTGTAAGAATTTCCTGAAAACAGACTGTGTGCCAGTTTTTATGGCCTCTGCCCCAGAAAAGCACGCATGGCAATGAAATGACACTGGGGGGAGGGGAGGGTGCACCCACCCTGACGGTCCATGGATGGAGGCCAGGGTACTTTAGGACCTCTGAAGACAGCAAAGCAGTTTCTGGTAATCTCTGAGGAGGTGGCATTTGTTCCAGAAAAAAGGACCCCCCAACCCCATCCCACAGCCTCACCAGACCCTAAAGTCAGAATAACCGGCCCAGCTACAGCCCCTGCGGTCGTGCTTAGCCACTACAGAGGCTGCTATTTCCCCAGCCAGTGTCCCTGGCAGCCTTGGAAACCAATGAAGCAGGCTCTGACACAGGAATCCCTCTGCATCTTTATCACTGGAAAAGCCTCGATCCAGCCCAGGCAGAGAGCGGCGGATTTTAAAAAGGAAGGTTTCTCTTTGTGAAGGAAATGAACATGATTCAGCACAAGAGCCGATCAGGAATGTGGAGGCCAGACTCTCCCATCAGGCTCCGCTCCCCTCCCGCCACCTCGGCAGAGGCCCCAGACTGCACCTGCCGGATGGGATCCCGTAGTGCCACAGAGCCTGGGCACCATGCCACTCCTCTCTCCAAGAACACCACCGCCTGGCAGGCTGCCAGGAACAGCCAAGCCCTGTGGACATCACTCCCAGAAATCCAACCACACGGAAAGCAAACGTGCTGTGTCTCATGACAGTACTAACAAGCCTGGTAAATCAGCCCACAGTTGCACAGCCGTAGCTGGGGAATCCAAGTGCTTTCTGAGGACACACTGACGACAGCAGCAGACACACACGCGTACGCACATCTTCACGGCACACAGACTCACTAAGGTATGCCACGAGCCTACAGGTTTTCAATACCATACAGTGGATAACAGTGGTGGTGGTGGGTCTCCGCCCTCAGGAAGCACTTGACCTTATCTGACAAACAAAAGGAACATCAGGGAAAAACTCTGCATGGATTGAATGCCTCCCAGTGTGGCAGGAACTAAGAGCCACATGGATCTCTGAGCTTCGGCTGACATGCCCAGGAAGGTGGCCCTGGAAAGGTAAGGTGCATTCAGTGGAAACATGAAAAGCATTCCAGGTGGAGGAAGAAGAGCAGGCCCAGCGTAGGGCCCCCCTGCTCGGTGTCTGGTAGCCTTCCAACCTGCTTGCCTAAAGAAGTGTTCTTAGGTGGAGGTGGAAGGAAAAAGGTGACCTTCTGAGGTCATTATGCTCATCTTTCTGCTTCTAGGTAGTAACGACCTGTCCAGTCTCCACATCTCCAGGGAGTCTCCAGGTGTCTGTCCATTGCTCAGCTCCACTTGAGGGGTGAGTTAAACTCTTAGGTCCTGGCTCTGTGGCCCAGGCTGGAGTGCAGAGGCTTGATCTCGGCTCACTGCAACCTCTGCTTCCCAAGCTCAAGCCATCCTCCTACCTCAGTCTCCCAAGTAGCTGGGACTACAGGTGCACACTACCACACTTGGCTAGTTTTTGTATTTGCATTTGTAGAGACAGCCATGTTGCTCAGGCTGGTCTTGAACTGGTGAGCTCAAGTCATCTGCCTGCCTCAGCCTCCTAAAGTACTGGGATTACAGGTGTGAGCATTTCGCCTGGCCTCAGTGGTTCTTGTTGGCATTAGCTGATGTGGTTCCTGTTCCCAGGTGCAGAGTGAAGCCAGCCTCACCACCCCAGACAGCAGCAGGAACCAGGATTCCAGGCCCTAGCCATACCACTGGGAGGCCCAAACAAGTTAACATAGGAACAGCCCTGCTTAAGAGGTGTGCGCCACACTTCGAGTAAACCAACCCCATCAGCCTCTTCTCATGGGAAAGCTGGGGTGCTGGTGAACACGAAGACAGGGGCTACCTCAGCTGGGTGTATCCCAGGGAAACAGACGCCTTTTTCTGCTGCTCCATGACGCAGGCCGACAGCTCAGTCTAAAATTTTGAGGACTCAGGGAAACTGCTGGGGTGAAGAGATGACAGCTCACCCTCAAGGTGGCCTGGCACTTGCCCTCTCTCAATGGCGGAAGGTTATTTCTTCTCCAGGGCTCCTTAAAGACAGCAGGCCTGAGCCCAAGGGGAAGGACATCTGGGGAAGGGGAAAGCCTGGAAGGATGGCGGCCAGGAAAGGGCAGAGGAATGGCCTCTCCCATCCAAAGCTGGCTTGTTTTATCTCCACGAGCATTCGCTCCAGATGCTTCTAAATGTGCAGTGAGTTTTTGATCCAGACTGAACCCTGGCCAGGTAGATGGAATCCAAAAAATTCTTGGGCCATGCCTGAGAAAGGATGCCACAACCCTGCCCCTACTGGGGCCAGACCCAAAGTGAGTAAGGCAGATTCTCCTGTTTCACAGTCACCAAGAGAATGTGTCTTGAATGGCAGCACCAACACCATTTCATTCACTTTGTAGCATTTGCTGTGCTCAGTACCCCAGATCCCTCTTTGGGAAACAAAGAAACACAACTCAGAGAGGTTATCTGCTGGGCCCAAGGTCACAGCTGACTGAGGACCGGAAGGCGAGCTGCCTACTTGATCCTTGGCCCTGGACTCTTCTCAGATTACACTTATCTTAAAGGGAAGGGGATTACTTTCTGTTCCTTCAAGGCAGCTGCCTGGCATCCTGCCTGCACCCCTGGCCACAGCTCAGGGTCATTTGTGCTGAATGAGGCCTCCTGATACCTCTCCAGCAAGTGACAAGCTGGAGAGACGCCCTCCAAATCTTAGATGCTGAAGAGGGGCATTCAGAAGAAGTGGCACCAGCAGCCACAATCCTTCAGCCCACCGTGAACTGCCACACATGCACCCGGGTCAGGTCCCTGTTTCCAGATCCCCAGCCTGGAGCAAGTCACAGCAGGGAGAAGGGTGGTATTGGACTGGAGCAGAGATTCTGAGCTTGGAGTCTGTAGCTGGGTTTCAGGGGCTTTGTGAACCCTCCGAAATTGCCTGTGAGATTGCGTGAGTCAGTGCATTTGCCTGGGAAGATTGTGTGTAGCTTTTTCAGAGCCTCAAAAAGATCAAGGACTCAAAGAGGCTAAGAAGCACAGGAACAAAGGCTCCCGAGTCCCCACCAGCCATATGGCTCTGGGCATACACAAATCCAGCAGCCAAACCCAAGTTATCAAATGCAGGAGAACATGCTGTGTGAATGGAGGTGAGGGCTACTGTCCTCGCTGCTGCCCCTCCCTGGTTCTGTGCCTGCTCATTGACTCCCACCCCAGAGGCCTGCATGACATTCCTGCAGAACAGGGTGCCCCACGCTTTGCAGACCCCTGTCTTTACTGGCTGTCTTGCTGAGGAAGAGGTTCTTGCTGGTCTGACCCCTGTGAGGCTTGTGTGTTCTCAAGGCTCTCACTAGCTGCTCATTCCCTTTCTGAACATCACCACCACCAGACTAGAGAAGGAAACTGGAATGGAAAGGAAAATGCAATTTTGGAGAAAGAGCCACTTCAGTGCACAGCACAAATCCAGCTGGACATTCCTCCAAATGGCCTCAGGGTCCTAGAAAGCCACCTCTCTGTCATAGGCAAGTGAACACTCCTGTGCTCCACTCCCACACTGCTCAAGGCCCATGACCACTTTCGGGAGGGGTCCTGCTCCATCCGTTCCAGGCCACACAGGGCAGCTCCAGGCCCACGGCCCTTGCATCCCCAGCCAGGGGTTAAGGGAGCCCAACAGGAGCCCAGAAGCCCAGAGCCTGAGGACCTGCTGCTTTCACAGAAAAGGGGGAAGTCTGATAAGCCCCCTCCCACCCCCCCATCAGCCCTCCCAGTCCTGCAGCTGAGGCGGGTACCAGGACACCAATAAGACCCATGTGCAGATGTCTGAGGAAATGCTTCTTGTTTCAAGGATCCCACAGTGGGGCTGCAGGGGCTTATCTACTCTCCCTCAAGGCAGGGAGAAGCTCAGTGTCCCCAGGATGTGGAATCACACTCAGCCCTACAGGGACTGGGGAGCCCAAAGTATCTGCCCACTTTGGGTCCAGTCTCCTCCCGTGGGCCTCCAAGCGGCCCTCCATCATGCAAGCTTCGCTCTGGTCTTGCACCCTCCAAGAAGTGCTTGCCAGCTCCCTCTGTTCTTCTGTATCCCCCAAAGCACCCATTGCAGGGTGGGGGAAACAGCATGTGATCAGGAAAACCTTACTGTATGGTGTGTAAATAGGATACCATGGTCTGGAAAACCCAATATTCTGTTTAAAAGTGAAAGAGTTACTATAAAGGCCATATGTCAGCTTCCAATTTTCAAAAGACAAAGAAATACACACTGCTAAAGTTCAGTGGTGCATAATGTCATCTTTCTTTGATGACTGAACTCAGAGAAGGCACATGGGGATCCAGCAGCGTCTCGGGCATCATTCTGGAAGTTGTTGGGGAAAACAGAGGCAGAAGCAGAAGTCCCACATCTTCCCAAGTCCCCTCGTCTCTGCTTGCCTCTCCCTGTGCAGTGCACAGCTTGGGGACACATACTTTAGGGTAAGAGCGCACCAGATACAAAGGTGGGGAAGAGTGCTGCAGAACCCAAGAGGGATGTGGGTCTGATTAGATTTTGGAAGCTCCTCCCAAGAAGGTGCTCCTACAGCCTCTTTCAGCAGCGACTGGAAAACCCCAGAAAGGTCACCTGAGATTTTCCCTCTGCCATCCACGGTAGACTCCACCTCTAATGGGGTCAGTCTAGCAAGAATATGGGGCCTGGATTGTCTACCCACCAAAGCCAGGCCAAGACAACCTGCTTGGTGATGCAGGAGAGCAGCTTTGCACTCCCCTGCCTGTCTTATACTCAACAAAATCCATGGCATGGGCCATGCTCCTCTCCCCACCAAAGAAACTGACAAAGGAAAACAAGCCACAGAGAGGTGAGTGATAGCATTAGCCTCAGGGCAGCCCCAAAGCAGAGGGAACTGGCCAATTCCGCAACATCTGTCCCTAGCCAGTGGGACAGGCACAGGCTAAGGACAGAGTCCTGGCAGTCTCCTGAAGTTGCTGCTGGCCAGGTGGTCACACAGGGCACCAAATCCAGCTCCCCTGTCTCTACCGCTTTCCGCAGGGGCTCATGGTTGAGGATCTGCTGAAGTTAGTCAGGGGAGAGGAAACAGTCTCCTCCTTGAACTACAATCCAGGATGCCTCCCAGGCGAGTGAAGGACCTAGGGACTGGAATCTCATTGGCCCCAGGGCTGTGCCCCTGGACTCGCTCTCGGGAAGCCAAGCCAGGTCCAACTGATAACCGCATTCCTTGAGGACCCTCGGCCGGGAGTGACTGCCAGTGGGCAGACAGGAAGAAAAGAGCCCTGGCCCAGATCAGGCAGGCATCCCTGCTTCCCCGCCCACCGACTGTCCCCGGAGACCAGCCTCCTTCTCTGCCTGCGGAGGAGAGCAGTGGGGACATTATGCCAACAGGTCCCCTTCGGCGGGCCTCACCCGGCCAGCCTTCCTCCGCCCTGCCCTGAGGCCCCACATTCAGCGGAAGCGCCGAGGCACCTGCTGCCAGACAGGGCTCCATCCCCGCGGAAGGGGCCCCTGGGCGGTGCCCCTCGGTGCCCCCGGCTTCCTCGGTTAGGGATGGGGCGCCCCCCCCGGCCCAGCACGCCCCCTGGCCCGGCGCGCCCCCCGCGCCCCCTCCCCGCGCTCACCTGGCGCAGGTGCTGCAGCAGCGTCCCCGCCTCCTCCCGCCGGCCCTGGCGCACCATCCGCAGCAGCTCCTGGACCATGCCGACTCGCCGGTGGTAGGGGGGCATCCCCGCGCCCGCGCGCCCCGCCTTGTCCCCGGCGCGCAGCAGCAGCGACGCCCAGAAGTCCGGCCGTTCGCGTCGGGGGCCCGGCGCGGCGCCGGGGCTGGCTCTCTCCGCCAGGCTGCCCTTGGTCTGCCGGGTGCCCATGCCGCCGCCGCCCGCCGGGACTCTCCGCTCTGGGCCGCGAGGCCGCGTCCCCGCCAACCGCCCGCCCCTCGGCCGCCCGTGCGCGCTCGCCTCCCGGGCTGCAACTTTGGGGGAACTGTTGCGCGCGGGCGTCGCGGGGGCGGGCGGGCGGGCGGCTGTCGGCGCTCCCCGCGCTCCTCCCTCTTGGCTACCCGGGCGCGCTCCCCGGGCGCTCGCCGCCGGCCCGCCCGCCGGCCCCGCCCCGGCCCGGCTCGGCCCGCCCCGCCCCCCGCCTCCGCGCCGGAGCTCCGCGGCGTCGCGCGCCTCCCTCTTCTCGGGCTCCCGCTCCTTCCCGCCCCGCGGCTCCGGGCTGGGGACCACCACCAGGCGCCCCCTGCCTGCGTCCTCTCGGCAGTCGCGCCTCCTGCGGGCGGCAGTGCTGCGCTTCCCGGGGCCGTGGCGCGGGGGCGAGGGGAACAGGCAGGCCCCATGGGCCGTCGCTCTCGGTCCCCACCGGGCTCCCCGACGCTTCCACCACCGCGCGCCCGGTGCGTCGGGCGAGATGGGGAAAGTTTGGAGCATGGGGGTGTGTGTGTTGGGGGGCTCTCTTAGGCCCAGAGTCGGGTTTCTCAAGGTGGGTTCCGCTGAGCCTCAGCGCCCAAATCGTCGGAGGCGCTGGTTAAAAACGCAGGCTCTAAGGCCTCCACCGAGACCTACTGAATGATAATCTCCTCGGTGGGGCCTGGGATCCGCCTTTTTAGCCAGCATGTTGGGTGATTCCCATGCACGCTCCTTTGAGACCTGGCCTGCTTGCAGGGCGCTGTAGTGGTGTGGTTGGTGCGTAAACCTGGAAACTGTGCGAGCTTATGGGTTGTGTGCGTGCCCTTCTATGGAGAGGGCCTGTTGCTTCCATCATGCTCTCAAAGCATCTGGACCGGAGAGGTGTGAACTCCTGTGTTCTCTTGTTCTCACTCTCACAGCCCTGGAGAAGGGTCCCTGGGGTAGTCCTGGTACAACAAAGCAAACGCACGTCTGCGAGTAGGCCCAGCGGTACACCCTGCTGGCCCACCTTCCTCCCCGTGCCTCTGCCAGGCCCAGTCTGTAAGGGACCAGAGCCCTGGGATCTCATGGTGTTGCCAGGGCTTGCCAGAGTGAAGGCGAAGGCAGGTGGGGGAGCTTCTCTGTTGCAGACCACAGGCCGCCCTGGTCCCAGCGCAGGGCAGAAGCAATTGTGCAAGCTCGCCTCTGACCCCAGCTCTGGGTGTTGCTTGAGGGTGTAAGGGCACGTGGGCTGTAGGGGCAGGAGGCTGGATCCCAAATCACAGGGAGCTGAGCCCCACTACTTAGTGAGCACTGAGTATCAGGCGAGTCTTCAGCTTCTTGAGTCCTGATTCTTCCTGTCAGGCTAGGATAATAACACTGCCAAGAATTGGGAGAGTAAACTCGGTGGACACTGCTAAAGGAAAAAATTATTTAATGACATGAGTTAAAGCATCGTAAGGAAGACTTTATTCAGGACCATTACCATAGGTGTAGGGACCTCTGCTATGAGATTTTGCAGTTGCAGGGAGAGAGAGATTGAGCTCAACTCCAATTACAGCATGGGCAAGTGGGAATTCGTTGCTAAGGAGCAGGGTGGGGGTCAGCGGATAGAAACTTAATAAGGGAAACATCAGGGCTGAGGGGGATTCTGGCTAAACAGGTTGTATGGAGCACCCTTGACATAAGTAACTCCATCTTAGAAAAAGGGTCCATTTTACATTTGAAAAAGCCTCATGCCAACAGGAACCAGATGTTCGCCTAATCAATAAAGACTACACCCCACCAGATAAAGACATAAACAGGCACACTCTTTGCTATCAGTCCTCACCAGAGGATTCTGTAGCCATAAAAAGAGCAGGACTTCAGCAACTGGAGATGACCGTCTGGATAGACCCCATCTTGCCCACACTCTGCCCACATCAAAGACTCTTCCTTGCAAGACACTGAGGACTGTTTGGATCAGGCCAGGAGACTCCCCTTGTCCAAGTCACTCTCCTTGGACTATATTGTTAACCGCTCCTTCCCTATCCCCTTTTCTCTTGATGTTAAATGTACTTTGATGTGGAATGTGTAATCTATAACATTTATATATTGATTAAGTATACTACCATGTATGGTTGGCAGTATTGACTGACTTGTGGAGTGACTTGAGCCTGTATGCCCACAGCTCTTATTACCAAGTGAATGGGGAAAACTAAGGAGAATTTGCCTCCTTGAGAACCCCATGTGGCTTGTGGCTTTTATGACTGAAATAGCATCAATAAAAGCCTGACGTTGTAGAAAGACACACATGTGCATGAACCTGATTATTTCTGACTTTGTGGCACTCACAACACCAACCTAACAGAATTCTTGCTTTAGACAGGCCAGGTGACCAGAGATCACCTGGGGGAGGGTGGGGGATGATAAACCTAATCAGATATTGAAGATGATCAGATATACAAGATGGAGGGTTCTTGCTAAACTGTCTTAACAGGGTCTTTGCTAAAACTGGATTTTACATGGAAGTGCAAAGAGGGTCTAGGAGAAGGTTTGGGAGCCTGACTAAAGTTTGGCCAAGCAAAGAATCTTTGTCAATATATAAACTTCAAGCAGAGTAGAGATGTTCTGCAAATGAGTTCCTCTTCCTGCTCTGTGATCACAGGGTTTTCCATAGGTGTCTTCTCCGTTATCCCTGAGTACCTTGAGTATGAGTCCTGGCATCTCTCCTGCAGGCATTCTCTTCCCTTTGGCCACCCCACTCCCAAATGTCCATCTCTGCCAGCAGAGAACACTCAGTCTTCCTACAAGCTGGCTTTGCAGGGCTTGGACAGCACTTTCCAAACTTACCTGAACCCTTTGCATAGGAGCACACACCTGCTGGCATCTCCAGAGAACCCAGCTTGAAAAATACTTATGTGTCTCTCATCTCTGGTCTGCAGGACCACCAGACAAAGTGGCCACCAAGGACACCTATTGACCAGGCCCCTCCCTACAGACAGTGAGCTCTACCCACCTGGAGACAGACCACACAACCTAGATAGCCTGTTGGCCTGCTTGAGGGTGTGTGGTTGGGGCAAATGCCATTTCAATGGGAGAGGGGCCAGACCAGCCCCTCACTTGGGATCTGAATGTTAGCCCTCTCCTCTTTTTCAGAGACCTGATTCTATCCTCCTCCCCTTGCTCTTGATTTTTTTACCCTGACTTTTCCTGTTTTCTGGCTTGTTCTCCTCAAGATATGCTCTACTCACCTCTCTTCCATCTATTGAAAAATTTCATTTGCATCTGCCTGCTTCAGTCACCAGTGCCCCAACTTTATCCTTTCTTTTCAGCTAAGATTTTTAGTTTCCCTCCCTCCCTCCCTCCCTTCCCTCCCTCCTTCCTTCCTTCCTCCCTTCTTTCCTTTTCTCTCTCTGTCTTCCTCCCTCCCTTCTTTTTTTTTGAGACAGGGTCTCACCCTGTAGCCCAGGCTGAAGTGCAGTGGCACCATCACGGTTCACTGCAAACTTGATCTCCTGGGCTCAAGCTAGCTTCCCACTTCAGCCTCCCAAGTAGCCAGGATCACAGGTGCACGCCACCATGCCTAGCTAATTTTTGTAATTTTTTTTTGTAGAGACGGTTTTACCATGTTGCCCAGGCTGGTCTTGAACTCCTGGCCTCAAGCAATCCTCAGGCCTTGGCCCCCCAAAGTGCTGGAATTACAGGTATCAGTCACCACGCCCAGCCTATTGTCATTCTTTCTTTACCTCCATTCGTTCCTCACCCACTTCAGCTTGGCTTCTGGCCACACCATGTCACTAAAATGCCTCTTGCCTTTAGCCTTTAGCAACAGCTAAAGAAGTGACCTAGTTGCTACACTCAGTGGCCACATTCAGTCTTCATCTTACTTGACTTTTAAGCAGCATCTGATCCTGTTGCCTACTCTTTTGATTGAAACTCTACTCCCTTGGCTTGCAAGGAACTACTCTCCTCTAGGTTTCTTTCTTGAGTTCTCCTGGGAGCTCCTTTTCTTACCCTCATTCTTTACTTGTTGCCTTTATGCAGGGTACTACCCCGTATCTCTTCCTAGGCAATGCTATTTATTTATTCATTTATTTGAGACAGAGTCTCAAATAAACTTATTTGAGACAGGGTCACCCAGGCTGGAGTGCAGTGGTGCAATCATAGCTCACTGCAGCCTTGAACTCCTGGGCTCAAGGACACTCCTGTTTCAGCCACCCGCGTTTCTGGCACTACAGGCACATTACCAACATGCTCTGCTGGGCAATATTATTTGTAATCATGGCTTTACTTGCCATGTACACGCTGATGACTCTTTCCAACTTATAAGCTAATAAATTAACCTGTCATTGATTCATGGATGCTAAAAGAAGACATGACACTCTGTGGTCAGAAACATAGGACTTTGTTACTCAGAGCACAGCAAGAAGCATGTGCATCAGCATATTTGCCTCCAAGTCTCACAGGGGCAATATGGGGGGCCCAGATGGATGTTCCACAGGCAGCTGGTTAGCGTCATAGCTGAGGAACACCGAGCCTGGAGCTGCTTATGCAGGGAGGAGTAAGCAAGCCTGCTCTTCCTCCTCCAGGGAGATGGTACCTCATCCCTCAAGGCGGCTCGCTGTAAACACAGCACTGAGAAGTGGCCCAGGTTAAAAATGGTCAGGGTCTTGCAATCTTGGCATACACAGCAAGATGTGTGAGAGTGCAAGGGACCCACGGAGGATCATCTCTTCCAATAGTGAGCACTTCATGCTCGACAAATGAGCGCATCCTCTTCCAGGCCTCCCTCCCAATCTACCCACTCCTGTCTCCGCTTTTAGTAACAGCAGGCCAGAAACCCGGGAGTCATTGTGCACTCTTTGTTTAACCTGCATCTTGTTAACCAAGGATAGTTAATGATGCCAAGGATGGGAGCTCTCATTTGCTGCGCATTTCCTGTGTGCTCGGTCTTGGGGTGTGTTCTTTGCATATATTAGGCAATTCATCCTTTCCACAGCTGCGAGGTAGGCTTTGTTATTGTCCTGATTTCCCAGGTGAGGAAATGGAAGCTTAGAGAGGTTAAATGACTTGGCCAAGGTCACACAGGTAGTAAAGGGCAGTGTTGAGATTCACGCTTAGGTCTGCTAGCATTGTTAAGGTCCTACATTTTTTTTTTAGACAAGGTCTCACTCCCGTCACTGAGGCTGGAATGCAGTGACGTGATCATGGCTCACTGCAGCCTTGACCTCCCAGGCTCAGGTGATCTTCCGACCTCAGCCTCCGTAACTGCTGGGACTATAGGCATGCATCACCATGACTGGCTAATTTTTGTATTTTTTGTATAGACGGGGTTCCACTATGTTGCCCAGGCTGGTCTCGAGCTCCTAAGCTCACGAGGTTCACCAGCCTCAGCCTCCCAAAGTGTTGGAATTGTAGGCATAAGCCACTGTCCCTGGCCTTGATCCTCCTTTTTTTTTTTTTGAGATGGAATCTTGCTCTGTCACCCAGGCTGGAGTGCAGTGGTGCCATTTCGGCTCACTGCAACCTCCATCTCCCGAGATCAAGCGATTCTCCTGCCTCAGCCTCCCTAGTAGCTGGGACTACAGGCACATGCTACCACGCCCAGCTAATTTTTGTATTTTTAAGTAAAGACAGGGTTTCACCATGTTGGCCAGGACAGTCTCGATCTCTTGACCTCGTAATCCGCCCACCTCGGCTGCCCAAAGTGCTGGGCTTACAGGCGTGAGCCACCATGCCCTGCCGGTCCTACGTTTAAAATACTTTCCCTTCCTACAGCCACTGCCTTGGTTGAGGATCTGTCATTTTCACCCTAACTTTCTTTCTAACTTGTCTCCCCACCTCCAGCCTTGCCTCCTCTGATGCATCTTCCACAAAACAGTTGGAGTGATCATTGTAGAAGAGAATCTCTGTCTCCCTCTCCCCTTCAGTGATTTCTGTCACTTTCAGTCTAAACTGCATACGATGGCATTGATATCCCGAGGTGCTACCATGTCCTCATGTCCTTGACATCAGTCATCATTCCACATTCCCTACCACTCTCCCAAGACACCACATTTTGTGCCTTTGTACATGTGGCATTATCTTCCTAGGGTGTCCTTCACCTCCTTAATAGATACCTGGCCATCCCTTAAGGCTCGTTGTAGATATCACCTCCCTCAGGAAGCCTCCCCCAGTGCCCCCACGTCCCCTTATGTGACTATAAGGCTCTGTGAATAGGAAAGCACATCCTGTACTGTGCTTCTCCTGTTTGTTTGCTGCGCTTCTGCTCGGGGCATCCTTCTTCATCCCCTCATTGGTTAATCCCTCCTTGACCTTTAGACTAAACTCGTGTTTCCTCCTCAGGGATGGCTTCTAGGATTCCCTTGGCTCTCACCAGCTAAAGTCAGGAGTCCCTCTCATGTGTTCTTTGAGTCTCATTGTGTGCACCAGACTCTACAGTAATGGCTATAAGTCTCTCAAGGCCAGATTGTTATTAGTGGGAGCCGTTGTCCATCAGTGCCGACACAGCACAGCACCAGGCGCACTGGAAGAGCCCCATAAATACTTGCTGAATGAAGCAACTCCATGGCCACCTCCAATGGCTTAGCTTCATGCCAGGAACTCAGTATAGGGCAGGTGCTCAATGAAAGGGATGGAATGAAACAGAGAGCTAAAATGCCCATTGGATTTGTTGACATGGAAGCTACTGATTGATGATCTTCAGGAAATCAGTTTCCAGGGAATGAGAGAGCAACCAGAAGGCAGGTAAAGAAGTTGAGAGCGTGATTGTAGCTTGTTCTGTCAAGAAACTCAATTGGGAATAGGACAATAACCAGAGGGGTACAGGGCAGAGAAGGCTGTTGATGTTGCTGTTGTTTTTAGGTTTTTAACAAGGGAGATCACCTTATTCAAGAGATAATCATGGAATTTATCCTCTCAAGAATAATTCTCTTATAAGCAAGTAATTTCTGTAATATAGAAACATTGGACTTTTCTCACCATCAAATCTGGAATTAAAAAATTCTCATCGTGACTTTACTTGGAACATCCACTTCAGTTTCTGATCATGTTGTAAGGATTTGAACCATAAGATGCCTAATGAAATTTAAAGATCATTCATATTATATAAATGTTTAAATAAAAAAATCTAACATATGGATCAAGCTGTAAATATTTTTATTCGACATGTCAAGCTCTTATCACTTTGATTAAAAATTTTGTATTTGGGCCGGGCGCGGTGGCTCACACCTGTAATCCCAGCACTTTGGGAGGCCCAGGCAGGCTGATCACGAGGTCAAGAGATCGAGACCTGCATGGCCAACATGGTGAAACCCCATGTCTTCTAAAATTACAAAAATTAGTCGGGCGTGGTAGCGCGCGCCTATAATCCCAGCTACTCAGGAGGCTGAGGCAGGAGAATTGCTTGAAACCGGAAGGTGGAGACTGCAGTGAGCGAGATTGCCCCACTGCATTCTAGCCTGGGCAACAAGAGCGAAATTCTGTCCCCTGCCCCCTCAAAAAATTTGTATTTGGGCCAGGCGTGGTGGCTCAGGTCTGTAATCCCAGCACTTTGGGAGGCCAAGGTGGGTTGATCACGAGGTCAGGAGATCAAGACCATCCTGTCTAACACGGTGAAACCCCATCTCTACTAAAAATACAAAAATTAGCTGGTCATGGTAGCGCGTGCCTGTAGTCCCGGCTACTCAGGAGGCTGAGGCAGGAGAATCACTTGATCCCGGGAGGTGGAGGTTGCAGTGAGCCAAAATGGCGCCACTACACTCCAGCCTGGGTGACAGAGTGAGAGTCTGTCTCAAAAACAAACAAACAAAAAGCACACACAAAAAAACTTACACTTGTAATATTTAACCCTTTTCTTAATAATCATACAAAAGTTGTTATGATACCTCTTTTTACAGCAGAAGAAGCTGGAATATAGAAAAAGTAAATAATTTGACCAATGCCTCCTTGATAGTCATTGGAGAGCTGGAATTCAAAACTATGTCTGCACTATGTTAGAGAATATAGATTCTCAGTTTATATTTTTTGAAAATTTGGACCAGGCATAGTGGCTCACACCTGTAATCCCAGCACTTTGGGAGGCCAAGGCAGGAGGATCACTTGAGCCCAGGAGTTCAAGACCAGCCTGGGCAACATAGCAAGATCCTGTCTCTACAAAAAATAAAAAGACAAATTTCCTGGGTGTGGTGGCACGCACTTGTAGTCTCACCTACTTGGGAGGCTAAAGCTGGAGGATTTCATGAGCCTGGGAATTCAAGGTTGCAGTGAACTATGATCCCACCATTGCACTCCAGCCTGGGTGACAGAGTGAGACCCTGTCTCTAAAAATAATGTGTTTGAAAACGTTGTCACATAGTTGCTGTTTGTTTTTAAACATAAGAAGAGAACCTGGGAAGGGAGGAAGCACAGGTGAGGCCTGAGTCCCCTGGGCCCATGTGGGGAGATGACCTGGTACAGCTGGAGGGATGAGCCACTGATGTGCGCCAGGTAGACTCGCACTGATTCAGAAAAGGAGGAGGAGGCCGGGCGTGGTGGTTCATGCCTTTAATCACAGCACTTTGGGAGGCAGAGGCAGGCAGATCACGAGGTCAGGAGATCGAGACCATCCTGGCTAAGACGGTAAAATCCCGTCTCTACTTAAAAAAAAAAAAAAAAAAAAAACCACAAAAGAAATTAGCCGGGCATGGTGGCGGGCGCCTTTTGTCCCAGCTACTCGGGATGCTGAGGCAGGAGAATGGAGTGAACCCGGGAGGCGGAGCTTGCAGTGAGCCAAGATCGCGCCACTGCACTCCAGCCTGGGCGACAGAGTGAGACTCCGTCTCAAAAAAAAAAAAAGAAAGAAAGAAAAAAAAGAAAAGGAGGAGGAGAGATGCAAACAAGTTTGCAGATGGAAGAGAAATTGGAGGAGTTTTGGCCTTACAGTCTTACTTTCTTTTTTTCAATGCCATCAAAACTACCTGCTAAAATGCAGGGGAGAAAAGCAGGGCATGGGCGTGTGGAGAGAGCTGGTCAAGGGACCACAGCTGGGAAGCTTCTGCAGAGGCAGGAGACAGGAGCTCAGAGTGGCATCCTGCGGCTATGAGGTTTGCTCTGACTGCTCCTGACATCTCAAGAAATAGGGGATGAGGTTGATTCCCTGCTGAGGTTTCCTAGGGCATTCATTTGTGATGGAGGGATGGGGAAAGATGGGTGATAGCAGGTCCTGGACACCATGACCTGTGAAATATTGTCTGGAAAGGTGATGAAGCAAGAAGGAATCCAGGGACGGGTACAATGCACCACTGGTTTAGGTGGTGCTCAAACTTGAGCATGCATCGGAATCCCCTGGAGGGCTTGTAAAGGCGCAGACTGCTGAGCACCAGAGTGTCTGATTCAGCAGGGCAGGGCATGTGCATTTCCCAGGAGTTTCCAGGGATGCAGATGCTGCTGGTCAGGTTGAGGACCACGCTTTGAGGAGAGCCAGAAGAGCTGGGATGTGGGGAGGAGGTAAATGAGAGTTTTTCTCTCCTGAGGTCTCATTAAGATTTCCAAGAGGACAGAACCATTTTTAGACTCAGAGGAATTTAGGGTGTCATTGAAAGTACTGACTGTGAGGGGACACCAAATACATACACACACACTCACACACACACAGTCACTCTCTCTCACACACTCACACGCACACACACACACACTCACACAACAAAGAGATCCCTGTCCATTAGTTGACAAAGGTTCTCTGCTTGACCAAACTTTAGTCAGGCTCCTGAGCCTTTTCCTAGGCCCATCTGTGCACTTCCATGTAAAATCCAGTTTAGCTAAGAACCGTGCTAAGTCAGTTTAGCAAGAATCCCCTCACCCTTAATATCGGATCAGGTTCCTCAGCCTCCACCATCCCGCAGGTGACACCTGGTTTACCCTGGCCTGTCTTCAGCAAGAATCCTGTTAGGTGCGTTTAGCCAGAATCCCCCTTACCTCTGATGTTTCCTCTTAGTAATTTCCCGTCCACTGACCCCCACCCTGCTCCTTGGCTATAAACTCCCACTTGCACCAGCTGTATTCAGAGTTGAGCCCAATCTCTCACCCTACTGCAAGACCCTGTTGCAGTGGTCCCTACGCCTATTGCAATGGTCCCTACGCCTATTGCAATGGTCCTGAATAAAGTATTCCTTACCATGATTTACCAAGTGTCTTAGTCTGTTTTGTGTTGGTTTAAGGAACAGCTGAGACTGGGTAACTTATAAAGAAAAAAGGTTTATTTGGCTCATGATTCTGATGTCTGGAAAAGTTCAAGACTAGGCATCTGGTGAGGGCCTCAGGGTGCTTCCACTCATGGCAGATGGTGAGAGGGACCTGGTGTATGCAGATCACATGGCAAGAGAGGAGGTGAGAGAGACAGAGGAGCTCTTTTCAACAACCAGTTCTGGCAGCGACTAATGGAGCGAGAACTCATTCACCCCCAACCACCCCAGGGAATTGTTCTATTCATGAGGCATCTGTCCCCATGACCCAAACACCTCCCCTTAGGCCCCACCCCCCAAACTGGGGATACATTTTGGCATGAGGTTTTTGGGAACAAACATCTAAACTATAGCACTATGTATAATTGGATAACTTTTTTTTTTTTTTTTTGAGACAGAGTCTCACTGTCGCCCAGGCTGGAGTGCAGTGGCGCAATCTCGGCTCACTGCAAGCTCTGCCTCCTGGGTTCACGCCATTCTCCGGCCTCAGCCTCCCGAGTAGTTGGGACTACAGGCGCCCGCCACCACACCTGGCTAATTTTTTGTATTTTTTTTTAGTAGAGACAGGGTTTCACCGTGTTAGCCAGGATGGTCTCGATCTCCTGACCTTGTGATCCGCCTGCCTCGGCCTCCCAAAGTGCTGGGATTACAGGCTTGAGCCGCCGCGCCCGGCCATAACTTTTTTTTTAATAAGTTTATTTTCTTCTCAAAGAAGACACACCCCACCCCTTTTCTAGGGTGCCCAGGTTAGCCCACTTCTCTTTTGGCAGCTCTTCCAAACCTGGTGACTTCTTTTATTTCTTTTTCTTTCTTTCTTTCTTTTTTTTTTTTTGAGACAGAGTATCCCTCTGTCACCCAGGCTGGAGTACAGTGGCACGATCTCAGCTCCCTGCAACCTCCATTTCCCAGGTTCAACCGATTCTCATGCCTTAGCGTCCTGATTAGCTGGGATTACAGGCGTTTGCCACCACACCTGGCTAATTTTTGTATTTTTAGTAGAGATGGGGTTTCGCCATGCTGGCCATGGCTGGTCTCGAACTCATGACCTTAGATGATCCACCTGCCTCGGCCTCTCCAAGTGCTGGGATTACAGGTGTGAGCCACTGCGCTTGGCCCCAACCCTGGTGACTTCTTTTGGTGACCAGGTAAAATGTTTCAGAGTTCCTAAATAATGACGTATGCCAGGGATGAATGCAAACCCCTACATTTTCATCCAAAAACTAGACAGTACAAGAAAACGCCTGTGTGACATCCCAAACATCCAGCCCGGCTTTTAATCAGGAACCTAGAAGCCATAGGATACCTCGCCCAGGCCTTTGGCAGACAGCATACTGTCAGATGTTCAGAAACACTGACGAGAGAAATGTCCTTTGCAGGAGAGAGAGCCAGTGGAGGGCAGGAGAACTGGCATCCAGGTCTCCATGAGGTATAAGCTCTCTTCTTGCAAACAGAACACCAGAAGGACGCATCTTGGGACCCATCCACTGAGTGCCACTGAGAACTGTGGGTGAGCTGCCTTCGTGCTTTTCCCCTCTATTCTCTAATTATTTCTTCATTGCTCCATGCATGGCTTACTTTAATTTGGTTATTTAATCTGTTACATAAGAGGTGTCCATGAA
This sequence comes from Homo sapiens, assembly GCF_000001405.40. Classification (NCBI taxonomy): domain Eukaryota; kingdom Metazoa; phylum Chordata; class Mammalia; order Primates; family Hominidae; genus Homo; species Homo sapiens. The sequence goes on from NC_000017.11 coordinate 16,503,830, forward strand.
CTCACCATGCAAAACAAAACAGAACCAAGCCAGGTCCTTGACAAGAAGTGACTGACTCATAGGGTTCTCTGCCATCCCATTGCTCTGCCTCCCCCCATGTCAATATCTGCATCCTGAATCTGATGTTCATCATTCCTTCCTTTTCTCTTCATATTATTTTAAACTTTCTTTTTTATAATGGAAAATTTCAAAAATACACAAAACTAGAGACTAGTCTATTGAAACTACATGTACCTGTGTCCACATTTTAACTTCAAATCATACCCTGCCTTGCTTTATCCTACCCCCACCCCACATTTCCTCTGTTTCCACATTTTTAAGCCATTGTATTTTACTTATATTTGTCCCTAAAGGGTGTCTATTTCTATTTTGGTTGTCTCTAACTTGATAAAAATACATCCTGCAGTATTTTTTTTTTTTTGAAGAGACTTTTTTTCCCCATGTACTATTGTATTGGTAAGAATCATCCTCATTGCTGCCTGTCACTGGAGTTCATTCATTCTGTGTCCTTTGTATCTTGATTTATTTCTCCACTCGCCTCTAGATGGCCATTCAAGTTGAAGGTTTTTGCTATTGTGAAGGGCGCTGCTGTAAATATTCTTTTTTTTTGAGACGGAGTCTCGCTCTGTCACCCAGGCTGGAGTGCAGTGGTGCAATCTTGGCTAACTGCAACCTTCACCTCCTGGGTTCAAGCCATTCTCCTGCCTCGGCCTCTGGAGTAGCCGGGACTACAGGCACGCGCCACCACACCTGGCTAATTTTTGTATTTTTAGTAGAGACAGGGTTTCACCATGTTGGCCAGGATGGTCTCGATCTCTTGACCTCGTGCTCCGCTTGCCTTGGCCTCCCAAAGTGCTAGGATTACAGGCATAAGCCACCACGCCTGGCCTACAAATATTCTTACACATTCTCCTCCTACACCTGGTATAGTCCTAGGAGTGGAATTATTTAACTTTAAGATTAATGCTGGATTATTTTCCAAAGTGGCTACAGCAAATTACTTCCCCTCCCCTGTAGCACTGGATTCCCCTCATCCATATCCTCTGCTCCCCTCCAATGCTTTTATTGATAAGCTTATTAATTTTTTCTGATTACCTGGCCAACTAAAATGGAATCCAATTTGGGCCTTCATTTACATAAATACCATAGGCTGGGTTTTTGCTTACTTGGAACTTGTCACTCCTTCCTTCTTTTTTATTTCTCCTTTTTGAAATGGGAGTGTTTATCCTATGCCTGTCCCACCAATGTATTTTGTAAGCACATAATACAGTGCTTACTTGTCTGGCTTCACAGGTTCATAGCTGGAGAGGAATGTTTTCTTGGGATAAATCATACCTTGAGTCTCACCCGTATCTGATTTAGATAACATTCAGATCAGACTTTGGACTTTAGACTTTAGGGTTGTTGCTGGAATGAGTTAAGACTTTTGGTTATGTTGGGATGGAATAAATGTATTTTGTATGCTTTAAGGTCACGAATTTTGGGGGAGTCACTGGGGTGAAATGCTACGGACTGAATTATGTCCCCCAAAATTTGTATATTAAAGTCTTAATCCCCAGGGTGAAGATATTTGGAGATGGGAACTTTGGGAGGTAATTAGATTTAGTTGAAGTCCTGAGTGTGGGATTAGTGCCCTTGTAAGAAGACCATGGAGAGTTTGTGCCACCCAATCCACCAAAAGGGCCATGTGAGAACACAGCATGAAGACGGCTGTGTACAAGCCAAGAACGCAGGTCCCTTGCAGGAACCCGAATTGTTTCCCTGCAACTTCCAGCCTCCAGGACTGTGAGAAAATAAATGACTGCAGTATAAGCCCCACAGCCTATGGTATTTTGTTAGGGCAGCCAGAGCTGACTAAGACAGCTGGTGCTGTTGACCATCTCTTCATCTGTTTACCGGCCCATCTCTTTCCTTTTCAGTTAAATGCCTGATCACATATTTTGTCTGTTTTTCGATTAGGTGGTTCTATTAGGTACCAAGAGCTGCTGTAAGCAATTACCACAAACTTGGCAGCTTAAAACAACACAGTTCTATTACCTCACAGTTCTGGAGGTCAGAAAGCTGAAGTGGGTCTCGCAAGGCTAAAGTCAAGGTGTGCAGACTGCCCGCCTTATAGAGGCTCTCAGGAGAATTCGTTTCCTCACCTGTCCCAGCTTCTAGGAGTTGCCCGAATTCCATGGCTCATGGCCCCTTCCAGCAATCACATCACTCTGGCCTGTTTTTGTTTTTATCTTTCTCTCCCTGATCCTCCTGCCCCCATCTTCTAAGGACCTTTGTGATTACAGTAGGCCCACGCAGGTATTCTCGTATAATGTTCCCATCTCAAGATCCTTAATACAATCATATCTGCAATGTCCCTCTTGCCATGTAGGGTAACATATTCAGAGGTTTGAGGGATACGGTTGTGAGTCTGCTTGGGGAGAGGGGCATTGTTCTGCCTACCACGGTTGTGCTCTTGCCTTTTTTCATGGGTCAGTATAAGAGAAGCCTCCTAATAGAAAATAAAAAGTGTTAGCCAGGATGTGGAGAAATTAGAGCCCTTGTGCCCTGCTGGTGGGAATGTAAAATGGCGTGGCAGCTGTGGAAAACAATATGGTGGTGCCTCAAAAAATTCAAGATGGAATTTCCATGTGATCCAGCAATTCCACCTCTGGGTATATACCCAAAGGAGATGAAAGCAGGGACTCAGTCAGATACTTGTGACCCCATGTTCACAGCAGCATTCTTCACAATAGCCAAAAGGAGGAAGCAACCCAAGTGTCTATCAATAGATGATGGATAAACAAATGTGGAATATACAGACAGTGGAATGTTATCCAGCCTTGAAAAGAAGGAAATCCTGACAAATGCTACAACATGGCTAAACCTTGAGGACGTTATGCTAAATGAAATAAGCGAGACACAAAAGAAGAGCTATTGTAAGATTCTACTTATATGAGATACCTAGAGTAGTTAATTTCATAGAGACAGAAAGTAGAATGGTGGGCCTAGTGCAGTGGCTCATGCCTATAATCTCAGCACTTTGAAAGGCCAAGGCAGGAGGATTGCTTGAGGCTGAGAGTTTGAGGCCAGCCTGGGCAGCATAGTGAGAACCTCTCTCTACAAAAAATTAAATTAAACTGAAAAAAAATGTAGAATGGTGGTTGCCAGAGGCTAGGATAAGAGAATAGGGAGTTACTGTTTAATGGGTAGAGTTTTTGTTTCCTAAGAAGGAGGTGGAGTTCTGTAGATAGATGGAGAGTCTGGGTTTTCTAAAATGGGGAGAGTTCTGTAGACAGATGATGGTGATGGTTGCATAATAATGTGAATGTGGCTGGGCGCGGTGGCTCACGCCTGTAATCCCAGCACTTTGGGAGGCTGAGGCAGGTGGATCACCTGAGGTCAGGAGTTTGAGACCAACATGGCGAAACCTCGTCTCTACTAAAAACACAAAAATTAGCCAGGCATGGTGTCACACGCCTGTAATCCCAGCTACTCGGGAGGCTGAGGCAGAGAATTGCTTGAACCCAGGAGGTGGAGTTTGCAGTGAGCTGAGATTGCACCACTGCACTCCAGCCTGGGCAACCGAGTGAGACTCTGTCTCAAAAAAAAAAAAAAAAGTGAATGTACTTAACACTACTGAATTGTACACTCAAAAGTGGTTGAGATAGTAAATTTTATGTTATGTGTACTTTTTACCACAATTAAAAAAATGAAGAGTGACATATCAGCATTTGCATGTGCAGTATTGTTCATTTTTTTGTTCAATAAACTCTTTTTTAAAAACAATTATTTATTTATTATTATTTTTTAAGAGATGGGGTCTTGCTTTTTTGCCCAGGCTGCAGTGAAGTGGCATGATCATAGCTTACGGTAGTCTCAAACTTCTGGACTCAAGTGATTCTCCTGCCTCAACCTCTCAAGTAGCTAGGACTACAGGCGTGCCACCATGCCCAGCAAATTTTTCATAGAGACAGAGACTCACTATGTTGCCCGGGGTGATCTCAAACTCTGGGGCTGAAGCAATCCTCCAACCTCAGTCTCCCAAAGTGCTGGGATTACAGGTGTGAGCTACCATGCCTGGCCTCAATAAACTCTTATTAGTGAATAAGCATTCTCCAGATCCTGTGTCAGGCACTGGGGCTCCCAAGAAGAATAAGACACTGTCCCTGTCCTCAGAGCTCATGGTTTCAGAGGGACAAGGCACACAGTTGAGCAATGTATGCAACAGAGTGCTCTAGAGTATTCTGGGTAATAAAAGCCTACAGGTGACTTGAGGAATATAGGGGAGGGAGTGGCTGGTTCTTCTGGCAGGCTACAGTGCGAGTCAGGAAGCCTTTCTGGAAAATGTAACATGTGACCTGATTTCTGAAGCCTGAACAAGTAGTCACCAAGCTTCGGGGGTTAGGGAGGGAGAAGTTTGAGCAATGCAGGGGCCTGACATGTCGTGGTGTGTTCATGGCTCTGCACTTGGTTCTTTGGGGCTCGAGGTGACAGAGGAAGCCTGGGCCAGCAGCGGATAGGGTAGAGAAGGAAGCAGAGGCCAGACTACAGAGAGTCAGTCTCTGGCTGGGTGAGGTGCTGGACACTCCCTGTAGGCCATGGGAATGGCCTATAGGACAGATTCTGAGCAGGAGGGTGACAGGATCGCCTTGAAGTTAGAACCATCACTCGGCAATGCAAGATTACTTATCCGATTTATTCATTCTTGCTTCCAGACTATGTAGAAACTGGCAAAAAGCCTAAAAGTCTAGTGTTTTCAGGCCTGTTTGGAGAGAATGATGGACATGGGTTTGTGAAATATCAAATGCTTGTTCTGACCCAAATTGCTCATAATCAGAAAGAGTACCTTTTCTTTTTTTTCTTTTTTTTGAGATAGGGTCTTACTCTGTTGCCCAGGCTGGAGTGCAGTGGCATGATCATAGCTCACTGCAGCCTTGAACTCCTGGATTCAAGGGATCCTCCCAACTCAGCCTACTGAGCATCTGGAACTACAGTGTATGCCAACACACTTGGCTAATTTTGTATTTTTTAGTAGAGAGAGAGTCTCGCTATTTTGCCCAGGCTGGTCTTGAACTCCTGGCCCCAAAGGATCCTCCCACCTTGGCCTCCCAATGTGTTAGGATTATAGGCCTGAGCCACTGCACTCAGCCAGAGGAGTATGAATACTTAGATATTTGCACACAAATCTCAGTCTGACATAAGTCTGCAACTCCAGCAGCAAAAAAAAGTCTCTATTCTCTTTTCTCAGCAGTGTTTCAAATTGAGCCTTATTGATTATGACCTTGTAGTTTATCTCTCGCAAGTAGCTTTCTAATAAAAAATACTTATGTAACTGTCTTTACTTAATGTTCAAGAGTCTAGCATATTCTCCGTGAATCAGGAGACTAATATTTTATGCTGGCAGTGACACAGAAACCCACAGTTCATTGTCTGAGACTACAGCTTGTCCCAAAGATCCCCATGGAACACGAAGTAATCCCCATCAGCTACAGCCAGAAAATCAGTTTCCTATGAAGTTAGAACAATACGGCTGGGTTTCCAGGAGGTAAAGCATCCTGAAGCTTTGCTGGATGGTATTATTTCTGGTTTTCGCCAGGCTGCAAAGAATTTTCACTTGTTATAATAGGGCAGTCCATTTCCTGCAAAGAAATATCTTTCCTAGGGGTCTGTCTACTCTATAGCTCACAATGTTCAGAAATAACAAGAACTTTACAAGTGTTTACAAACATCGTCTTGTGTTAGGCAAGTATCAAAAAATCTTGTCTCTCACAGACGTTTCAGAGAATCCACACAAATAACTCAGAAAGTCTGTTCATTGCAGAAAAGCTAGTATGAGTTTGCCTTTTTTTTTTTTTTTTTTGAGACAAGTTCTTGCTCTGTCACCCATGCTGGAGTGCAGTGGCGCAATCATGGCTCACTGCAGCCTCAAATTCCTGGGCTCAAGTGATTCCCCTTCTTCAGCCTCCTGAGTAGCTGAGACTATAGGGACATGCCACCATACCCAGCTAATTTTTTTTTTTTTGAGACAGAGTCTCACTCTGTCACCCAGGCTGGAGTGCAGTGGTGCGATCTCAGCTCACTACAACCTCCGCCTCCTGGGTTCAAGCAATTCTCCTGCCTCAGCCTCCGGAGCAGCTGGGACTACAGGCACGTGCCATCATGCCCAGCTAATTTTTGTATTTTTAGTGAAATGGGGTTTCATCATGTTGGCCAGGCTGGTCTCGAACTCCTGACCTGAGGTGGTCCACTCGCCTCGGCCTCCCAAAGTGCTGGCATTACAGGTGTGAGCCACCACACCCGGCGAATACCCAGCTAATTTAAAAAAATTTTTGTACAGACAGGGTCTCACCACGTTGCCCAGGCTGGTCTCGAACTCCTGCACTCAAGCCATCCTCCTGTCTTGGCTTCCCTAAGTGTTGGGATTACAGGTACAAGCCACTGCACCTGGCCTGTTCTGACTTTTGTGCGGCGTGAAGTGAAGAAACTTAACAGGGCATTTCCTTTCGTGCTGTTCTGGCTGTGATGAGCATTTGCAGAATCCCTGGGCATTATTCTCATGGCATTACTCTCTCACTAAAGAGTCTGAGGGCTCGAAGTCATTATCACTCAGTTCTCTCTGAAACTTCAAGTCAGCATCTCAGCTATTCTGTCAATGTTGTGAGCAAAAACTAGTAGCCACACTTTCCAAGTGACAGAGAGGAAGTGTGAGCATGCCACTTCATTACATTTCCTCTCCGGTTGACAGAAGATTCTGACCATTCCTCTTGTTGTCTAGAACAATGGCGGGTGATTTTGTGTCCAAAGGTCATGTGGCAATGTTTAGAGACATTTTCCATTGTCATGACTGGGGTTGAGGGAGCTACTGGCATCAGGTGGGTAGAGGCCAGGGATGTTGCTAAACATCCTACAATGCCCGGACGGCCTCCTCTCCGCGAAAAGAATTTTCCAGTCTAAAATACCAATGGTGTCAAGATTAAGAAATCCTGGTCTAGAACTAGAATCCAAATGCCCCAGTGCCAGCCATTTAGTTCTCTCAGAAAGCAGACTTTTCTGCCCACCCCAATCATGTTCCCCTTTTGTAGTGATGGAAGTTATAACAAGATGCAAGACCAGATTACATTTTCCAGCCTTCTTTGCAGTTTAGTGTGGCCATTTCAGTAGCTCCCACCAATGGAACAAGACCTAAAGTGATGTGTGCCACTCTGGCCAAGGCTTCTGAGAATTCCCTTTTCCCTTCTGCTGGCAAGATGTAGATGACAACTAGGCTGTATGGGAGAGCCATGATGGGAGCCTGGATCCCTGCATCGCCCTATGGCAGAGAGCTGCCCATCGGCTGAAAACACATGCTGCAGTCGCTTATGTGAGTGAGAAATAAACTCCTGTGTTTGAGCCAATTTACATCTTTAGGTCTACTTGTCACAGCAGCTTAGCTCACCCTAGCCAGTAAACAGCCAATCCCCAAGAGCCTATTTTGATGCTAGGAGCCTTAGGAAGCAGAGAGAGCTCTGAATGAGGCAAACATGGCAGGGATCTTTGCCCCTGAGGTTAGCTTGGGTCCCCTCTGCTAAATGGTAGGAGCAGCGCAAGTTCAAGCCTGCCATCAAGGGGCCCTTGCTTTGTTTAGTACAGCCTTGACTTCAGGAGTAGGTTGTGATATGATCCCCACTCTGTGTGATTTCAGCTACGTCATCACGATTAGACACTTAGGCTACTCCGATGGTCCATTTTATCTGTCAGCTCAACTGGGCCACTAGATGCCCAGATATCTGGTCAAACATTATTCTGCTGTGTCTGTGAAGGTGTTTCTGGACGAGGTCAGAATTTGAATCTGTAGACTGAGTGAGGCTGATTGTTCTCTCTAATGTGGGTGAGCTGCATCCCATCAGTTGAAGGCCTGGGTAGAACACAAAGGCTGAGTAATAGGAAACCCCTTCCTGCCTGACTGTGGGGACCAGGACATTGGTCTTTTTCTGTCTTTGGTCTCAAACAGAAACATCTGCTCTTCTTGGGTCTTGAGCCTGTGGCTTTCAGACTGGAATGTATACTCCTGGGTCTTCAACTTGCTGACTGCAGATCTTGGGAAGTTTCAGCCTCCATAATTGCACAGGCCAATTCCTTACAATAAATCTCTCTCTGTCTCTGTCTCTCTCTTTCTCTACACACACACACACACACACACACACACACACACACACACACACACGCATCCTGTTGGTTCTTTTCCTCTGGAGAACCCTAATACAGTTGCAAATTGCAGAAACTCACCTGAAAGCAGTTTAGGCAGAAAAGGGAAGAGGCTCAGAGAACCAAAGCACAGGAAGTGATGGGGTGCAGCTGGCCGCAGGGACAGCTGGACCAGCAGGGCGCATTTTCTCCACCTCTTATCCCCACTGCTCTGGGTGTGTTGGCTTCATTCTCTCTTTGTGCAGTTAAGCCTCTTCACACAGCAGGGAAAAAGCATCATGATCTCTAAGCTCATATCCTCACAGCTGCTGGGCCAAAGAGGAAGCGTCCTCCCTGTCTCTCACTTGAAAATTCTGGGAGGGACTTGGGTTGAGCATCCCTGCTGTGCCTGGAGCAGGCTGTATTATCAGGAGAAATAAGGAATGGGCATAAAAAATGGCTGTACATTGTTTCTTGCATGTACTCTGTGACATTGGGATATGGTCACTGTCCCCTTCCACTTCTGCTGGCTCATCTTTGCCTCCCATCCCTGCTACTTTGACCCAGGGAATCAAAGTGTAGCCTCAGGGAGCAAATTACAGAATTTTTTTCCAACAACCCCTCCCCCACCACTCCTACATTGGCAGTGGTGGCTGTCCAAAACGTGACAGGAGAAAATTCTAACTGTGCAAAATGTGATAGATCCTACAACATGATGATACATGAGATCTGTCATGTAACTCAAGCTGGAAAAATTTCAGCAAGATAAACTGACTGCCATACATCTTAACTAGTCCCTGTCCAGTTTCTATTGGCTAATGCTAGTTTGTTTCTTTTATTTTTTTGAGATGGAGTCTTGCTGTGTCACCCAGGCTGGAGTGCAGTGGCGCAATCTCAGCTCACTGCAACTCCCGCCTCATGGATTCAAGGGGTCCTTCTCTCTCAGCCTCCCAAGTAGCTGGGATTACAGATGCGTGCCACCATGTCCAGCTAATTTTTGTATATTCTTAGTAGAGACGGGATTTCACTATGTTGGCCAGGCTGGTCTTGAACTCCTGACCTCAGGTGATCCACCCGCCTCAGCCTCCCAAAGTGTTGGGATTACAGGCGTGAGCCACCGTGCCTGGCCCATCCTAGTTTCTTTCTTTCTTTTTTTTTTTTTTGAGATGGAGTTTCACTCTTGTTGCCCAGGCTGGAGTGCAATGGCATGATCTTGGCTCATAGCAACCTCCGCCTCCCGGGTTCAAGCCATTCTCCTGCCTCAGCTTCCCAAGTAGCTGGGATTATAGGCATGCGCCACCACGCCTGGCTAATTTTGTATTTTTAGTAGAGAAGGGGTTTCTCCATGTTGGTCAGGCTGGTCTCAAACTCTGGACCTCAGGTGATCCACACACCTCGGCCTCCCAAAGTGCTGGGATTACAGGCGTGAGCCACTGCGCCCGGCCATTTATTTCATTCATCATACTTATCATACTCTGTGATTCCTTGCTTGATTTGTTTACTTGTTTACTGTCCACCTTTCCTACCAGAATTAAGCTCCCTGAGGGCCAGGTTCCATCTGTCTTGGTTCTTGCAGTGCCTCCGTACCTGGCACAGTGGTTGGCATGCCCCTGCTTGTGATGTGTGTAACAGAATATGCCTTTTGCCAATGCTCAGGGTGTTGCTGGGGTTTTGCTGAGGTTTTCCACTTTTCTCTGCACATGGTGACTTAAAGGTCTGCAGGCACTTCTTTGAATCTACTCTTATTTCCGCCATGCCTCGCAGAAGTTCCTTGAGGTCTCTGAGGCCTGAGCGGCCGTTTTCTTCTATGTCTAGTGTAATCACCCTCTACTTTCATACTCTTTTAGTCATTTCAGTGACAACTTGGAAGATGGGGATTCCCGGTACGAGATTGGAAAGGCATAAAATGATACGGCAGTGATCGCTCTTTGGAGATGGTGCTCATAGTCTCACCTTCCAGGGGTTTTTCCTTCATTCTACAAATATTTATTTATTGGCAGGGGCTCGGTTCACTCTCTTGAGCCACTCTCTTGGGCAAGTTCCAAGTCCTCATGTTGACCTGTCTGCCGCATTTGCCATTGCGACTGCTCTTTCCTGTCTGGGGCTTTCTCCACCCTCTTGTTTCTCAATGCAGTAGGGGTCAAGACCCTGCTCCTTCCTAGTTTGCCTTCTTCCTCTTTGACATCACCTCTCCATCTTCCTCAGAGAATCCCCCCTTCCTTCAGTATACCACATGGCACACTGGTCCACTGATTTGCCCTTGTCCAGCTTCTCTTCCCAGGCAGTCTCCTCCGAGGCCTTTGGTTCAGTTCCCTTCTGCAGGAGCTGGTTCTCAATTGCGCGTGTGGAGTCAGAGCACAATCACATCTCAAACTCAACACGTGCAGGGTGGAGGTCGCTTCCTCCCCACACCCTTGCTCCTCTCGCTTCTCTTTCCCTCAGCATTTCCCTGCTCCTCATCCAACTTGCAGCCAACTCTTGTGGATTCTACATTCCCAGCATCTCTCTGGGACCCTACCTCTCCATCCTGGCTACCCTTGCCTTAGTCCCAGCCAGAATCATGTTTTTGTTTTGTTTTGTTTTGTTTTCCCAAGACAAAGTCTTTTTCTGTCACCCAGGCTGGAGTGCAGTGGCTCGATCTTGGCTCGCTGCAACTTCCGCCTCTTGGGTTCAAGTGGTTCTCCTGCCCCAGCCTCCCGAGTAGCTGGGATTACAGGCGCGTGCCACCACGCCTGGCTAATTTTTGTATTTTTAGTAGAGACAGGGTTTCACCATGTTGGCCAGGCTGGTCTCGAACTCCTGACCTCGTGATCCACCCACCTCAGCCTCCCAAAGTGTTGGGATTACAGGCGTGAGCCACGGTGTCTGACCCATGTTTTATGTCTGTTAGTGTGACCCCTATCTTCTTGCCTCCAGTTCTTCTCTCCTTTTAGCTCCTCCATGCCTCCTTTAAATGATCTTCCTATAATACAGCATTGTACTATATCTGCAATACAGCATTGTATCCGACTTCCTCCTTTCATTTATTTATTTATTTTTTTTTGAGATGGAGTCCTGCTTTTGTTGCCCAGGCTGGAGTGCAATGGCACAATCTTGGCTGACTGCAACCTCTGCCTCCCGGGTTCAAGTGATTCTCCTCCCTCAGCCTCCCGAATGGCTGGAATTACAGGTGCCTGCCACCACGCCGGGCTAATTTTTGTATTTTTAGTAGAGACAGGGTTTCGCCATGTTGACCAGGCTGGTCTTGAACTCCTGACCTCGTGATCTGCCTGCCTTGGCCTCCCAAAGTGCTAGGATTACAGGCGCAAGCCACCGCGCCCAGCCTGACTTCATCCTCAATACCTCAATACCTTGAATGCTGAATTAAGTCCCAAATCCTTGTCACCAGAGGCCCTTCATGGCCGGGCCCCTGCCCATCTCTCCAGCCTCCCCTCCATCCCTTGCACCCTACACTCCAAGTCTGCAGAACTGTTTGGAGGTGCCCAGAGTGTACTACCCTACCCTACCACACTGTGCTGCTTCCTTTTCACAAACACCTCTGTATTCGTTTGCTAGAGCTGTCATAACAAAATACCACAGCCCGGGTGGTTTAAACAACAGAAAGTTGTTTCTTCCCAATTCCAGAGGCTAGAAGTTCAAGATCAAGGTGTTGGCAGGGTTGGTTCCTTCAGAGGCCTCTCTCCTTGCTTGTGGATGGCATCTTCTCCCTGCCTCTTCGCGTGGTCATCCCTTTGTGGGTGTCTCTGTGGGTGTCTGTGCCCTAATCGCCTCATAAGGACACCAATCCTACTGGACTGGGGTCCACCCTAATGACCTCATTTTGACTTAATTACTTCTTTAGAGACCTATCTCCAAATAAGGTCCTATTCTGAGGTTGTGGGTATTAGACTTCATGAATAATTTTGGGGGGACCATAATTCAGCCCATAACGCTTCTCCCTCTGGCTAAAAATGAATGTCATTCTCACATGCAAAATACATTCACCCCATCCCAACAGTTTCCAAATCTTAACTCTTTGCAGCACCAACTTTTAAGTTCAAAATCTCATCTAAATCTCATCTAAACCCAGTATGGGTGAGGCTCCCAGTATACTTCTTCCTGAGGCAAAGTTTCTCTCCAGCTGTGAAACTGAAACCGGACAACAAGCTATGTACCTCCAAGACCTAGGGGTGGGGCCAGCATAGAAAGAAATTGGAAAGGAGAAAGGGGTCACGTGTTAGGGTACTTCCATGTATGCATTTTTGAGGTTAACTCAATGGAGAGTAGCCTCCCTTAGTGAACCTGGAAGATGCCACACGCCATTTAACGTCCACTTATCAGGGTGCCCATTTGGAAGCCTCTTCCTCCTGTGCTTCTCCGTACGCCACCCAGTATATCTCTCCATCTCAGTGCCATAACACTCACCACATCCATCTGATGGCTGACTCTCTTCCCTGCCAGACTACACACCTCACGACTTCCAGTACATGCTCTATGAGTGACTATTACGCACATAAACCCCATGAGAGGGGCTTTGTTGTTTTGTACATGCTGTGTCCTCAGAGTCTAAAACAAGTCTGGTAGATGGCAGGTAATCAACAAATATTTGTTGAATCCGTGAGTGAATACAAATAAACACACACACCAAACGTGTATCATGTGCACATTCTGGATTCTGATTTTCCAGGAGTCTGTGAATCTATGCAGTTTCTTCAAGGAGAGTCCAAGGGGACATCAACACACTCCTCCTTCCCCTCAGTGGCCGGATACCAGCTGAGCAACCGTCAGATGTCTCCGGGTCTCCCGATGACTCACTGAATGCTTTCTTTGGGAGGAGTGGGAGGAGAGGATGGCTGACAAAAATAACTGCGGGCACTTGAAGCGGCATCAAGCCTCTGTCGGCGGGGGAACAACGGGGGCGCATCTGAAGGTTTCTCCCAGGCGGGGCGGGCAGCTCTCTATTCTTCAGCACCGGAGGTTCTCCTATGTGTTTAGAGAATTAGATAAACGTAGAGTGAATGGAATAAAACCGGCATTGCTCCCAAGCAGTCAGCTGCTCTTGCCATATGTGAAATTCTGTATCAGCTGTGAAGGAAACACACAGGAAGGGAGCTTAGTGAACACCGTTAAGGTGATCATTCTGTGTGTCTGTCTTTTTTTGTTCTTTAAAAAGGGCTTTATGCTTTGTATTTTATCTCATCTGATGATCACATCAATCAGGTCAGAAGGGCACTTTCACGGAAGAAAAAGGCTCAGAGAGAATCACTGACTTGCTGGAGAGGATCATTAGAGCATGGTTCTCAACATGTGGTCCAAGGACCAGCAGTGTCACCACCACCTGTGAACCTGGTAGACACGCAAACTCTGGGCCCTTTCCAGATCAGAAACTCTGGGGTGGGGCCCGGGAGCCCATTGTACAAGACCTCCAGGTGATTCAAATGCATAGCTGAGTTTGAGAACCCTTGGCTTAGAGTCACACAGGTAACAAGTTACAGATCCTGGGTGAGAACCCAAGGATGTCCTTGGATACTATACTTCAGTGAGTGACTTGCATGTTAGTAGCTGACAATATCTCTCAGGACAATCCCTTGCAATATTAATTTACATTTTGCTTTTGCTTCTACTTCAGTTTATGAAGCCCGGCACAGTCCAGTTCCGGCTACAGCTCCAGCTTCCCTCCCACTCACTGTGCTGGGGCCACACTGGCCTTCTCTCTGTTCTTTAGACACAGCATGCCCTTTTCTGCTCCAGGACCTTTGCACATACTGTTTCCTCTGCCCAGAATGCCATCCCTGCTAGCTTGATTCTTCTCACTTTAAGTCTCGAGGCAGTCATCCTCTTTTCAGAGAGAACTTTAGGACATGCCCATGATGCTCACAGATCGTTCTGTTTAGTCGCATCATAGCACTCGACACCTCCCGAAGTTAACTTGTTTGTTTATTTTATTTTATTTTTGGAGACAGAGTTTCACTCTGTTGCCCAGGCTGGAGTGCAGTGGCACGATCTCGGCTCACTGCAACCTCTGCCCAAGTAGCTGAGACTACAGGCACACGCCACTACACCTGGCTAATTTTATTTTATTTTATTTTTGTATTTTAGTAGAGACGGGGTTTCACCGTGTTGCCCAGGCTGGTCTCAAACTCCTGAGCTCAGGCAATCCACTCGCCTCCCAAAGTGCTAGGATTACAGGCATGAGCCACTGCGCCCGGCCACCTTGTTTGTTTATTAGAAAGTAAATTCCCTGAGAGCAGGGTCCTTCTGGTCCTATCCAATATTGTGTTTCCCAAGTTCACCACAGTGCTTGGCATATAGTAGACACTCAACAAACACTTACTGAAAAAATAAACCATGAACTAGAGGCAACTTGAAAGAGGGAAAAAGCACTTTCCTCCATTCTTGAATCCTGTAAGAATGGCCAGTCTAGGCTGGCTCTCCTTTGGGGAAGGGGGCAGGAAGAAAAATTAACAGTTTCTTGGTTATCAGGGATGCCTAATGGAAGCTGCAGTTGCCACAGATGGCAGGGGAGGGAAGTTAGGCTTAGATGGGAAGAGTGTGGCTGCCTTAAGACTTGCAAGGGGACAGCTCTCTCTCGGTTTTGTTTTTTTTGGAGACGGAGTCTTGCTCTGTCACCCAGGCTGGAGTACAATGGCGCGATCTCGGCTCACCACAACCTCCACCTCCCAGGTTCAAGCGATTCTCCTGCCTCAGCCTCCTGAGTAGCTGGTATTACAGGCATGCACTACCACACCCGGATAATTTTGTATTTTTAGTAGAGACGGGGTTTCTCCATGTTGGTCAGGCTGGTCTCGACCTCCTGACCTCAGATGATCGGCCCGCCTCGGCCTCCCAAAGTGCTAGGATTACAGGCATGAGCCACCGCGCCTGGCCTCGGTCTTTTTTTTATTGTGGTGAAAAACATGTAAGATGAAATCTACCCTCTTAACAAATTTGTAAGTGTAGAGTACAGGCTTGTTAACTTTAGAACTTTCTCATCTTGTGTGACCGAAACTCCACATGCATTGAGCATCAGCTCCCCATCTCTCCTCCCCAAGCCCTGGTAACAAGCTTTCAGCTTTCAGCTTCTATGAGGTTTTTTTTTTTTTTTTGCTTTAGATTCCATATAAATGGAATCATGCAGTATTTGTCCTTGTGTGACTGGCTTATTTGACAACAAATGTCTTCAAGGTCCATTCATGCTATAGTATGTGTCAGAATTTTTTTCCTTTTTAAGGCTGAATGATATTCCTTTGTATGCATGAACCACACTTTCTTTGCCCATTCATCTATTAATGCACTCTTGGGTTGCTTCTGCCTTTTGTCTACTGTGAATGATCTTATTATGAATGTGGATATACAAATGTTTCATTGAGACTTTGCTTTCTATTCTTTTGGGTATATACTCAGAAGTGGGAATGCTAGATCATTTGATAATTCTATTTTTAATTTTTTGAAGAGTCTCTGTTTATCTATTTATGAGACAAGATCTTGCTCTGTTGCCCAATGGCTTGATCATAGCTCAATGTAGCCTTAAATTCCCAGGCTCAAGCCTCCTCCTACCTCAGATCCCCAGGTAGCTGGGACTACAGGTGTGTGCCATCACGTCTGACTAATTTTTTATTTTTTGTAAAGATAGGGTCTCACTGTGTTGTCCAAGCTGGTCCTGAACTTCTGGGCTCAAGCAATCCTCCCGCCTTAGCCTCCCAAAGTGCTGGGATTATTGGCTGAGCCACTGTGCCCAGCCCATACTGTTTTTATAGTGGCTGGGCCATATCGCAGTCTTACCAATGGTGCACAAGGGCTTCGATTTCTCCACATCCTCATCAACCCTCGTTTTATGATTTTTGTTTTGTTTTTCAATAATGGCTATCCTAACAGGTATGAGGTGATTTCTCATTGTGGTCTTGATTTGCATTTCCCTGGTGATTAGTGATGTTGAGTACATTTTCATGTGCTTGTTGGCCACTTGTATATCTTCTTCGGAGAAATGTCTGTTAAAGGTCTTTCCTCATTTTTTTTTTTTTTTTTTTTTTTTTGAGAGGAAGTTTGACTCTTGTTGCCCAGGCTGGAGTGCAGTGGCGCGATCTCGGCTCACTGCAAGCTCCGCCTCCCGGGTTCAAGCTATTCCTCTGCCTCAGTCTCCTGAGTACCTGGGACTATAGGCACACACCACCACACTGGGCTTATTTTTTTTGTATTTCAGAGGAGACTGTGTTTCACCCTGCTGGCCAGGATGGTCTTGATCGCCTGACTTCGTGATCTGCCCGCCTCAGCCTCCCAAAGTGCTGGGATTACAGGCGTGAGCCACTGCGCCCGGCCAGGTCTTTCCTCATTTTTAGGTTGGGTTGTTTGTTTTTGTGGCTATCTATTAAATTTTCGATCCAACTTTTGATTCTGCCATTTACAGAGCACTGTATGTCAGGTATTGTGGGAAGCCCTTAACACACACAATCTCATTTTATCCTTACAACAGCCTTGAAACATAGATACAATAAGAATTCACATGTTACAGATGAGGCATCAAAGCACAGACAGGTTAAACTACATGCCCAAGGTCACATAGCTAGTAAGTGTCCGAGAGGGTCATCAGACCAGACCAATCTGATCCTAGTCCGGATCATAATCTAGAAGCCCTCACTGCATCTCACCACTGTGCAGGTTGATAGGGAGGCTGGGGCAGGGTCCTGTAGCAAATCACAAGGGTGTCTTCTCTATAGTCCAGTGTGCTGGGAAGACAACAGGTTGGGAGGTAGGATCCTGGGATCTGCTGATCTCAGTGCTGCTCCGACTGGCTGGGGAGCTTCTGGCACAGTCACCTCGTGGCGCTTGGCCTTAGTGAGAGCATTGAGTCAAGGGATGGGATGATGTTTTGAAAAAATAGTGTGTCAGAAAGGAAGTACTGCTAGGAGTCCCAAGGCTGGTGCATACATCATGCCGGCGTCTTCCCTCATCTCAGAACCCAGAGCCTGTCTCCTGGCTGGGGGCTCACAGAGGGTCCTGGCTGGTAGAAGTCTTGCTTTTGGTGTGTTAAACACCCACAGAGTTGGAGCAGAGAGGATGGGGAGCCTGGTGCTGGCCTCCTTGTTGGGACTGGCCTCTGCTGTACAGGGGTCTTCAGGAGGCAGAGGGATGGGGTGGAGGGGTTATATGGGTATAGAGAGTTGAGGCTTCCAGGCCCCACTTTGCCATACTAACCCATCAGACTGCAGGCAAGTTAAGCTCCAGGACATCTGATCAGCACCAATTCTTTCCCTTCCCTGGTTCCCTCTCCGCTTTGCCCCGTCTCACTCCACATGAGTACAACCCTAATGGCACCTCAGGAGAACACCTGTCTGCCTTGGAGGAGGCTCAGCCTGAATCTGAGCCTGTCTGCTCTCTGAGTCCAAACTAATGTTTAACCAGGAAGTACATTTCTGTTAGGAAGACTCTTCACTAAAGATGTGGACATCGAAGTTCAGGCAGGGCAGAGAGATTTGCCAGACTGGACTGTCCTGCCATCTAGTGGTGGGATAAGAGGATTAGCTAGCGTCCCCTCCAGCTGTGGCTGCCCTGGAGAGAACAGCAATTTTTTTGGAGGGTAAGAGAGGGAAGAGTGGTTTGGTAAATGCACCGTCATTACTTTAAGGCATAATCCATGGCAGTACGCTCTTAGTTGCTTGAGATATCTAACCAACTGTTGGGCAAAAAGCAGCATAAATTTTGGCACCTGCGAGAACACTGTAAGTTTTCTCTAAGGGGTCACCTACAAATGCCATCAGAGGTGGGACTTTGGAAATGTCGAAGTTTGGAACTCATATACTCAGAAGTCACTGGTTCTTGCTAACTTATATTGACACATCACAGTAGAGGTGGATTCTAAAGATTCACTCTAGGCCAGGCACAGTAGTTCACACCTGTAATCCTAGCAGTCTGGGAGGCCAAAGTGGGAGGATAACGTGAGTCCAGGAGTTTGAGACCAGCCTGAGCAACATAGTGACACCTCCTCTGTACTATTAAATAAAATTAGCTTGATGTGGTGGCATGCACCTGTAGTCCCAGCTACTTAGAAGCCTGGGTGCTTGAGCCCAGGAGTTCAAGATTTCAGTGAGCAGTGATTGTGCCACTGCACTCCAGCTGGGGTAACAGTGAGAGACCCTGTCTTAAAAAAAAAAATTAATTCTAGAGATGTGTTTTCTCTGATTTGATTTATTTTGGGAAACAAGTAGCTCTGAAACTAAAAAATAGTTACAGTGAAGACTCTAGAAATTCTGAAAATGATTACTGAAATTGTCCTACTGTTTCCATTTATTGGGAGCTGTATTCCTGAAATTGATGCAATAACGGAGATGTAGTGGAGAAGGGAAGCTGGGAGAAGGGGAAAGAGAAAGAGCTCAGGCTCCTCCAGAAATCATCACCTTCGGCAATAATAATAAAAAGAGTAAGAATGACAACTAACTATCAGTCAGGAGAGGTTAGGTTTTGTTATGACACTATCCCAGATAAACGATGCCGACCGACACTGGTCAAGATGGTGAACACAGGTTTTATTCAGCAATACTATGGCAGCAAGGAAGAGAGACCAGTGTGGATTGAACTCAACTTCTCCAAAACAAAAGGCTGGAGACTTTTAAAGGTGGGGTGTGCTCAGGGAAAGGCACTAAAGGTGTGAATAGGGTTAGGCCATGTCAGGCCACCTGGGTTTGTTGACTGCTGTCTATCTGAAGGACACACACACTTCTCATGTCTTTGTGACGGGGCAGTGGTGCAGGTTGGAGCAAGGTGCCCACAGTTAGGCCCTCAGCCTCCCCTACAGACTAGGAGAGACAGAATTATCTCCCTGAAGCCTTGCATTTTAAAGAGAAGACTCTCAGGTCCTGGAGGAAACAGTTTTGGGTGGTAGTTTTATATCCCAAAGAGCAAAGAAAGGCTTTATAATTGCAAGCTTTCTAAAGTGATGGCTCTACAGGGAGTTGAGGGGTGGTGGTGCAGAGCTCTATCTGCCTATCTCTTGGTATTGGCTGGAACAAACAGTCAATTCTCCTGGCAGCCTTGAGCTTTCTCGGGAAGGCCTTTATTTTAATTTTCAAAAATTTTTTTGAGACAAGGTCTCACTCTGTTACCCAGCCTGAAGTGCAGTGGCATGATCATAGCTCACTGAAGCCTCGACCTCCCGGATTCAAGTGATCCTCCCACCTCAGTCTCCCAAGCAGCTGAGACTAAAGTTGTGCTGTGCATCACCACAGCCATCTGATTAATTAATTTTTTTTTTTTTTTGTAGAGATAGGCTCTCCCTATGTTGCCCAGGCTGGTCTTGAACTCCCGGTCTCAATGGCTCCTCCCACCTCAGCCTCACAAAGTGTTCAGATTAGAGGTGTGAGCCACCATGCCCGGCCATATGCAGGCCTTTAGCTGGGATTAGGGTCATCCTAGAGACAGGGCCTTATGCTTCTAGAAGCCATGCTAGAGTTCAGTTGTCTATTAGTGCAGAAATTAGGATGGAGCCATTATATGCTGGGAGTTCTGCAGTTTTTATTTGTTTCTGGGAAAACTTTAAAAAATTGTTGAAAACATACATATCATAAAATTTATCATTTTAACAATTTTTAAATATACAGTTCAGTGGCATTAAGTGCATTCACATTGTTGGGCAACCAACACCACCCTCCACCTTCAGAATATTTTCATCTTCTCCAGCTGAAACTCTACCCCTCAAATAATAACTCCCCATTCCTCTCTCCTGCCAGCCCCTGGTAAATAACATTTTACTTTCTGTTTTTATAAATTTGATTCCTCTATCTACCTTGTGTAAGTGGAATTATACAATATTTGTCCTTTTGCAACTGGTTTATTGAACTCAGCATTACGTCCTCAAGTTTCATTCTTGTAGCACTTTCTTCAGTAGGCTAAGATTCCACTATATGGGCTGGGCTCACGCCTGTAATCCCAGAACCTTGGGAGGCTGAGGTGGGCGAATTGCCTGTGGTCAGGAGTTTGAGACCAGCCTGGCCAACATGGTGAAACCCCAACTCTATTAAAAATACAAAAATTAGCCAGGTGTGGCGGTGGGCGCCTGTAGCCCCAGCTACTTGGGAGACTGAGGCAGAAGAATTGCTTGAACCCGGGAGGCGGAGGTTGTGATGAGCCGAGATTGTGCCACTGCAAGGAGATATGACAGTTTCAGATTTGACCATGTTGGGATGATTGGGCACCCAAGTGGCTGGTTGTAGAGAACCGATCTCAAGAATGCAGGGAACCCACACAGGAAGATTAGATGATAAAAATGACCAACAAGGTAATCATCAGAGGGACAGTGTTATAAGGAAATACAGACTAGGTAGAATAACAGAGAAGGAAAAGGTAAGGAATTAGGCCAGAAAACAAGCTCTCATCACTCTAAGCTTTGATTAATGGGTCAAAACCCTAATGAGCATCTTGCCTTTCAGTTGCTTTCCCGATTCTTTTGTGCATTGCACACTGCTATAAAACCATTCTTTCTAGAGTACCAATTTCATTCCCAGTCGCAGGGGGTCATGCTTGTAATCCCAGCTACTTGGGAGGCCAAGGCAGGAGGATCGTTTGAGGCCAGGGGTTAGAGACCAGTGTTGGTAACTTAGTGAGACTCTGTGTCTTAAAAAAAAAAAAAAAAAAAAGTGAAAAAAAGATCGCCATGTCTTTAGCTAAAACTTAAAGATTTTTTAGCATAAAAGTACTATATGTTGCATAAAGAAACAGTCATGGCCGGGCACGGTGGCTCACGCCTGTAATCCCAGCATTTTGGGAGGCCAAGGTGAGTGGATCACCTGAGGTTGGGAATTTGAAACCATCCTGGCCAACATGGTGAAACCCCATCTCTACTAAAAAATACAAAAATTAGCCAGGCGTGGTGGCATGCGCCTAGTCCCAGCTACTTGGGAGGCTGAGGCAGGACACTCGCTTGAACCCTAGAGGTGGGGTTGCAGTGAGCCGCAATTACGCCACTGCATTCCAGCCTGGGCGACAGAGCGAGACTCTGTCTCAAAAAAAAAGAAAAAGAAAGAAAGAAAGAGTCATACTACTTGAATAGACATCCCTCCAAGGCATACAAATGGCCAAGAAACACATGAAAAGATGCCCAAAGTTATTAGTCATTAGAGAAAATGCAAATCAAAACCACAATGACAAACCACTTCACGCCCACGAGGATGGCTATAATAATTTTTTTAAAACAGTGCAAAATAACAAGTGTTGGCAAGGTTGTTGAGAAATTGGAACTCTCCTGCATTGCTGGTGAGAATGTAAAATGGTGCAGCCACTGTGGAAATCAGTTTGGCATTTCCCCAGTAAGTTAAGCATAGTTATATGTCCCAGCAATTCTACTTGTAGGTATGTACCCAAGAGAATTGAAAACAGGTATCCAAACTAATTTTTTTTTTTTGAGATAGAATCTCATTCTGTCCACCAGGCTGGAGTACAGTGGCATGATCACTGTTCACTGCAGCCTCGACCTCCTAGTCTTCTTCTTCTTTTTTTTTTTGAGACAGAGTTTCATTCTTGTTGCCCAGGCTGGAGTGCAATGGCGCGATCTCAGCTCGCTACAACCTCCACCTCCCGGGTTCAAGCGATTCTCCTGCCTCAGCCCCCCACGTAGCTTGGGATTACAGGCATGCACCACCATGCCCGGCTAATTTTGTATTTTTAGTAGAGACGAGGTTTCTCCATGTTGGTCAGGCTGGTCTCCAACTCCCAACCTCAGGCGATCCGCCCACTTTGGCCTCCCAAAGTGCTGGGATTACAGGCGCAACCTCCAAGTCTTAAGCTATCCTTCCATCTCATTTCCCCAAGTACTTGGGACTACAGGCAGGTGGCACCATTTCTGGCTAATTAATTTTTTTTTTTTTTGTAGATACAAGATCTTGCTATATTGCTAGGACTGGTCTCAAACTTCTGGGCTCAAGCAATCCTCCTGCCTCGGCCTCCCAGAGTACTGAGATTACAGACATGAGCCACCATGCCCTGCCTGAACAAAAATTTGAATGTGAATTTTCATAGCAACATTATTCATGATAGCCAAAAGGTGGAAAAAATCCAAACGCTCATGAACGGATGAATAGGTAAGTAAAACATGCTGTATTCATACAACGGAATATTATTCAGCAATAAAAAGGAATGAAGTGCTGATACATGTCACAACATGGATGAAGCTAAAAAATGTGCTAAGAGAATTAAGCTGGTCACAAAAAGCCACGTATTATATGATTCCATTTATATGAGATTCCCAGAATGGGTAAATCCATAGCGACAGAAAGCAGATTAATGGTTGCCAAGGTCTGGGGGAGGGGAGAGTAGGGAGTGACTCTGTAGTGTGTACGAGGCTTCTTTATGGGGTAATGAAAATGCTGTGGGACTAAGTAGTGGCAATGATTGCTCAATATTGTGAATATACCAAAAACCACTTCATGGTATACCATTAAAATAGTTAAAGTGGTGCATTTTATGCTATATGTATGTAAACACACACACACACACACACACACACACACACACACAAAGAAACACTTATAATAGGTTTTTTTGGGCAGTTGTCACCTGATAGATGATATCAGAAGAAATTAACATCACAGTATCATGGAAACTGGGACATTTTCCTATTCTGGTTGATTGATTTCTGAGCACAGTTTTGATTACAAAACATTTCAAACATACTGAAACCTATAGAAAATAAGACACCCACACATCTGTCACATAGATGTAGCAGAGGTTAACATTTTGTCAGATTTGTTTTTGGTTAAAAAAATCGAACATTACAAATACAAATTTAATCTGACACAGATACACACACATATAATAGATGCTAACAACAGGATTATTTGTCATAGTAAACTAAACAGCTGGGGAAAACCTAAGCATCCACGGGTAGGAGACGGGAGTCTGTGTTCCAAGTTGTTAAATAGGTTTCCTTAAGTGGGGGTGACAAGAAGCTGTGATGGTGAAATCACCGAGGGACTTTTATCTCTGCTTTTTTTTTTTTTTTGAGATGGAGTCTTACTCTGTCACCCAGGCTAGAGTGCAGTGGTGCAATCTTGGCTCACTGCAACCTCCGCCTCCAGGTTTCAAGCAATTCTCCTGCCTCAGCCTCCCAAGTAGCTGGGATTACAGGTGTCCGCCACCACTCCTGGCTAATTTTTTGTATTTTTAGTAGAGATGGGGTTTCTCCATGCTGTCCAGGCTGGTCTTGAACTCCTGACCTTAGGTAATCTGCCTGCCTCAGCTTCCCAAAGTGCTGGGATTACGGGCGTGAGGCACCGCGCCCGGCCTGTCACTGTTTTGCTTTAAAAATTTCAGTGATCATCCTTGACTATAAACTCCCACTTGCATTGGTTTTCTAGGGCTGCAGCAACAAAGTACCATAAACTGGGAGACTTAAAACAATAGAAATTCTTCTCTCACTGTTTGGAAGCCGGAAGTCTGAAATCAAGGCATCAGCAGGGTTGGTTCTTCTGGAGGCTCCGAGGGAGAGGCGCTCCATTCTTCCCTTCCAGCTTCTGGGGCTGCCAGCAACCCTTGGTGTGCCCCAGGTTTGCTCCCTGGTCTTTGATCACTGCTTCCATCCTTGCCTGGCCTTCTTCCTGCATGTCTTCATAGGGTGTTCTCATCTCTGTGTGTCTCCGTCCAAGTTCCCCTCATCTTACAAAGACACTAGCCATTGGATTAGAGCCCACCCTAATTCAGCAAGACCTCATCTTAACTGGATTACATCTCAAAGACCTGATTTCCAAGTAAGATCTGATTCACAAGTACGGGGATCAGGACTACAACATCATGTATCTTTTTGGGAGGACACAATTCAACCCACAACAATCAGGTACAATCAAAAACAATAAAGATACTTCCGGTGATTAAATGGTAAAAAAAAAATTAGAAAATAAAGAGAAAAGAGAACGTAAGCAAAGCCAATTCAAAGGAAGAAATAAAAATGGAGAGGAGATGAAATGGGGAGATGTCGGTCACAGCGTGCAAACTGAGTTACAAAAGGAACCAGCTCTGGATCTCAGGTGCAGCAAGGGCAGTGAGGGGTGTGTTCATTAATTTGATTCTGGTAATCATGACACAATGTATACCAATCATCATGTTGTACACCTTGAATATATGCAACCTTCATTTGACAATTAAATATTTTAAAATTAAAAAATTAAAAAAACAAGGCACATTCTGGACACTAAAATCCTGCTCCAGTGGGTACCATTCTTCCTGAATCCAGCTCCTTGATTATCCAGGAATGCCATGATTACAAGGTAAATTTTCCTGCAAATTTTTTTTTGTTAAACTGATATGTGCCGTTTAAAGTTTCTCAAACTAGTCCTTCCTTGCTCGAAAGTCTCTTGTACTTAAAACACTGGGAGGAGAGAGGCTATGGGTAATGAGAAAGGGGAGGGGAAAATATATTAAAGGTGAGACAGTTCTTTCTACATTAGATGGACTATCAGGTGACGCCATCCCATAGGCAGGTGGGAAAGACGGGAGTAGAGCCTAGAAGAGGCCACAGGACCAACACCGGGAGCTGCCCGCAGAGAATTGAGGACTGAAGTGGCCATAAACGCCAAGCTCTGCAAGGGAGTGACCACAGAGAGAAAAGAGCAGAGGGTGGACCATGAAATCCTCAGGAGAACCTTGGAAAGGGGAACAGGGAAGAACTGATGTGAAGATGCCAGATGGGGGGTGGGGACCTGAGCTAGGCAGGTCTCCAAAGTGAGTGGAGGCAGCAGTGTCAGGGGAAGGGAAGTCCACACCACATCCTACACACGCGATGTCAACAAAGTCAGAGAAGAGGTGAGGAGCCAAAGACCCTACAATGTCACTGGGTTCAGCTGGGAAGTTGGTGTTGATTAGAAGAGAGTACTTTGGCGGACTGAGGGAATTAGCGTTGACAAGTAGAAAGAACTCCTATAATTTGATAAAGACTCTGCTTGACCAAACTTTAGTCAGGCTCCTGAAACTTGTCCTGGGCTCATCTGTGCGGTTACTTGTAAATCTAGTTTTAGCAAAGAACCCGGCCAAGTCCGTTCAGCCAGTGCCGCCAGCCTCTACGCTCTGATCACCTGGATATCTGATCAGATTCCTCACTCTCCACCATCTCCCAGGTAATGTTGGGTCACCCTGGACTGTCTTCAGCCAGAGTCCCGTTAGGTGTGTTTAGCCTGAATACTCCTTACCTGTAATGTTTCCTTTTAGTAATTTTCCACCCACTGACTGCCACCCTGCTCCTTGGTTATAAACTCCCACTTGCCCAGGCAGTATTCAGAGTTGAGCCCAATCTCTGTCTCTCACCCACTCCAAGACCCCGTTGAGCGGTCCCTATGCCCATCCACATGGTCCTGAATAAAGTCTTCCTTACTGTGCTTTAGCAAGTGTCGTTGAATTATTTTTTCCTTAACAAATTCAATATGAAAAAGAAGACTCAATAGAAAGATGGGCAAAGTATATAAAACAACACCTACAATAGACTTCTTTCCAGTAGTTACAGTGAATAAACAGGAGCTATAGGAATCCACATGGATAAATCTGAAAAAGACGAGATAAGACAAATTGCAGAAAGAAATGCACAATCTGGTACTTAAAGTTTTTAAATTTTCATTTTTTACTTAACAGGTGAAATTTCACATATTATTTGTATATACATGCACATATAAAAGTGTAAAGACATTTAAAAAGTGGTTACACGTACAGAAAAAGACAAGGGAATGAGATTCAGGCAGGAGAGGTTCATAGGGGATTTTAATTGTATCTATCATGTTTTAAAAACATTTTACATTTGATTAAGGATATTAGACATCATAAAATAAGCCAGCCTGCTATTTTTGGTATCTAATGAAAATCTCTTTCTTGGTCAGGCATTGTGGCTCACGCCTGTAATCCCAGCACTTTGGGAGGCCGAGGCGGGTGGATCACTTGAGGCCAGGAGTTTGAGACTAGCCTGGCCAACATGGCAAAAAGTGAAAATTGTATTTTTTCTCTTCTTGGGGACCTTCAGCTGTAACAGAAGAGAGAAGAGCTGACTTCTGGAATTAACCAAATGTGAGAGGTCCAGGTTTAGATGCATCTGGGAAGGTGGGGGGCTGCGCAGAGGGACACTGTGTTTAAATTTGTCTTGTTACATCTGGCTGACAGCCTGGCCAAAGCTACAACATTCCTGATCACACAGGTCCATTGTGACTGCATTACGGTCTCATTGCAATTTCCGCAGCCCTGAGGGCCGGCTGGAATTGCCACCAGGGAAGTTAGAGAAACTAGAAGGTGCTTTGTTCCTGGGGCTGGACTTTTCTACTGGAGTTAATATTCAGAAACTCTGGAAATGAGACTGAATCAAATTTCCAAATCCAAATCAAGTTAATTGTACTCCCTATTCTCTTTTACAAATTATCAGCAGCATGCATTAGAGCTGTCAAATCTTTACCCACTTGATGGAAAAGACCAACAAAGCTGCTCTTTTTGAACATTGCTGATTTTTATTTGCTTTTACTTTTTCTAGCCATAACAAGAGATTTTCTCAGAATGCCTTATACTTGGTAAAAAGATTTTTACAGACTTACAGATGTGCTTTTCTCTTAGATGAAGTGTGATTGGATAAACAGTGAACTACTCAATTTTATTTCAATTCTCCAGCATGAAGCCATTGAAAAATACAAAAATTGCATTTTTTAATTTTTTTGAGATGGAATCTCGCCCTGTCGCCCAGGCTGGAGTGGAGTGGCACGATCTCGGCTCACTGCAAGCTCCGCCTCCCAGGTTCACGCCATTCTCCTGCCTCAGCCTCCCAAGTAGCTGGGACTACAGGCACCCACCACCACGCTTGGCTAATTTTTTGTATTTTTAGTAGAGACGGGATTTCAGGATTTCACTGTGTTAACCAGGATGGTCTTGATCTCTTGACCTCATGATCCACCAGCCTTGGCCTCCCAAGGTGCTGGGATTACAGGCGTGAGCCACCGCGCCCAGCTGAAAATTTCATTTTAAACATTCCCTTAATTTTCTTACAAGTTTAAATATCTGAAACATGAAAAGCTGCAAATATCTACATTCATTGTACATCATAAATATTTTATTACTCCTTCGAGCTGCCATTTCTATGATGTACATAAGAGGAATCCCCGGAGCACAGAAAATGATGAGAAAGTTTAAGCCAAGTTCAACATGAAAATGATTGGCTTATTTTCCTTTAAACCTCATGGCACCCAAGACGCAGCTTCATGCGCACCTTGTTATTGTTGCTCACAAACCCACCGGTCACTCTGCTTCCCACTTATCTTCTAGAGACTTTTGTTCACAAACCCCAAGCCTTAGCTTCATGCTCCATGAAGTCAATGTCCACAGGATGATAGTTCCACTTGCCCTGCTGTTCTTTGAACCTCTTATCTCCACCCCCCGCCCCCCACCCACCCCCACACACACACACACACACACACACACACACTGGCATCCCCATGCCTCACCAGCACCAGCACCTCTACCTCTGGAACATTCACCCCAGACATCTCCTCTCACCACCACCAGTACGTCAGCTACTTGCTCGAGAACTCATAATATTCAAATCCTTTTACCCCTGGGAGAGCTCTGTCCTGAGTGCACATGTTCCTGTTGCCAGAAAAGAGGGTCCCGATCCAGACCCCAAGAGCAGGTTCTTGGATTTCACGTAGGAAAGAATTCAGAGTGAATCACAGAGCACGGTGAAAGAAGCAAGTTTATTGGAAACTACCCTGTTACAGAGTAGGGCATCCTCAGAAAGCAGGAGGAGGAATGCATCGTCCTTTGTTAGTGCTTCTACTTGTAAGAAACTTCAAGGAAGCCAGGCGCAGTGGCTCACACCTGTAATCCCAGCACTTTGGGAGACCAAGGCGGATCACCTGAGGTCAGGAGTTCGAGACCAGGCTGGGCAACATGGTGAAACTCCATTTCTACTAAAAATACAACAATATAGCCGGGTGTGGTGGCGTGAGCCTGTAGTCCCAGCTACTCCGGAGGCTGAGGCAGTTGAATCGCTTGAACCTGGGAGATGGAAGTTGCAGTGAGCCGAGATCATGCCACTGCACTCCAGCCTGGGCAACAGAGCAAGACTCTGTCTCAAAAATAAAAAGAAACTACAAGGAGCTATGACTAAACTTGGGACGTGCCTACGTACTCACTAAAGGTAGGGGCTATAGGCATTATCGATTTTACATGACCATTATAATCCTTCAACCTAAGCCTGTTCATTGGCATTATCTCCAAGTAAAGAGCGCTGCATTCCGGCCGGGCGCAGTGGCTCACGCCTGTAATCACAACGCTTTGGGAGGCCGAGGTGGGCGGATCATGAGGTCAGGAGATTGAAACATGGTGAAACCCTGTCTCTACTAAAAATACAAAAAATTAGCTGGGCGTGGTGGCATGAACCTGTAGTCCCAGCTACTGGGGAGGCTGAGGCAGGAGAATCGCTTGAATCCGGGAGGTGGAGGTTGCAGTGAGCTGAGATTGCGCCACTGCACTCCAGCCTGGGCGACAGAGCAAGACTCCATCTCAAAAAACAAACAAGCAAAAAGAGTGCTGCATTCTGAGGACATCTGGCAAGCTTGTCCAACCCATTTGATTTTGTTGTTGTGTTGTTCTGTTTTGTTTTATTTTGTTTTAGGCTTTTAGCAGCCTGAAGCCACGGTTTTTAGTTTCTGTCTCTAGTGATAAGCGGAAAAGAATGAGGAAGGGGCTTTACTGGCCCAACCAGAAACAGAAACTAAGAACCCATGACTGGGCTGGGAGAGGTGGCTCACGCCTATAATCCCAGTACTTTGGGAGGCCAAGGCGGGCAGATCATGAGGTCAGGAGATTGAGACCAGCCTGGCCAATATGGAAACCCATCTCTAATAAAAATACAAAAATTAGCTGTGTGTGGTGGCGGGCACCTGTAGTCTCAGTTACTCTGGAGGCTGAGGCAGAAGAATTGCTCAAACCCAGGAGGTGGAGGTTGCAGTGAGCCGAGATCGTGCCACTGCCCTCTAGCCTCGGCAATAGAGCAAGACCCTGTGCAAGACCCAGGCTGGAGTGCAGTGGTGTGATCATGGCTCACTGCAGCCTCAAACTCCTGGCTCAAGGGATTCTCCTGCCTCAGCCTTTCAAGTAGCTAGGACTACAAGTGTAGGCCTGCATACTCAGCTAATTTTTATTTTTCTATTTTTTTTTTGTAGATATGGGGTCTTGCTGTGTTACCCAGGCTGGTCATGAACTCCTGGCCTCAAGGGACCCTCCCACCTTGGCCTCCCAAAGTGCTGGGATTACAGATGTGAGCCACCATGCCTGCCCTAATCACATTCTTTAAACTGTGTATACTTTTACTGATTTTTTAAATCTGTTTATTTTACCAGTTACTGACAGAGGTATGTTATCATATTATGATTCAGGATTTACTTTTCCTTTCAATTCTGACAGTTTCTGCTTTATATATTTTGAGATTAAGTTATTGGGTACATTTTAAAGGTGCAGTTATGATTATCTAGTGGATTAATGCTTGTATCATATTATTCTTCATTTCTAGTAATGCTTCTTGCCTTAAAATGTATTTTGCATGATATTAATATAGCAACATTAACTTTCGATTAGGGTTTGTGTGGTATACCTTTTCTCCATGCTTTCACTTTCTACTTTTTGTGCCCTGAAATTTACAATGCATCTTTTATAAACAAAGTAAGTTTTAAAAAATTCAGTCTGACAGTCTTTGATCTTCTCTTATTTATCCATTTATGTTTAATATAATTACAAATGTGTTTGGGTTTAAGTCTACCTTCTTGCTATTTGTTTTCTATTTGTCCCACCTTATCTATGTTTCTTTCTCTCTCCTTATTTTCCACCTTTTGGAAATTCTCCAAATGTTTGTCATTAAAGGACTGCTTGGATACACTGTAGAACAACCAAACAATATAGTAATATGCAACTGTAAAAAGGAATGAGAAATATCTCTGTGATCCTTAGGATTTATTTTTATGTGGGAAAAACAAGATGGATGGATGCGTGAATAGTATGCTACAGTTTAAGAGAGAATGGAAGGGATAGAAATATATATGTACACATTTGTTTATGCTAAAAAGTGGAAGAATAAACCATAAAATTTAAAAGTGATTAGCTACAGGAGAGGGAGTGAACTGGGTAGAGGGCATAGGAATAGAAGTTGGGTTTCTCTAATGTACTTTGTTTTGTGGATTCTACTTTGATAGCATAAAAAACTTTTCCTAGTTTTAAAACCAAAATATATTAAAGAAAAAACAATCCATAAACCTTGAAAGTACAATGAAACAAAGGAACTTGTGTGTATTAGTTTCTTGTGGCCACTGTACAAAGCACCACAAACTTGGTGTCTTGGAACACTTTCTCAGTTTGGGAGGCAAGAAATCTGCAATCAGTTTCACTGGGCCAAAATCAAAATGTTGTCAGGGCCATGCTCCCTCCAAAGGCTCTAGGGTAAAATCCATTCCTTGCCTCTTCCGGTTTCTGATTACTGGCATTTCTTGGTTAATGACTGCATCACTCCAATATGTGCCTCTGTGGTCACATTATCATCTTCTCCCCTGTTAAATTTTCTTCTGCCTGTCTCTTATAAGGCATTTGTAATTTCATACAGAGCTCCCCAGGAAAAACAGGATAACCTCCCCATCTCAAGATCCCTAATTATGCACACCTAAAATCCATTCTGACATTATAAAGTAACATTCACAAGTTCTAAGGATTAGGACCTGGATATCTTTGGGGGCCATCATATGGTCTACTACACTGTGGAGTTGGTGTTATAACACCCAGAGAAAAATTATTCCAAGTTACTTTAAGTTTCATTGACTTGACTGTACATCTCTAGTAGGGTATACTCTAAGGACAAAAATAATTTTTAAAAAATCTTAAACTTTTCCATAATAATGGTGGTGGTACTATTATAATTGTTCTGAAATTTTTAAAAATGTGTGTATTGTTTGATAAAGTAAATGAGTAATTATATTGGCATAACTGATAATATTTGGGTTTCCAACATTGGAGAATAGAGATACAGATATAAGACTGATGAGGTTAAGTAAAAATCCTGTTGCTTGAATTTGAATTGGGAGTATCGGTTTGAACTGTAGCTCTATTTGGGAGAGGTCTAGACACATCACTATTCAACACTGATGAGTAGCCCTTGCACCTAGATTGTGGTTTGTAAATACCATCTCCCACCAAAAGGAACCAGGGCCTCCTGAAGAAATCATTAAATCTAGGTATGGGGAAAGAAGTGTGCCAGTTGAACCTCGTATACCTTATCATTTCAGAAAACAAAGAAGTATTGACAACTAGGGTGATGTTAAAGGCCTCAGGAATCAACCTAAAAAGGCTTCCACAGGTCAAAGACGGAACAATTTGAGTATCAATAGGAATAATAACTACAAGGATTTGAAACACACGTCACATGAATTTGTTATATAACAACACTTAAGAAGCAAGCAAATAAACAACTAAATAAACAAAACCTCATTGGTCAGTTTGAGTATCCTAGGGAACAAATTATTAATTTGAAAGATGTTAAATAAAGGAATAAAGCAAGCATTTATTATTGCCAGTGTGTGGGTGCGCACCCAAGGCAGCGCGCGACACATTCCGCTGCCGATCTCCCCCTTGGGGTGGGAAGATCTTACAAACTGCATGTCTCTCCCACTTAAATTCGTAGTCAGCCTTAAATAAACCCGGCCGCCTTCACCACAACACCGCCACCGAGACCGGTAGGGCCTGCCTCAGCATCCGCCACGCCTTCTCGTACCCCGGAAGGGTGCGTGCGCGCTCTCGGAGATAGGGGTCTTCAGCCGTGCGCGTGTGGAGCAGGGCCACGGCGCCTGCGCAGCGGAGGCTGTGGACCACATTTCCCAAGAACACTGCGTTCCTGGGCCCGCCCAGTGTCCCAGAGTCCCTTTCGAGGCGGAAGCTGGGCTCCTCCCTGCGTCTCTTTCTGGGCCGTGGAGCTGTCCGCTCTGAAACCTGAGGAAGTCGTAGTTCAGGGAGGGGTAGCTCTTGCACCTAGGCCGTTAGGAACGAGTTTTAGGTTCGAATCCCATCTTATGGAAGGTGGTATTGGTCCCTTGGGTGTCCCACCCGTCTCAGCCAAACTGCGGGCCATTTCCCGGGGCGAGCAAGGGGAGTTACCGCGCCAGTGGGTGGACTCGCCGCCTCTCGGAGTCGGGAGGAAGTCGAGCTGGGGTGCAGTTACGAGTCTCAGTTAATAATGAATAGGGTGGCCAATGGTGGGCCAGGCACAGTGGCTCACGCCTGTAATCCCAGCACTTTGGGAGGCCGAGGCGGGCGGATCACGAGGTTAGGAGATAAGAGACCAGCCTGGCTAATATGGTGAAACCTCGTCTTTACTAAAAATAAAAAAATTAGCTGGGCATGGTGGCGGGCGCCTGTAGTCCCGGCTACTCGGGAGGCTGTGGCAGGAGAATCGCTTGAACCGAGGAGGCAGAGGTTGCAGTGAGCCGACATCGCGCCACTGCACTCCAGCATGGCGACAAAGCGAGACTACGTCTCAAACAAACAAACAAACAAACAAACAAAAAAAACAAAAAGAAAAGGAAAAAAAAGGGTGGCCAATATAGTGAAACCCCCTCTCTACTAAAAATACAAAAATTAGCTGGGCGTGGTGGCGCGCGCCTGTAGTCCCAGCTACTCGGGAGGCTGAGGCAGAAGAATCGCTTGAAGCCGGGAGGCAAAGGTTGCAGTGACCCGAGATTGCGCTACTGCACTCCAGCCTGGGCGACAGAGCGAGGTTCCGTCTCGAAAAAAAAAACAACGAAAAGGGGACTCACTTCGGAGAAGCTGCCCTCTCTGCAAACTTATTTGAGTAAGGGACTGAAGACTGAAGTTAGGGAGAGGAAAGGGATACACGTCTGTTAGTGCGAGTTGCGTGTCTTGTTAGTGCGAACTGGAACCCAAGTTTCCTTTGGGAAGACTTTGGCGAAAGAGTACAGGAACACCAGCCACTCCAGAAAGAGACCGCTCCTCTTGAACCCGCCCACTTAACTCCTCCCGCAGGCTCTACGTTCGAATGCCTCCACCCTGATTTTAGAAGGTTATAGGCGCACAATCAAGGAAATGTCGACAGAGGGCGTCCTTGCTCTAAGCAGCATTGTCCACCTGCTTCCTGAGCGGGGTTCAGTGATTATTCTCTGAACCTGGACTTCTGGCGTTGTGCCTCTATACTCCATTTCCCTGCTTCAAAGCTCTCCTAATTGACTTTATTTTCTGACACTCCCCCACTTTACCCCCCAGGAGTGTTGCTTCTTTTATTTCTTTGCCTGGATGGTCGTTTGGCTTAGTAAATAGACCTAGACCCCACCCCATGGTGTAGAAGCAGTTGGTGAACTTCTATAAAGGGCCAGACAGTACACATTTTAGGCTCTGCGATCTCCTTATGGTTGAAAGTTCTACTGTTGTAGCACAAAATCAGCCTTGGACAGTAAGCAAATAGGTGTGGCTGTGTTCCAACAAAACTTCACTGAAATTTGAATTTCACTGTAATTTTCACGTGTCACGAAATATTTTAACCGTTTAAAAATGTAAAAATAATGTGTGTGTGTGTGCGCGCGCGTGTTAGCTTGGGCCGCCAGCTAGCAGTAGTTTGCCAATTCTTGGTAGAGAAAGAGAGCAGTCTCCACCTAGGTCTGGGAATTCAGGGAGAGAGGTGCTGGCCAAAATAACAGTTCATGGCCTGCTTTTCTAGATCTGGGAGTGAGTAGGACTACTACTAGACTCTCATTTGACCTCTCCTTTGGGAATCGCAGGGTATATAGTGCCCACTGATTGGTGGGAATTTTGTCAAGGTGGGTGTGATAATCTGGCTTCTTTCCCTTCCCAGCTCTTTATAGTCTTTCTTTCTTTTTTATCGTTCTCTCCCTCTCTCTCTTTAGAGATGTGGTCTTGCTATGTTGCCCGGGCTGAGTGCAGTGACTATTCACAGGCCGGATCTAGTGCACTGCAGTCTTGAACTCCTGGCTTACAGTCCTGCTGGTTCTGAGAGGCAGGGGAAGAAACGGCCACCATGCTCTGCAGCTAGGTCTCAGGTAGGTTTGGGCCATCTCTCTTCTCTGGTTTCTAGGCACATCTCAACTCAGGATGCACCTTTCCAGGGAGAGGTGCATCCTGAGTTGAGGTAAGTATTCATCCTGGTTGCAAGATGAATACTTTTCATTCTTCCACTACACAGTCATTTTAAAGTTAAGTTTCATCTATGATGGGTATTCTGGGTCCTAGAAGAGAGGTGGTACCTGGGTCAGTCCCTTTCCAGTCTGCAGTCTAACACATACAGATTAAATGAATGTGAAAATAAAAAAATGCTTTGTAATTACAAAGCACTCTGCAAATACAAATGTTGCAGTAAAGAAAAAAAGTATGGTTGACATCTTTCTTTATTCTAGAAAGTGCAAATCTATCTTTTTTGAATACTTAGCACTTCTCTGAACTACTGTATCTTGCCAGCACTTTGCACAGTGCATATTAGAATAACACATTCAGTCAATATTTATTGAGTGCCTACTTGCCTATTATGCATCTCTTAGTGCCTTTCTGGTTTTTATTTTTATTTTTATTTTTTTGAGACTCAGTCTCACTGTGTCACCCCAGGCTGGAGTGCGGTGGCGTGATCTCGGCTCACTGCAACCTCCTCCTCCTGGGTTCAAGTGATTCTCCTGCCTCAGCCTTCCGAGTAGCTAGCACTACAGGCACGTGTGCCACCATGTCCGGCTAATTTTTTGTATTTTAGTAGAGACGGGGTTTCACCGTGTTGGCCAGGATGGTCTCGATCTCCTGACCTCGTGATCCGCCCACCTCGGCCTCCCAAAGTGCTGGGATTACAGGCGTGAGCCACGGTGCCTGGCCATGTTCTGCATTTCACCCAACCACAGATTGGAAATATTGAGCAGAAAACCCTCAAAATAATGCAATAGAAAATGTAAAACTATCTACATGGTATTTACATTGTATTAGGTATTATAAGTAATCTAGAGATGATTTAAAGTATTTGGGAGAATGTACATCAGTTATATGCAAATACTATGCCATTTTTATATCAGCTACTTGAGCATCCAAGGATTTTGGTATCCATGGGAGTCCTAGAACCAATCCTGGAACCAATAATGAGGGATGACTCTAATGTAAAATATAGTGCTCAGCATGAATATTCCAGGTATAGTTTAAAATCAGTTTACAGTGGAGAGCATTACTTTTCAATTTCTGGATGCAGATCTTATTTTGATATGGCCCAAAATTGTTCTTCAAGAAAAAACCTCTACTCTTGTAGGCATGAAACAGCCAACTTTCTTGTAAGACCAATAGGACTAAAATGATTATTGGTGAATAAGAGAGTGGCTCCTAGCTCCCCTGTCAAAGTTATAATAAATTTAGAAAGAAGAGGTTTGGGGATGAAAACAATTTAGTTTTAGGTTAAACCACATAAGGTACTTATGAGATAGTTCTGAGTGATCACTGACTATATGGCTTTGAAACTTGGGATAGATCTGAGTGAAAAATTGGTAGGAGGAGGTGCATCCTGAATTGAGATGTTCTCATTTAAACATTTGAATTTAAGAAACTGTATGGGAGGGGGACCTCTTTTGGCTTTGGAGCCTCCCACCACCCCCGTCTCTGTACAAGGGAGGTGCTTATTTCTTCCTTCTCCCTTCTTTCTTTCCTCTTCTTGCCTATTAAACTATCTGCCCCTTAAAACCACTCCACATATGTCCATGTTGTTTTATCTAAACCAGCATGAGGACCAAGAACCCTGGTGTTCCTCCACTCATCGGAGCCGTATCATTTTGGTGCATTGGCCAGGAAAGGAAATTCAATCATGAGACTGGTGAGTATGGAGCGGATTTCAACTTTATATCTGTTCTTTAGTCTCAAGGCTCTCTTCCAGCTACCCTGTCGCCAAAACTTTCTTTCTATCTGTGGTCTCTCTGTGTGTCTAATGTGCAGGATTCTGTCTGTTAGAAAAGATCGTGAATCACGGCATGCAGTAACTCAATAAGTGTCTCTCTCTCTCTCTACGTTTTCTCTGGCAAGCACATGGTATTTCTAAGCCACCTAGTAGAAATCAGGCTGTAGGCCTCTTCTAAGAATGGGAAGTTTCTGCTTTTAACAGTTAGGAGTAGGATGTCTTCCATGGCCAAATTTTAGTCTCAATATTGTCCCACTGGCAGGAAAACGGCCATTCAGTTCCTATGTTCCTTTAAGCCATCTATTCTGGCTCCTACTAAGACAGTGCTTAATTAGTAAGGGGATTTTAAGTCCAGAAGTTAACCGGAACCATTCTTCTATGGGTAAATGCTTTAGCATGGGCTATAATGGCAGGATATAGAGTTCAATCTATCACATCCCCTCCCTTAAAGGGTCTCTTCCCAATTACATGGTTTTTCTTCAAATCCATTTTTTGGGAGGCACACAGGCCACCCAAGTCTAGGAGGTCAAAGGTAAATAAAAGGCAGAGAACTGATTGCTTGGGAACAGCGTGACTATGGCCCAAAACTCAGATCCTCTGGTGCCATGGCTTGGAGGGTCACACCTGCAGTCATGGGTGGAACATTTAAATGAGTGCTGGGAATCCAGGAACAAAAGAGAAAATAGTTGGGGGACGCCTCCTACTGCTTTCTTCTCCATCCTGGATTTCATACCAAAAGGAAGGAGACTAAAAGGACGCTTTTATTCTCACTTCTCTTTCTAGATGGGTAACAGACCATCTTCAACATGCACTTCTCTTGAGTGTATTTTGAAGCACTAGGACTCTTTCGACCTTGAAACTTTGAAGAAAAAGTGGCTTATTTTCTTTTGCAGTCATATCAGGCAGGCCCAGGGAAAACAGTACCCCAAAATTTAAAAAGTAACTTTCAGGGAAGTCATCTGAGGGTCCCCCTTATTTGGGGCCCCTTCAAGTTCCCTTCTCATTGCAGGACCTTTGGCAAGTAAAGGGAGACTTAGGCTGGTTTTCTGATGACCTTAATAAGTATATGGAAGCTTTCCAATATTTAACTCAGGTATGTAACCTCTCATGAAGGGATGTTATGTTGCTGCTAAGGCAAACCCTTACTGTAGGTAAAATAAGCAGCTCTGCAAGCAGAAGAAAATTTTGGAGATAAGTAATGTCTCCTATAGAAGGCCAAAAGGGAAAAGAAAAAAATAGGGAAGGCAAAGGGGAAACACCATTCCCAATAGGAAAAGAGGCAATACCTCCTGACAACCCTAATTGGAACTCCTTTCTGTGGTGTTTTTCCTTGTTTTGCAGTTTAAAATGGCTTCTCTTTTATAATGTTCTTCCAACATGGAAAAGGTTAATTTTCCAAACCTTAAAATGTTTGGCATAGAGTTGAGCTAGGGGGAAGGAAACCCAGCCCAGAAGCCTGATATGCTGGCAAAAGGGTAAAAATTTCTTACCAGTCAGGCTTTTGGCTTCTCTCTTCCTGTGGAAACCGGCAAAAGGGATAATAAAGATCATTGTTTATGTTTTCTTTAAATTTATAGTTAATGAAAAAGGATTTGTGAGGTTGGTCTTAAGCTGTAAACAATCTGCTCTTCTTTGTATGTCTTTCTGTGTGGTTCTGTTAAAGAAAAGGTATCTTAGGTCAGGATGCAGGCCCAGAAACCCATAAGCCTGCTGTTCAAACCAGCCCAGCAAAGTATCCAGTGGCAAACTTGGCTACAGGCCTCCATCTTGTTTCATGTCATGGGAACATAATCTGTAACCATGTGGCAATACTTTGTTTTTGTCTCCGCCATTTTACAATGGTGGCTGTCTTCTTGTGCTAAATCAGATAAGCCAGTTTGTCAGTCTGGGCTGTGTCAGCTGATCCATCAAGGGCAGGGTTTACAAAACATCTTAAGCACTGATCATAACAGCCGTTTAGGGAGGGTCAAAATCTTGTAGCCTCCAATTGCATGGCTCTTGGGCCATGGTTTCTAATCCTGTAGCTAGTTTCTTGGTCTGGTCCCCAGGCAAAAGGGAAGTATATCTTGAGAAGCAGCTGCTATCTTCTTTGTTTTAGACTATAAACT
This sequence comes from Homo sapiens, assembly GCF_000001405.40. Lineage (NCBI taxonomy): Eukaryota > Metazoa > Chordata > Mammalia > Primates > Hominidae > Homo > Homo sapiens. Next base: position 16,541,978 of record NC_000017.11, read on the forward strand.
GTAAACCAAGCTCCTCCCCAACTTGATTCAGCCTATGCCCGGGGATGGGCAAGGACAGTTTGGGGACTGGAAACAAAATGGAGTTGTTTGGGTGAGATCTCTTCCACTGTCTCAGTCACAATTTTGCAGTGACAGTTTCAAAAGCTGCCTGTCCGGGTGGATCACGAGGTCAGGAGTTCAAGACCAGCCTAGTCAACATGACGAAACCCTGTCTCTACTAAAAAAACAAAAATTAGCCAGGCGTGGTGGCATGCACCTGTAGTCCTGGCTACTCAGGAAGCTGAGGCAGAGGAATTGCTTGAACCCAGGAGGCAGAGGTTGCAGTGAGCCAAGATCATGCTACTGCACTCCAGCCTGGGTGACAGAGCAAGACTCTGTCTCAGCAAAAAAAAAAAAAAAAAAAAAAAGCTGCCTGTCACTCCTTTAAAAATACCTTTTACACTCCTGGTTAAGTCATAACCTAATTAAAGCTCTTTAGTTTTACCTGTGAGGTTACTTATTGTAAAGTTCAAAAGCCAAAAATCTTAACTGCTTGGCATGGCTAAGGTCAAGTAACAAAGGATTTAGAAGAATTTTCTTAAAGAGTGCTCAGCTTAATTAAAAGTGGAAAATCAAGTTATAGGTATATTAAAAGGCCTTTATGTTTTTTCTTTTCTTGAATCTTGTTTTTCTGGAAAAAGGCTCATCTCAGCCGACTGAATTATTTTTCTCCATTTTTTGTCTTACTACTCTTAATGCATGTATAAAAGGCCCTAAGATAACTTCTGGTAGCATGGGACTCCTCAGGAAACACAGAGGAGGCGCCACAGACCCCGTTTTGGGAAAAAACCCTCTGTTTTCCTCATGAAACCCCAGGAATTAAAAGCAAATAATTCCCTCTCAAAATCAAAGGCTCTGTTCTGTTTTGCATTGTGTTATCTGATGGTTTTGAGTTTTGGGGGTATCAGAAATTACTTCGCATTTTTACAAGAAAGCTTTGGTGTGTAATAATCAAGTAGAAAATACACTGTAAGGGATGGCTAATAGTAGTTATAAATCAGGGATGCTCTTGGCCACCTGGAAGATAAGGAAACATCCTCACCCTGCACTGGGAGATGAGACTCCCATCAGGGATGGGCTAATTACAAAATAAGCCAATTGGCTTTGGGCTGCCTTGCAATGCAATGCATGGTAGAAGCACTACACCGTCCTCTCCCATAGTATCTATATGGTCTTTTCATAAATTAAGCATTAAAATAAAAGCATAGCAAGGAGGTCTTAAGACACTAATCTGCCCCTTAGTAAAAGGGTTATAAAAGGTTTGTAAAGATTTCACCTTGGCCGGGTGCGGTGGCTCACACCTGTAACCCCAGCACTTTGGGAGGCCGAGGCGGGCAGATCACCTGAGGTCGGGAGTTCGAGACCAGGCTGACAAACATGGAGAAGCCCCGTTTCTACTAAAAATACAAAATTAGCCAGGGGTGGTGGCACATGCCTGTAATCCCAGCTACTTGGGAGGCTGAGGCAGGAGAATCGCTTGAACCTGGGAGGCGGAGGTTGCAGTGAGCTGAGATCATGCCCTTGCACTCTAGCCTGTGCAACAAGAATGAAACTCCATCTCAAAAAAAAAAGAAAAAAAAAGATTTCACCTCATGGTCAAATTGGTTAGGATTTGATGGAATAATCTATAAGGTTTCGTGTAAACAAATTGGGGTTAACATTAATAAACTAATGCAAGGGTAAAATTTTGCTTTGAACAAGATTTTCATTTCATAATAAAGGCTAATGAAAGGATTTTGCCTTTTGAGTCATCATTTTGGCAAAATAATTTATGGCAATCTGGAAATTGTCCTTCCTGATACCTAACTTTTTGAATGGTTTAGAGGGGCCCTGAAACATTCAGAAAAGAGGTAAACAGGATTATTTGACATGTTTAGTCACATGAGATTGCCAAAATGATGTCCAATCTTATTTAAGTTATAGTTTGGTGAATAATACTAATATATGTTTCAGAATTGTATGGGATTTCTAAGATTCTAATGTCTAAGTATATGCTATCAATCATAATTAAGGGTAAAGTTATTGTAAACCATGAAGATAAATAAACTTCTTTGTCAGTCATGTTTTTAACTATCCTGAAAATTTTGTCATTCACAGACAATTGTTGTCCTGCTTTGTTCCTTTTCAAAAAATGGTTTATAATCAAGCTCTATTAAGGAGTTCAACAGGTGTTCTCAAATGCAGGTTTTTAATAGCTTTAAAGATTGTAACATTGGAATAGAGAGAGAATGTATGGGACTCACAAAGAACTAATATGTTCATAAATATCAAGCAAAACAAGAGTTAAGTAAATGGACTGCACTCAGAAAGTTAAAGCAGAGTTTTTAACTTTGCTTGGAATATTGCTGATCCTTGTTTTGTTTTTCAGAGTCAAGAAAAGTTTTAAACTATTTATGGCCTTTAATAATTGAGTAAGGTATACTCCTGTGAACAAAATTTGGAGCATATTTATTTGTCTCTGCCTGGTTCCTCTAGAATTTGGAGACTAGCTGTACTCTTAACTTAACGGCAATATAGCTCTTTGCATCAGTGCAATAAGAATCCATTTTTCTTTGTCAACAGGACACATTGGAAAAACTGGTTATTTTAACCAAGGCTTGAGGGTGTGTTTCCTTTTAAGGAATCAAGCTTGACATGCAGAGCAAATAAAAGCCCCTTGGGGAGAACTGGCCTCATACCTTGTCTGCACAGTCCCTGCACAAGATTCCTAACCTGTGGTCAGTAAAGAGTGTCACTTTCTAATAGGTCTGGGAGCTCCGAGTTTATCTTGGGGCCTCAAGAGGAGAGGATCACCCAACTCACAGGTATTTGAGGATACAAACCCATGGCTGGGCTTGGCTTTAAAAGGTCTTATCTGAGATTCCTTGTAGAACAGTTTCATCGAAGCCAATCCAAAAGGCCTGTGTAGAAATAACCTTTCTTGCTGCACTTTATGCAAACAATCAGGCCATGTATAGGACTAAAGTTTATTCTACAGACAACACACACGGGCCTATCATAATTTGTTTTTATCAAAAATGAGGACTGGAGAGAAAAACTGTGCTCCAAAGCTTATCATACATTTCTCCAAAACTTACTATACATTTCTCATTAAATCCTAGTCTCATCAATTGTTTTTAAGCTTTTTGCCTACATATTATACTAACTCTGCTTATTCCTGTGAATCAAGTGGTAATCCCCTACAGTTTGGAAGAAATAAAAAGGGATGGGTAATGTAAAAATCTGAATCAATATGCTAGTTCTGGGCAATTATCCTGCAAATTCTGCCAGTTAATGAAAGTGAGTATGATGCCCATTAACTCAGGTTTTTTTTTTTTTTTGTTTGGGAAAATAAAACCAAGGCTTCATAGACCACCAAAGGAAAATTCTGTATCTTGGCAAGTAAAATTTTACATGGAAGTTATCTACTACATCACACTTGTGGAAGTTGCTATACTCACTCTGCTATTTGCAAGAGGGTTATACGTGGTAGCACCTTCTAACTGACATATTGGACAGAGTTTCCATTGCTGTTGTATTTTGCTCAATTATTATCCTTATAGCAGGGATAATAGTTACTGACAAAAAGGAAGCATGAAAGTTTTACTATCACTGAGTCTGCTAGCACTTTTTATTGGGTTTAGTAATGATTAACACCTCTAGTAGAGGAAAATCTACAGGTACTTAAGAATGAAATCAAAATTATTAACAGGCTCAGGGAAAATGCCGGCTCCAGCCCTGGATGGCTACAATCCCTCTTTAATGAATTCCAATCTTCTTTATGGAATTGGTCAGCCCCTTTATCAAGCCCTCTCCTGCTTATATGTCTTGTATTGATATTTGGACCCTGTATACTCAGTACCATAACTCGAACTGTTTCTTCTCGCCTCAAAGCAGTCAAACTCCAAATGGTACTGCAAACTGAACCACATATGGACACGCCATTCTCCCGAGGACCCTTAAGTTGACCCTAGGAGGAGCCCTCACTGCTGTTCCCCATTTGACGCCCCTTTTCAGCAGGAAGTAGCCAGAAAGAGTCGTCGCCCAAAACCCCCTAACAGCAGATAGTGTGATATCACCACAGGGAGGAATGTGGTAGGAGTTATTAAGAAATTATTTTAGGCAGAGAGGCAAAGGGGTCCTTGGGAAGTTTTAGTTTTTTAAAGCATCTCCAGAAAAGTTTCTTGTAAAGCCCCGACTCTTACAGTCAGGCCATCAACCTTTGATATGCAAATGCAGGCCATTAGAAACTGGGTCCACCCAACATGTCAATTCCCACAGCCTTCTTGCCCTTGCCCCACATGTTCCTGGCAACATGGCCACCCCCACCTATCCCTACGTGTGTAGAACATCGTGGCGCCCCATATTTGCATATGGGTGGGAGGGCCAGCTCTTCCTCTGGCTATTTGAAGACATGCCTAGTCAAACCAATCCCCTGAGCCCTATGCAAATCAAACACTGCCTTCTCCAGCCTCTGTATATATACCTAGCTGGTATCCGTGGCAGGTGGGGACCTTCTCTTTCGGCTTTGGAGCCCCCTCTCCTGTCTCTGTACAGGTGAGCTGCTTCTTTCTTCCTTCTCCCTTCCTTCTAGCCCCTTCTTGCCTATTAAACTCTCTGCTCCTTAAAACAAAAAACAAAACAAACAACAAAAAAGAAACTCTATGGGAAAGAAGACAAAAACAGATTTAAAAAACTTTCAGTGCTCTAATCTCATAAAAATACATAATTCTATAAAATTGTAGGTACATACTCTTTGTACTCAGAATTTCCATTTAACATTATTTTACAAGAAGAACTCAACTAAGTGCTGGAGCTATGCGGTTCCAATCCTTATTCTGTCATTATATGACATATGGCCTCAAGCATGACATTTCAGCATCATGGGCTTCACTTTCCCCATTCATACACAGTGCAGGGCTCGATGCTGTTTACACACACGCATTTGTACATATCACTGTAGTGCACATGCTTGCCATTTTTAATGGTTATAGTGTTCTAAGGGGCTAATAATTATGAAAGATAGAGCCATGGGGAGAACAGAAACAGAGGAGTAAGAATACATTTTCGGGCACATGCAAGTGAACTGACACCAGAAGACAAAGAATGAAACATAACAGCCTTAAAGTTTTAGAGACCAAATAAAGGTTTAGTAAGAAAAACTAGTACTTAGATTTGCATGAAACAGATCCTTAGGATTAATATTTAGATCTTACCAGAAATCTGCCTTAAGAGATGTGATGGGAAAGGAGGGCTATTAGCTTATAAACACCGTAAGTTATAGACATATAATAGTTAAAACACAACGTATTAGGTATACATCTAGTTGCTTTCTTAATTGCCCTCTACTTAACCCACTTGGCAGATTAACTGACAAGTTCTATTCCCTTGTAAATTTCCTGATGGCATTGTCACAGGCCTTTTGCAGCTAATTTGCTGCTTTCTAGCATACATAACATGGAAGTGTTCTCTCCAATTTAGGTGCATGCTTAACAAGATTTAGTTGTTTGCACCCGAAAGTTTATCCCAGTTATGTAATTATATCCCTCATTACACAGATATTAGGTAACTGATGGCATGAGTGAAGAGTTGTCTTTATGAAAACCAACTTGAATGGTTGGAAAGAATTGCCAGTGACACTCCGGGAGCAGTGAGAATCCCTAGTGCCCAGATCTTGGTTTCTAAATAGCTACCTATTAAAAGGAGCCAGGGATTCTTGGAAAAAGGTTTCATTCCAGGCCTGGGGCATTGAAAATGCAAGGCCAACTTGAGATATCTTGTGTTAGAAGGCAATCAAGTGTCCAAAGACTAGAGAGTGAATGTCAAAAGGACATAAGAGATACTTGAAGGGCTCCACCTGGCCAAATTTGGGACAATCTGAACATCAGAAACAATGATCATAAATGACTTAACACATTGAATCATGTGTTATCACTGCAGATGAAAGCATCAAACTCTTTACTGGTAATTAAACTCCTACACTGGTAATTAAGGTAAAATAATTGCTGACTGTGCCTCTAGTGCATTCCTAGTTGATGAGGGAACATTATACAAGAATGCCACTCAACAAGTGTAGAGTGATAGAATTAGAAAATTGTCATTTTGCAAACATTGATGAGACAATGGATTCAGGCAACGATCACCGTTGGTTACTTTTTACCAGGTAAAAAGTTGTTGGCAATCAAAATATCCATGTGCTGCCAGTGTCAGTCCACAGATTAATTGCAATAGGAAAAACTACCTTTATATTGGGAAGATCTGGTGACCTCAAATGAGTGATCCATTGATAATGAGTCAACCTGATATTAATGAGACTTTTGATATGATGCACTATGAAATACATCTGTGAGGTGTTATCATTAAAAATGTTTAAACAACCCAATCAAGCCTTTTGCCCTAACTTCTAATTTATGGAAACTACAGGGGGTACCGGAACAACCCACATGTAAATAATCAGTTGAATCCTGAACATGAGACATTTTTCAAGACAACTGACCTGCTCTCTTAAAGAGGAAAAACTGTCCGGGCGCGGTGGTTCACGCCTGTAATGCCAGTACTTTGGGAGGCTGAGGCGGGTGGATCACGAGGTCAGGATATCGAGACAAGCCTGGCTAACACAGTGAAACCCCATCTCTACTAAAAAAATACAAAGAAATTAGCCGGGCGTGGTGGCGGGTGTCTGTAGTCCCAGCTACTCGGGAGGCTGAGGCAGGAGAATGGCGTGAACCTGGGAGGCGGACCTTGCAGTGAGCCGAGATTGCACCACTGCACTCTGGCCTGGGTGACAGAGTGAGACTCCGTCTCAAAAAAAAGGAAAAACCAAAGTGGGGACTGTTCTAGATAGATGAAACAGATAATCAAATACTATGTGTGAAAACTGACTGGATCAACAGAGGAAATTTAAACACAGACTAAGTCTTCAGATATTAGGGAATTACTATTTGTTTTTTTTTTAAAGGTATGTAAATGTATTGTGGTTATGTAAAAGACCATCCTTATTTTTGTAAGATGCATGCTGAAGTATTTAGAGATGAAATGTCATGTCTGTAAGTTACTTTCCAATGTTTGGTTAAAAAAAATACGGCAGAATGTTAGTTTTTAAATTTAGGTGGGTATATAGTTAATTTTATGATTTTTAAAACTTTCTATATATTTGAAAACTCATAATAAAAAGTTCTGGAAAATAAGGCTATTTGCTAAAAACTGTTGAATAATTTGCGGGTCAGACAACTGTAAAAGTGGGAAAAATACACAAAGATCTAGGGTTCTCCACTATTACTAGTCTGTTATTTTATAAGGGCATCAATTGCCTCTGTTTATCAGTGGAAGACTTTATAAATGCATTATTTACATAAAACATACAAAGGCAGGAAATAACAGAGTAATGCAAAGGAAGGCGCTATGGACTGTCACATGCCACATGCTCAACCAAGGGAAATAAGTGCTGTGTGAGGGATGAAGCAGCATCAAAAAAATAAGATTTTCAAACAACTGTTATTTTAAAAAACAGCTATATAAGCACAGTTTGAGTATTCTGCAACCTGTACTTTGTGCAGGATGATACTATGAAATCAAGGTTAACTAATGTAAGGGAAATGGAAATCAAGTTTTTTAAAGAAAACACTCAATAATATAGCCTTTAGGATACTAGCATCCTGGGTCTTTCCTTCAGTACCTGTTTGTAGGATGGTTTTATAAACAGTAATGTCCAAAGGAAGTTGCATGGTTAATACATGCTTAAATTGATATTTATAGCACCAGAATTGATACCAATTTCCCCTCATTTAGCTCAGGAAAACTTCCTGTACAAAGATGTCCCAGGAAACCTGATTCACGATTTTTAAGCAGTTCCCAAGTAAATGTTATTTGTTGAACATTTCTTTGATATATGCACAAAAATATTTTTCGTTATACCAATTTTCACTCCATGCCAGTCAATTCTACTTTATTACTGAAATCTAATTTATATAATTTATTCATTAATTCAACCATGTATTGACCATGCACTATTATGCAAGGGACTGGAGAAACAAGTAAGAGCACAATGAAATCTCAGTTCTCAGAATATGGCCTTATATTCTGGTAGTGGAATGCTGTAAATATGAAATACAATAGTATTTTTATCTATTTCTATTTGCATTTCTGCCAGTTTTCCTTTTGAGACCCACAAACCCAGTTATCATTGTTTAATGATTACTGCATCAATGCTTTTTCCAATTAAATTTTTTCCTGACATGTTAAGAGTAATCTCTGTTTTACTTGTATGTATGAAGGAGTGTCAGGCTTCCAATTATTCTTTAAAAATCGGTCATTTTGTTTTTAGTTTCTTCTAATAACCAGGCTGAATTCTTTTTTATTTAGCCACTCTCATTTCATAGGCAAAGCAAGTCCAATTACATTTCATGTTATAGCAATTATCTATGTATGTTTTCCTCACTCCACTAAAATTTCACCTTTTCCCCGACCCACATTCTGCAGTGAATTCAGATCTATTTTCCATTTTTTTCTCACATTATTTATATAGCTACACTATCACTTCCACTTCCTTCTCTTGGGATATAGGTAGCATTTGGCAACCCATTTTAGCAGGTTGCTTATGCTCAACCCATGACAAAATATCACATCCTCACTTTCTCATCACTCTAGAAATCTTTCTGTTGTGTAAACCACCTGTGATTTTCAGCACTGTAACAAGCTTGAGAGGATCCAATTAGGAAGTTTGGGACCTGAGCATAGTAGACACTCAAGAAACGTGTTTCAGTGGAAGAAATGAACTTTCCATAGTAAAACAGTCACAGAGAAACCTAAAGTATAAATTTAGGAGTCAGGTGAAAAAAATGGGAACTGTATACTTTATACCTACTTTTTTCCTTCAGGATGACCTTGAATGTCAAAACCTAGTGAAATCAAGGCTAATGTGTATTGAAAATTCATTTAAGCTTGAGGCATTTAATTTTTGCCTGTTTAACTAAATCTCTACACATCTAATGTTATATACACATTAGTTTCTATCATAACATATCTTTCATTAAGCTTCTCTTTAATATTTCCATATCTGAGGGAAGGTGTAACCAGTGGTCACATAGAAATCTTTAAGATACTTCCAACTGTTTTTTTTTCAAACCTACTGGCTCCATATGGCAGTTATGGCATAACAGGAGAAGGGGAAGTAAAACAGGGAAGGGAGTCCTTTACATATTTTAAGGCTTCAAAGCTGGGAATAAAAGGCCTGAAAGCAGCTTACTCTTTTCTGTAATTTTAAGATCACTCTCTAGTGTGAAATCTCTATTTGATGGACACCTTCCTAAGTTACACTCATAAGGCCTCATTAGGATGTACAGTTGACCCTTGAACAACACATTTGAACTGTACAGATCCATTTATACTGGAATTTTTTTTTTCAACTGAACAGAGTTTGAAAGCACATTATTCAGGGATGGGAAACCTGCATAGATGTAGGGCTTTTCATATACACAGGTTCCACCAGGCTGACCGTGCAACTTGAGTATGGGTAGATTTTCGTATACATGGGTGGTCCTGGAACCAATCCCCCGAGTATACCAAAGGATAAGTGTACTTGAAATAGAGAGTTGATGAGTTATGTTTTTGAATACCCTTCACAGGGTTTCTTTCTGTAATGAATTAAAATCATATCAAATTAAGGTTAAGAAGTCAAGTTTCCTTCTTAAATTTCACATTAAATCTAAATAGGTTATATCCAT